>NC_000003.12:157644967-157947998 GCF_000001405.40 Homo sapiens | reverse complement strand
TTCTTTTTTTCATTTTATTTTTATTTTCAAAATTTTTGTAGAGACAGGGTCTCGCTTTGTTGCCCAGGCTGGTCTCAAACTCCTGGGCTTAATGATTCTCCTGTCTTTGTCTCCAAAAGTGCTGGGATTACAGGCATAAGCCGCCATGCATGGCCTGTCCTGAAACTTCTGACTTCAGTTATTTCTAATAATTTGTCAGTGAGTAACCACCAGAAGAAGGGTTTCCGTTCTAAAGTAAAATGAGTTGAAATATGGTAATGAAGGTACAAGTTTGGAATTTAAGCTCATATATAGCTTATGGCTTAGATTGATGTTGACTGCTTCAGATGCAGCTTTGGGGTTTTACAACTGTTGGGCCTTAGTAGAAGCTACATCTTCGTGTCTCTCATTTTTTTGTCTTTAAAAGTTTTTCATGGCCAGGCATGGTAGCTCATGCCTGTAACCCCAGAACTGTGGGAGACCAAGGTAGGAGGATCTCTTGAGCCTAGGAGTTTGAGGCCAGCATGGGCAATATGGTGAAACTCTGCTTCTAAAATAAATAAATAAATACATACATACATAAAATAAAAATAAAAGTATCTGGTTCTAGTGCTTAAAATGTGACTAATACAGTTATTGCACAGTAGACTACAATAAAATGTTGTTGAATCAAATTAACCATTTAAAAGAGACGCTGGTCAATGACTGCTGGCTTTCGATTGGTTCAGTGAGTTTATTAAAAATTCTTCACATTGCAAAGATGTTCTCTAAGATCTGATTTTGTTATTCCACTTTGACAGAAGAGCTTCTGTCAACCTCACTAATTTTTATGCACCCATTTATATATTTATTGAACATCTACTGAGTACAAACGAATACATACACATTTACATAAAATCATTAATGTACATGATCACAAGTGGGGGGATTTGTTGGGAAAGTTAGTTATTTTTATAAGATGTTACATCCTTCTTTTCATCTGGAAATTTAACAATTTTACTAGTGCATGCTATGTTGAAATGAGGAAGAAAGAGAAAATGGAACATATTCAGAGGAATTGCAATAAATAATTTCCTTCTTTTTTCAATCTAGCTTTTCCTCCTGACATATTTATCCCATAATCATTGGTGAGAGGAGGAGGGAAGAGAGGAGGAACTATGTGAACAGCAGACTTCTGTCTCTCATCACTCTCAACAATCTTTGCTAATCATTCAGATTCTCACCTCAATTTAGTAAAGATCACCTAGAGTTACCCACAACTGGTGATTGAGGCAATAGAAGGTGAACTTTCTCAGCACTGATTTCTTAGAAATTTTTTACTTCTTGATTGCTTTCAAACCAGACTTTTTATGTTTGTGGAAGATAAAGGATCAAGGAGGTGCTGATTTACCACTGATTGAAAAATGGGTTTATATATAGGATGATTCTTTTTCTCAAGGTTTCAGATTCACTTTTTTTGTGGTTCAGGAGGAGCAGAAGGTCCAGAAGTCATCCACTGTTCCAGGTGAGTGGAAATTTTACCAATATTGAGCCAATAATGTTAGGCAACTAGAGGGAGAGGGACAGAAATCTTGAGGAAGGACAAGAGAAAGAGGTGGTGGTGTAACAGAGAGGTTAGAGTAGATGGGAATTGATTATAGCTTTTAACAGTATGGAGGGAGAAGCTTTGGTAGTGTGGTAGATGTGAAACTCTGGAGACAGTTTAAGAGGGAATGGGAAGAAACGCCATGGAGTAACCCATATGGAGGAATTTCCTCCATTTCTTAGTTTCCTATAAAAGGAAAACAATGAAATGAAGAACTAGAGAGGGGGATATGGGATCATGAGATTCCTTCCTCTCTCCCTCTCTTCTCCCCTTTTTGCCTCCCTCCCTCCCCCTCTTCTGATACTGTAAGAAAGAGAGGATGGGATCTTGATTACGCTGAATGCAATGATTATGGATTTCAGGCAGAGCAATCCCTAAATCTCCCCAGCCTCACATGGCTCCATGCTTGTTGTACATATGAAATTATTATGACTTAAGTGAATGAGGCTATAACTAGAGTTATCTAACCAACCATGACACCTAGAGAGAGAATTATATGATCTGATCCAGCAATTGTAAAGCACTATGTAAATAATCCATGAGCTTGGGGACTGGCAGGGCAAAAATAATTGTCAAACATGACCTCTTCGGTGTCTACATCACTTCCAAGCAGGCTTTGCACCATCCTGCTCCTCTGAAGCCACAATGAGACAAGGAGGTTCCAGGAGAGTATGGGCTTAGGTGGGTGCTGAGCAGCATGGAATACAGGAAATTGACATTCTAGTGGCAAATACGAAGTGAAGAACAGAGGACAAATTTTAAAATAAAAACAAAGATTTGTTTGTAAAAAAATGATTTAACAATTCTTATTGGTTATCTAAATTGAACAAATTAGCCAGATAATTAATTACTCAATTTTCAAATTTCAAATATAATCTGATAGATTGTGCTGAGAGGTGGCTCTTTTTCTTCCATGTGAACTCTTCCTTCCTTCCTTCCTTCCTTTCTTTCTTTTTCTTTTTTTTCTTTTTTTTCTTTCTTTTTTTTTTTTGACAGAATCTTTCTCTGTTGCCCAGGCTGGAGTGCAGTGGCATGATCTTGGCTCACTGCAACCTCCAACTCCCTGGTTCAAGTAATTATCCTGCCTCAGCTTCCCAAGTTACTGGGACTATAGGCGTGTGCCATCACACCCGGCTAATTTTTGCATTTTTAGTAGGGACGGGGTTTTGCCATGTTGAGCAGGCTGGTTTCAAACTCCTGACCTCAAGTGATCCACCCGCCTCAGCCTCCCAAAGTGCTGTGATTACAGGTGTAAGCCAGTGCACCCGGCCTCTTCTGTGTGAATTCTTGATTTGGGTATGTTGCAACTCAAGTATGTGCAGAAATCCTTTATGTTTCCATTAAAGAGGGGAGTCACTTTATATTGAGAATGCAATAATAATAAACTAATTTTGAGAACTTACTTTTCACCAGGCAGGCTCTGTCACAAGAACTTTATATCATCACATTTAATCCTCACAACAGCATACTGTATTTACTATTGTTACCTGCATTTACGGATAAGGAAACTAAGCCTCAGAGACCTTAAGTAACTTGTCCTTGTTCACAAAACTCAGAAATGTCAGACATAGGATTTGAATCCAGGAAGCCTGGCTCCAATATCTCTGCTTTCAACCACTAGGTTACAATTATTGTGTGACTAAAGGTATAGAACTATTATTCCATGGGTGCCCAGATCAAGAATAAATAAAATGAGAAAATATGAATCTCACTCATTTTAATTATGCCTCTGCTCTGCTCTTTTTATATTTTGAGGCTGGCCTTAGCATTTAAGACAAACTCGAACTCAAACAAAAATGACACCATGACCCTCTTGGCTCTTAGAAATGATTTAATAATTTTAAATTGATTTCCATTTCTAGTGTGGAGCAACTGGAGACAGGAGGTGACCAGCTCTTTCTCCCCTTTGCTGAGTAAACAGCCAGAGGAAATGTCCTTAAATTGTAGCTGGGAAACTTCAGGTTAAAAAGCCTTCATTTCTTGCCTATGAATGCTTTGAACAACTCTAATGCCTGCAATGGTTTAGGTGCCTTTGTTCAGGAGGTTTCTAATGGGGTCAGATGGGTGGGGTTTTTTTGTTTTTTTTTTGTTTTTTTTTTAAAGATACAAGGTCTAGTCTTGTTGCCCAGGCTGGAGTGCAGTGGCCTGATCATAGCTCGTTGCAGCCTTGAATTCTTGGACTCAAGAGATCCTCCTGCCTTAGCCTCCCAGGTGGCTAAGATTACATGTGTGCACCACCATGCCTGGCTAATTAAAAAAAAATTGTGTAGGGATCAGGGTGGGGGATCAGGGGGGTGGTCTCACTATGTTGCCCAAGCTGGTATTGAACTCCTGGCTTCAAGTGATCCTCCCACCTTGGCCTCCCAAAGTGCTGGGATTACAGGTTGAGCCACCATGCCCAGCTGATGGGTGGTGTTTTCTGACTTCTTCCAGGCTTTAACCTCCGTATTGGCAGAGTATGTGTCTATCTTAATACATGTGTTTTCAAACATTGGGCCTGGTGTATAGAGTAAATGTTGAGTTAATTAATGAGCAAATGACTCCACCATTCACAGGCAATTCTTCCTCTTTAAAGTGTGCTCTTCTGGACTTTTCTTCAATGCATATCAGCAAAGTGAAATCCTGTCTTGTCTGCTTATATTTAATGACTTGCTTTCTCTCATGTATAACAAAGTGTGAATATTGTAGCTTTATTCACCGTATCCAAGATATAGAATCAACCTAAAGTGTCCATCAGTGAATGAATGGATAAAGAATATGTGGTATATATACACAATGGAATACCACTCAGTGTTAAAAAAGGAGGAAATTTCCATTTGTGACAACATGAACAAACTTGGAGGGCATTATGCTAAGTGAAATAAGCTAGGCACAGAAAGAAAAATACCATGTGATTTCACTTATATATGGAATCTATAAAAAGTTGAATTTAGAAAAGTAGAGAGTAGAATGATGGTTACCAGAGGCTGGGAGTGGGGAGATGGGCAGTGAGAAGAAGTTGACCAAAGAGTACAAAGTTCCAGTTACACAGGAGGAATATATTTTGAAGATTTATTGCACAGCAAGGTGACCATAGTTAATAATAATATATGGTACACTTCAAAATTGTTTTTAAAATAGATTTTAAATGTTCTTACTAAAAAATGGCATGTGAGGTGATAGATATGTTAATTGGCTTAATATAACCATTCCACAATGTCTACATATATCGAGATATCACATAATACTCCATTAATATAAAAAACTATTTGTCAAGTAAAAATAATGAAAAATACATATGAGCATCACGCTTTCTCAATAGATATTTTCTACAATTTTATATATAAATGCGGAATAATTTTTCTACTCTTGAACAGATTTTTTTTCTACATTTCTTTATATTTTAAAGAATATTGCAAAGAAAGCTTTGTGGGTAAATCCGTGCACAGATCTTCTTTCCTTTAAGTCAGATTCCTGGGAAGGCCATTGTTAGGTCAAATGGTATGCATTTTAAAGTTTTTTTTTTCCAAATTTTCCTCCAGAATGCATGCACCAATACTATATAGAATGTCTATATTCAAACATCCTCATTACCACAAAGCATATCCTCTCAAAGATATTTTTGCCATTATCTGAAGAAATACATTACAGTTTTAATTGACACCTATTTCTGTTCTTTTGATTCTAGGTTTTATCAAAAGTGTAACAGGGATAATATTTTTGAATTATATTAACATTCTTTTCCTTTTTGTACTTCCTTTTACATGATTCTTCTATCCAGCCAGAGGCAGAATAAAAAGAGAGAAAGATTCAATGATGAAATAGGACTTCTGATCTGCACTAAGATAATTGTCTCAAAAGATAGGCTGTTGTTTTTTTAAAGTAAACTTTTCAATTGACTAGAACATACTGACAAAAAGTGCACAAATCATGAGTGTCCAGCTTGATGAATTTCTGCAAAGTGTATGCACTTGGGTAGCCACTATCCACATCAAGATAAAGAGTTTTACCAGTGGCCCAGAAGTTTCTCTGCTCCCTCCCTCTCATTATACCCCAGCGAAGTAACCACTGGTCTAACTTCTATCACCATAGATTTGTTTTGCCTATATTTGAACTGTATGTAAAATGAATCATCCAGTATTTGGTAATTTTTATCTGAATTCTTTCTCTCAAAATTAGGTTTGTGAGATTTAGCCATGCTGTTGTGTGCAGATTAGTTTCTTCAATTTCACAGATGTATAGCATTTCATGTTATGACCGTACTACAATTTATTTTTCAGTACAGTAAGTGGAAATTCCAGGTGCCAATACTTCCTACTGTGACTCGTCTGTCCTATTTTAGCTATTTTGTGTGTATATGGTAGGATCCCATGTAGTTTTAAACTGCATTTCCCTAGTGGCTAATGATGTTGACCACCTTCTCATATTTTACTGGCCATTTATTTATCTTCTTTTGTAACATGCTTATTCAAGTTGTCTTTTTTGTTTGTTTATTTTTCTCATTAAAATTGTTTTGGCAGGTTTTCTTGTTGATTTATAGATCTCTATACCTTTGTAAATAAAATTTTTGTCAGAAATATACCTTCTTCCTATTGGCTTACCTTTTTATGCTTTTAAAAGTGTCTTTTCCTAAAAAGCATCTTAATTTTAAAGTGGTCTTATTTATCAATATTTTCCTTTATGATTGATTTTTAAAGCTTTTGTATTTTGTCTGAGAAATCCTTGCCCACCTATAGGTCATGAGGACATTCTCCTATGTCATCCCCTAAAAGCTTTGATGTTTTACTTTTCCCATACATGTCTAAAATCTACCTGGAGATAATTTCTGTGTATTTGTACAAGGTAGAAGGTCAAGATTAATTTTTTCTACATATAGATACTTAATTCACCCCTCTATATTTATTGACACGAGTGCTGAGCTGCCACTTTCTTTAAAGCCTCTTATCTGAACCTCTTACAAATTGGCAAATGCTTTATGAGGAGAGAAGGTAGAGAAAGTCAAGCTCACTTTCAATATCTTTTGCTTTTCTCTGAGATCTGGGCTCCTGAAGTCTGGGATGCTTTGGTTGCTCTTTGATGGCTTCAAGTACCTGCTTAACAACAAAAACAAAGCACTATATAAAGTTTTTAAGATGTTTTTATGTGAGGGTTGGATTGATGCAAGGTACATTGCCTTATCTGGAAACAGAAGTCCAAAAGCTAGGCTTTCTTGGAAAAGAGTGAGATTTCCTAAATTTTATAAAGCTTCCATTTACATATAAACAGCCTGGTTTGATTAATGTATGTATAATAGAGTTTTACTCCAAATAATTGTTCAGAGAGGACAATATGATGAAAGAGATGTTCTCACCAGATAGGGGGAGGATGTAGAAACCTCAGCACAGTGGGAGGAAGGGGAATGTTTTTGAGGAGCAAAGGCAAGATGAAAATGCAGTCTGGGTTCCTCGGAGACTCTGTTCTCACCAACTTGGACTTTGGCTTAAGAATTCACAGAGATAAGAATAGATGAATCTTAGAATCTTGAGTAAAAGAAAGTAAGCCATAAAGCATGCATACACTATGAACCATGATATGATATTCAAAGACAAGCAAAACAAAAAGCTATACTTTTTGAGCACATAAGTCCATATTGTAAATTCTTAGAGATAAGGGAAAGGAATGATAAACAGAAAACTTAAGAAGAGTGGTTACACCTGGGTTGGGGGTACTGGGAAGAGACTGATAGGAGATTTCAGTGGCATTGATTATTTCTTATGTTGGTGGTGGATTCATGAGTGTTTATTATTATACTCTCTAACTCATATATATATTATGCTGATTATTTTGCAGATATCAAATGTGTCAAAGTAAAATTGCAAAAGAAAAAACAGAAGAAAAAATACTAGGCAGGAGGAGCTGTGCCTTAGTAGTGACCAGTACAGAGCTCCAAGGAATCAGATCCGCCACCCCCTGGCAGATTTTAGTGAATTCCAGTAGACAGGCAAAAGCCCATACAGATCCAAATCTCTCCTCTCTCACTCCCATGGGATCACATAAGCCCTCATAGACTTGGATGCAATCTTGAGGAGGAGCAAGGGAGGAGGAAGAAATGATTTTCCAAATCAAGCCTGTATCTAAAAGAGACTGAGGTAACCTCAAATGGAGATTGATCTTTCATCGGCAGGGTCTCCTCACCTTGCCCCCACATTGCCAGTGGAAATTGCAGGGGTGTTGGAGCAAATTGAGATCTGTCTAAGAATATAAAAGAAATTTTATTTTTATTGCATGTCATGGCCATTGACTATATGAGTACGTTTTTGACCCTAGTTCAAAATAATGCTTACCTACTCTTTATATGACAAGAAAGGGCAGCAGTTGTAACAGACCTAGATCCCCAAGCCTGTCTTGCCCTCTGGCTAGCTGTATGACAATCATAAGTCTTTTAAACCATAGGAGAGCAAGAGGGAGAGTTCATAATCTCATAATCTTCAGCTCTGTGAGTCCAAGTATTAGGGACAGTCTTCATTCTCTTGAGCATTCATGGTAAGTTTTCTTTATTCTTCATCCTATAATGTGATATGGAGTTGAAACCATTATTTAAAATATGTAACTATCAGTGATGGTGCCATTAGATCTCTTACTTCATAAAGACAAATCGCTTTAGAATGATTTTTACCTCCCTCCACAAGTTGTGTGCTTTAAGACATTCAGAGGGGGAAACAAGTCCAGGATAGTAAAAATTAAATACAGCTTCCAGAGGATTTATCAGGTAAATGTTATGGATTGTTGTGATTTAATTTATGGGATTAGTTTGACTTTCAATTACCAAGCATCACACTGAATCACTTTGTATTTTGAACTCTGTAACTGGGACTCCTTACACTCGATCTTTCATTTGGAGAGGGATTATCAATAATTAGACACTGTGGCCTTATTGATCAGCTAATCAATACCCACATTAATCACCAGTGGTCTAAAAACAATTCAGTCTTTGCACTGAAAGGAATCAGTGTGATCAAATTAGCATCTTTTACTACAAGCTGAGCAGAGATATGGCTTTCCAAAGGGAAGGCAATGCAGGTAGGGTGTACTTACAGAATTCTGAGCTCAGTCACCTGTTACTACACGGAAGTGATCTTGTGATAGTCAAGTTTTGATTATGGCCAGGCGCTGTGGCTCATGCCTGTAATCTCAGCATTTGGGAGGCCAAGGTGGGCAGATCAAGAGGTCAGGAGATTGAGACCATCCTGGCTAACACAGTGAAATCCCATCTCCACTAAAAATACAAAAAATTAGCCGGGCGTGGTGGCATGTGCCTGTAGTCCCAGCTACTTGGGAGGCTGAGGCAGGAGAATCACTTGAATCCAGGAGGCAGAGGTTGCAGTGAACCGAGGTTGCAGTGAGCCGAGATTGCACTACTGGACTCCAGCCTGGGGGACAGAGCGAGACTCTATCTCAAGAAAAAAAAAAAAGTATGTGTTTTTGGTTTTATGCTCTGCTATATGTATCATTTAGCAAAATGTTATTCACTACAAAAGTATGACAAAATGAATAGATCTTTCTCATACTACATTGTAAATAAATGTTCTTCATTCTTGCATTTATACCAGAAGTTATTTTGTATCTCCAAGAAAATCCAGATATCTCAGCAATTCTTAAAAAAATGGCAAGTGATTAGGTTTAATACATGTGAAAGTGATTTGTTAACTATTAAGGATTAAGAGTATTCCTATTTCCCAAGGTACACTTATCACCCCAAACAGAGCTCCAGAATGGAAAAATACTTTTTCTCTTCTCAGAATTGTAGTTCATCTGGCTTCAAACCAAAGCAACTTGGTGAGTAAGAGGAAGAGCTTGTCTTGGCTAGTCCATATAAGCTTTGACCACACTGACTTGCAGGCTGTCACTCAAACCAGTGGCTGCCAAAGGAGGTCACAGATTCATCCAAATGGCTTTTAATAATTTGGCGTTACTTTCATGTGAATAATTTATAATCCCCAAAGTATGAGACTGTTATTTATGGTTAGTAGCTGTGAAATAATGAGGCACATGGTTTTAAGGCTGTTTTTATTACCAAGTGGTGTCTGTACAGTTGTAGGGACTTAAAGGGAAGTGGAAGTGGATTTTTTTTCTTTTTAAAGATTATATCAGAGGCAGAAATGATATATCACAGATGAGAATAATACTGGCTGTCTCTTCAAATTTATCCATTACAAACACCACACCATTTCTTTGAAATGGGAGCTTAGAGCAGCATTCTGGCAGTTTCTTGAAGTCGGTCGTTTTCACTCGCTGAGGAAATAAAAAACGGACTTGTTTGGTCTTCGAGTTTTGGTTCCTACTGGGAATAAGACAATTAAGTATCGCTTTTTATTTTCATTTTGGGTTTTAAAGAATAAAAACTATGTTGTCTGTGTAAAAACTTGGGAAAAGTAGATGTGTATAAATAAAAAAATTACCTGTTATCTCACCAATACATTTTAACAAAAATAGGATCATAATGTGTAGTTATTTTATCCTGTTACTTTTGGTCATTTTGCACATTATTAAATAGGTTTTGAAAATGTTATTTTTAATGATTGCAAAATATTCCACTGTATAGATGTTATAGAATTTCTTATTATTTAATAATTTAGATTTTTCCAATTTTTTATTGTTATGAGTAACTCTGTGATGATAATTCTTTAACAGAAATCTTTACCTACATTTCTGATTATTTTCTCTTGATAGATTTCCAGGAGGGCAGTTATTGGGCCAAATAGTAAGAATATTTTAAATCTCTTGATACATATCACCAAAATACATTCCAGAGAGTTTATAACAATTTAGAAGCCTACCAACAGAGAGAATGGTCATGAGCTTTGAAAAATTTAGCCAAGTTGATGGATTTAAAAAAGATGCACCATTATATTAACTTGCAGTTTCTGATTACTAGTAAGCAATTTCAATGTTTATTAGCCATTTTATTTATTTTTTGAAAAGTGGCTGTTAGTGCCGTTTGCCTGTTTTATTGTTTTGTGCAATTAGCGCTTTCCTTCCTATTTGTAAGAGCTTTTTATATATTAAAAGATATCCACTTCATTTTGCACTTTAAATCTATTCATTTTGTAATTGAAGAGAACCATGTAAGTTCTATATCTATCTCATTACACAATGATGCGTGGATGCCAAATCTCAAGTAATGAAAATGTGGTTTATAAAATTTTATAATTAGCTATTTACGCTCAACAACTTTAGTTTATTTTAATTGATAAATATTTATTTGTTTTTACTATTAGTCATAGTTATATATACATATGTAACTATGTATAACTGTGTGTATATATGTATTTACAGCAAATATATGTAATTGAGATGTATATCTGTCTATCTCATAACTGTTACCTATTACAGACAAATAAAAAATCATCTCCCTATAACCACAAATTTTCCTACCAATAACTGGAGATTTGGTTCAACATCTGCCTGTAAGGAAACAAAGATGTTTAAGATGGCTTTCACTTCTCAGGCATTCACAATCTGGTGGGAGAGCTGGAGGTGTGCACAATTAGCTTTCACGTGCAGCAGAATTTGATAAGTACAGCAACAGAATCATAAAGAGAATGAAACAGGCTTATCTAGGAAGGAGAGATTAAACCTGACTAAGGCAGTCCCTTTTTGAACAAAGAGTTTTGAAGTATTTCTTACCTAATAGATAATTTATAGCCTGGTTTTGACTCTTTTAAGCCTGGCCTTGCCCTCACTATACATGTAGGTCTTTGACAGGAAGAAATGAGACCAACAGCAGGAGTGAGGATTGGGGACTGAGGGAAGAGTGGAAGAGGAAGGATGTTCTAGGTAGAGGGACAGCTGGAATGTGGAGGGATGGCTTAGGAAATTGCAGATATGGCAGTGCATGTGGAGTGAAGGTGGAGAGACTGGAGTGGGGATTAGTAAACTGGTGAGGCAGGTAAGGACCAAATGGCAGGCATCTCTGAACGCCAAACTGACAAGAATTCATGTTGCAAGCAATGGGAAGTCTTTGAGTGTTTCTGAACAGGTGAATGTCATGATCCAGGCTGTTTGAGACAACTTTGCTGTTGCAGGTATGAAGATTGAAAGGGAGGACCAAAGAGGAAATAGACAACCCAGCAGGGAGGTGAATAGTAAGTGGGGTAACTAGCAGAGAGTCAGTGGAAAGGAGAGAATGGATCTGACAGTTTGGAGGCAGACTTGCTAGGATTTGACGCCTAATTGGATATGGTGAGGAGGAAGGGAAAGAGAGGGAGAAAGAGGAGTCCAAGATAAAATTGAGGTTGGGAGCCTGAGCAGTTCAGGCAGTCCAGCTTAGATTCCCATCCTGGGGAGTGAGTTTTCTTTAGTATGGCTCAAGAGGTATAACATCATGTGGCGGGCTGGGATTAAGGATTCTGGTTTTGTTATCAGAAGAAGAACCCCTCCTCCTTCACCTCTGGCAGGGGCATTACAGCACATTCGAGACTCTGGAGAGACTGGCTGGAGCTTTCTCACAATTACCTGTCCAAAACATATAATAAGCTGTCAGACACTGGACAGGTGCCTCAGCCCTTTACAGCCTCAGCATCCTCATCTGAATTTATTTCCTTGTGCAGTTTTAAGAACTAAGTGAAATAATGAATGCAAATGCTTTGCAGTGTGGCTGGGAAATAGTAAGTGCTCAGTAAATGCTAGCTCTTTTGTTCATAGTGGTAAGCATTTTGGTGCTACTTTTGAGAAATAACAATAGCAATATCCCCATGTTAAGTTCAAGCACTTAACATACAATAACAATGAAATGAAATCAGAGGGCTGCAAATTCATAAAATAAAGAATATCTGATCTAGAAGTAAGGGATAGAACCCTAAGCTATACTGTGTTCATTAAAAGGAAGTAATTTAAAAAAGACTACATTTGATGGTTTTTGTTCATGAAGGGAAGGCTTCTGATCATCTAAAATGTCTTTCTGTATTAAATTAAACTAACCAACAGTGATTATAACTACGTGATCATGATCTCAAACAGCAATTCAGTAAATGTATATAGCACCTGGTCTGTGGGAAAGTGATTGATCTGATAAAAAGTCTGTATTTACACCCTAAGCCTCCATGAAACAAGGTCCAGAAAGACGAAAGGCAAAAGATGTGAAAGTTTTTATGAAGGCAATAATGGCCACTTGACTATAATTTCAAGGCTTGCCTCTTTCATATCAATATTCAATTTTGATGAATTTTTATTTTCTTATTTTTTAACATTTCCACTAAACTTTATTTTTTAACATCTGACTCTTTTGGAAAAGCAGGAAATAAAAAACAAATTTGTTTGATTTCTTGGCAATTTATTTTGCATTCAAAGCTGTCAAAGTTTTTTCACATTTGAGAAATGGTCCTTGTTTCTACCATCATATTTAAAGTATTTGTGGATTTGATCATCAAAAAATAAGACATGAATGGATAATAACACATTGAACAAAACAAAAATTCATCAGTCTATACTAATAATAAATAAATAAATGAGGGAGTGGGAGGAGAAAGCTCTTTCTTACAGCAGAACTCAAACTAATAAATGTAGACAAAATGAAGATTGATGAAGTTAAAAAAAACCCACCATTTTGTAAGCACCAGGAAAGGATCATTAATAGATGCTAAAAGTGTGGGTAAAAATTTGATAAGGAAGAGTTTCAAAATTTCAAAGGATAGTTTCAAAATATCTCCCCAAATTATTCATCAATTACTTAAAGAAAAATGATAATATTACACTGAAACACCTGGCAAGATGCCACCTTCACCAAATGATCAAAGTGAGCATCACCATTCATGGGATAAACCAACATTATGAGCCTCCTGATATGATCTCATGGGAAGGACACAGTATCATTTTTATGCCATTCCTGCTAAGAACATGCATAACCTGAATTTAATCTACTTACTATAAAACATCAGACAAATCCAAGTTGAGGGGTATCCTACAACATAACTGGCCTGTTATTTTGTAAAACTGTAAAGATCAGGGAAAGACAAAGAAAGGCCGAGTAACCGATTTGGATTAAATGAGACAAAAGATACATGACAACTAAATGCAATGTGTGATCCTGGTTTGGATCCTGAACAAAAGGGGAAAATTACTATAAAAGACATTTTTCAGACAATTGGTGAAACTGGAATATGGCATGACGACAATAGTATTGTATCAGTGTTCAATTTTCCAATTTTGAAAATTTTACTGTGGTTATGTATGATAACATTCTTGTTTGTGTAAAATACACACTGAAATTTTAACAAGTAAAGAACAATTATGTATACAACTTACTCTCAAATGATTTAGAAAGAATATGTGTATATATCTTTATGTACGTATGTGTATACACACACACACACACACACACACACACACAGTGAAGCAGGGAGAAGGAAATGCAGCCTACTCAAATTAACAGCCCATTTATCAGAAGAGAGTGATTTATCACTCTTAAAAGGAAAATATTATGTAAGAAACAAGAAGAATGTGAAGAAAGATTGTAATTATCTTTTCTCTGATTCTTATTGGCTGAGTGTACTTGTGTGAAAATGTAGGCATAGGTAGGCACTCACCTTGCCATTGGTTTTGGGACTATCTTCGGCTAAATGATTGGATAGCTGTTTAAGGGGTGACAATTTTTCCCTTTCTGGAAAATCAGAATGTAACTTCTTTTCACATAAGTGTTTCTTGAACACTTGGCTTTGGACAGGTGTTACACGTGTGGTTTTATAGTTTGTTATTAAAACTATAAAATTAGACTTCCAAATTTGAAGTCCTCAATCTTTTTTTGGTGGGGCAGTGGGAGGAATCTCACTTAGCTTGCCTTATTTTAATTGTTTATTGATCATTCAACTAGTTATACTCCTCAGTAGAAGGAAGCTGTCAAAAAACTTTGGTCTCATTTTTTTTTTTCACCTTGATCTTTGACTGTTATTTGCTAAATACGGTAGGAAAATAAGGGTTGGAAACCCATCCCAACAGATTTCATAATTGATAGTATATGTTTTATATTACCAGTATTATTGGAGAGATTGCACTTCAAAAACTCAGAAGTTGGATGAGATGTTCTAATACGTCGAAAGACAAAACCAGTTCAGAATTTTCTTCTGTGGCATCATCAAAAGAGCATGGTCTTGGGGACAGAAGACTTTGGCTCCAGTCCCAGCTTGATCACCAATTGTGTCCTTGGACAAATTCCTTAGCCATGCTTCCCTTAATCATCCAAAATATCTCAAATCTATTCTGCAGGAGGGTAGTAAGCATTAAATGTAAGCAGGTATCTGAAAAGTGCATAGAATAGATTTGACCTAGAGCAGGGACCCAACAAATGCTTTGTCTTTGTTAATGCTTTCATTCAACTATTTTCTTTCACAGCTGAACAAGACAAAGACCCTGCCCTCATGGTCTTGTCCATTGAATGATAGGCACACCCTGGCTACACAAGCAAGCTGTTTGCTCCAGACAGGGGGTATTTAAAGGAGATGCACAAGTGTCTTTTTAGGGCTCATAATGTCCGTCCAACTGGGGAGTGTCTCTAGGTTTGGATTTAATCTTGGGCTTCCCATCACCTGCCAAAATCAAGCGTGGTTTAAAACTTCATCTCAAAATTCAGGGACTCAGTTTAGATCTCAGAACTTTCAGAAAAAGACCAGGTGCCATGGTCTTAGGATAAAACAAGTGGTAGGTTCTGCATTTAAAGTCTAAACTTTGAGGAATTGCAGCCGGAGAGAGAAAACTCTTTGAGATTGGTTTTAAGTACCCTTATACAAGGACTTCATGAAGCAGCCTTGGCCAAGGGTATCAGCATTTCCTAGTCTGAAGGCATTAGGAGTTAAACACATGATAAATTATTATTCTTGGCTTGTTGTACAAACATCAAATTGAACTTACATAGAAAGTATTATTTCCTATTCCTTTACTTTATTATACTGAACTTATGTAATTTACCTCTCCTTAATTTAGTAGAACATCTCCATTTTCAGAATAACCATATTGGAAATAAAACTTCTTCAAACAAATCAGGTAAAGATATTTGCCCTTGAATCAGTTTAGATTTAATATAATGCATGTTTTTGTCATTTGTATATATCACTTGTTTTCATGACTCAGAATAACTTTATTTAAGATTTAAATTCAGCTCACTTTTACTGAATTTTTCAGCATCTTCCTGTATGTTGACTGGGGAATTTCACTGAATGTGAATTTTGCATATCTCTTCTCAAAGCAAACATTAATAGTCACATCTCCCATAAGTTAGATTAGACTATTAGGAATACTGTATACCTAATCACCTACTCACTAATTATAATAAAATCTTGATAACTGATGTAGTCACTTTACTAATTGGGCCTTAAATCACTTAGGCCTTAGCTTCAATCTTACAGGTATTTTGGTTATTCATTTTGGCTAAAGTCATAAAATTCCTTCGGAGGTTAGTGACTTTTTTTTGTCAGTTTTATAGTGTTTTCCTAAATAGGTAGAATGATATTTACTATATTCGTATATCATTTTATTCTGAGACTGAAAGCATTAGAATTCGTGTCTAGGTAGAAATTAGGATGAGACAACTTCAGTTAATCTTAGCTTGATTTAATTCTGAACTAAAGCCAGTTTCAATTTGGCCAAAGGCAATGTTTCTAGTTTATTGTTAGTGCCTTAGCAGTTGACAATAGGAGGAAGTGTTCCACTTGCTGCATCTTCCTACTGGTCTGCAGCATGAACGGTCGGTCTTTCGATGTGCAGGCCCACCCTGAGGCTCAGGGCTACGTGTGAATGTGCATCCAGGGCTGGTTTCAAGGACGTGTGGCCTATACAGTTGCACAAGCCTCTGAGTTTGGCGTAATGGTCTTTTGTTGTTTTGAAATTTGTAATAATTTTTGAACAAGGAGCCCTGCATTTTCATTTTGCACTGTACCCTCAAAATTATATAGCTGCTCTTGAGTGCATCCACAGTGCCTCCGCTCACATGTACCTTTACATAAACAATTTAACCACTGTTTGGGTGTGGTGTGAGATTTTCTTTCTCTCTTTTTCTTTGGCAGATGTGTCTTCTGAAAGTGGACTTCCTTTTTTTCCAATATTGTATGTGGTGGGGCTTACATACTGAAGGCAGTAATATAAAGATAAAAAAATTCACAAAAAGTTAACTGGTATTAAACCTGAACATTTTGTTAGAACTGGTTAGAGTTGACATAGAGCTTAAACACAAAGTGATTAAGCTTGTGATTTTTGTGCAACATAAAATGAGGGCTCTCTTGAGCTCCCTGTATCAGGGCTGTTTGCTTGTTGTCTGTGAAAACTATAGTTCTACCTTAAAGTTTTGAGGACATAGCATAAAAGAAAGACTAAATAATTCTCAAGGCCCTTTCAATTCTGAGATCCTATCATTCCTTTAGAAACAGACTTAAGAGCAATAGAGATTTACTTTTTCATGAAAATGATTAAGACAAATCTTACTTGAGAAACACAATAATAGCTACCATTTATTGAGTACTTATTATGTGCCAGGCATTTAGCATAAATGTTGTTTTTCACTGAATCTTTCAATAGCCCTGTGAGGGAAGGTTATTATTTTTGCTGCACTGATGAATAAATAGAAGCTTGGAGAAGTTAAGTAGGGTAGCTAGGCCTCAGGTTGGCTGGCTGATTCCCTGTACTTCCACTGCCTTCTCTGGCTTCTCATCAATTAAGTAAGCATGGGGCTAACCTTTGAGTCAAGGAGGGACTTGCCTAGGGAGTTGAATGTGAGGGTGACCTGGCTATGACCCTGCCACCCCATTGATTGCCAGAGCCCATTAGACTGATGTGGTGGCCCGGTGTCTTCTTTCTCCCTCACCTCTGTCCACGTCAGCCTTCAAGTCTCAGGCTCAGACAACAGGAATGACATAACCCCGTTAAAGGAGCATTCATCCTCTGTAGGTCCAGGCAATGTGAACACTGCTCAGTGAGGCTTCAAGATGGGGCTTTTCTGTGACCCTGCAATGCCTCCCAAAGTGTTGACATGAACACTGTGGGAAGGTGCTTACTGGGTCTCTCTCTGCGGGTCACCTATCTCTCCTCCAATATCACTCAGGCAAACTTTTAGGGGAGTTTTGGGATTGATACTTTTAGCTTGCTCCTCCACTGTTGGTCTCTCTCTTTCTTTTTTTTTTTTTTTTCAAATAAAATACATGGAGAGTTGAGGATGGATCATCTATTTCAAAGAAAGTCCTTTGCATTTCAATTCATTGCCCATTTAATTAAAGGAATGGAGAAAATATGCTGTCATGGAAGCATTTACTCAATACATTAGAGAAATAGCTCATTCTTACATAGGAATTACCCCTGTCAAATCAATGAAGTGGGGTCACTGAGCACATAAATTCTGTTTACATAATCTTAAGCCAACAGAGATAAAGAATGCATTTCCTCTTAAAAAAAAAAGTTTGATTTAAAATTTGAAATGGGCCTAAATTGCTATTGGTTTTGATCTGGCAAGAACCCCTCAATAAAGCTGGTACCTATCTGCTGTCCCATAAATTACTTTCAGCAATTCTGAAGGTAAAGGGAATCAAGTCTTCCTCTCTTCAAATAAAAGGAAAAAACGAGACAACGTGTGTAAAACACTCAGGGCCTGCAATATGATGAATGCTCCTCAGCTGTTAGTTGCTCTTGTGGTGGTGGTGGTTGCTGCTTTATTTGGAGTCAGTTTCCTC
Source organism: Homo sapiens (assembly GCF_000001405.40). Lineage (NCBI taxonomy): Eukaryota > Metazoa > Chordata > Mammalia > Primates > Hominidae > Homo > Homo sapiens. The sequence continues at coordinate 157,929,770 of NC_000003.12, read as the reverse complement.
ACCTGTAATAGTAGAATCATAACAATACCATTGTGTCTTAAGTTTTCTCAACCATATCATACTTGACTAAACTAATAACACAAGCCTTCAAATTCTTGAAATCTCTGATAAAATGCACAGTTCTTTTGTTTTTCCTTTAACATCTCAATTTCTTCTAGAAGTTTTGCTGGGATGCATTTTAATTTTAAAAATGAGTTTGTATTCCTAAATTAATTTATCCATTTACTGTAATTTATGTCAAAACCTAAATGGGGCTTTTTAAAAAAGCACGGTATTGAAAAATCATTCTGAGTTTCTTCTGAGAAAAAAAAAAAACCCAAAACAGCCAGGAAAAATTGTTTAAGAAAAGAACAGGGTACTAATCTGGAATCACTATGAATTATAATATCTCAGTAAATTAAAACTGAAGGGTCGGCTGGGCGCAGTGGTTCACGCCTGTAAACCCAGCACTTTGGGAGGCCGATGAGGGTGGATCACAAGGTTAGGAGGTCGCGACCATCCTGGCTAACACGGTGAAACCCCGTGTCTAGTCTCTACTAAAAATACAAAAAATCAGCCGGGCGTGGTGGCGGGCACCTGTAGTACCAGGTACTCCAGAGGCTGAGGCAGGAGAATGGCGTGAACCCGGGAGGTGGAGCTTGCAGTGAGCCGACACCACGCCACTGCACTCCAGCCTGGGCGACAGAGCGAGACTCCGTCTCAAAACAAAAACAAAAACAAAAACAAAACAACAACAAAAAAACAAAACTTAAGGGTCTTGGCATAATAGTAAACAGACAATGGGATAGATTAGAAAGTTTAAAAACAGACTCAAATATGTCTAATAATATGACATAATGGATATTGTCTGAAGTCAGTGGGAGAATATATTACTAAATAAATCTGTTGGGAAAATCGACTTATTCTTTTTGGAAAACATAAAGTTATATTTCTAACTCATATTTTATATAGAAATAAATTCCATGTGCATTAAAGACTTAAAAATAAAAGATAAAATGATCGAAACATTTAGAGGAAATTATAGGTGAAAATCATGAAATCTCAGGGTGAAGAAGAACTTTTGAAGCATGACTGAAAGCAGAAACCATGAAGGGAAAGATGGATATTGGTACATTTAAAACTGAGGCATGGAAAAATAGAGTATAAACCAAGGTAAAACACAATAAGCTGGGACAAGTGTTGCTACATATGACAAAATGTAAAGAGAAAAGCTCTTTCAAGTAAATAATAGAATGAGTATCTGTCCTACAGAAAAATTTGCTAGGGCAGGAAATACAATAAAGCAATAAAATGGCCAATAAATAATTTTAAAATGCTTCATTATTACTTCTAAAGAAAGTAATACAAATTAAAAACAAAACAAACCATATTCTACTGTGGAATTGACAATGGCCAGTATAACAAAGGAATAGGGAAAAAGGCATTATCAGACCCAAATTATTGGAGGCCATACCTTTTGTTTGGTAGATCTATTTTTTAGAAATGTACCCTAAAGAAAACAATTGGATATGTGTGCAGTGTATGTATAGACATGTTTATTTTGGATTTAAAAAAAATCGTAGTGATCAATTGAAAACAGCTTAAATGCTTGGCAATACAAGGGGTTAGGGGATTGCTGCAGTCTTACAATGGAATACTCTGCAAACATTTAAGAATGTTAATGTGGCTATATATTTATTGAATCGAGATATTATTATTGAGCAAAATATAAGCAAATGTTACATAACATATAAAGTATGATCCCATGATTTTTTGTAAAAATATATTTTTATAAACTTGGAAAGAAGTTGGGAAGAATAAGAATCTAATTATGAATAGGGATTACTCCTGGGGGTGAAATTAGATTAGGGATAATTTTGACTTTTCTGAGTTTTCAGCATTTTAAAATAAAAATAAAAGTCTTGCTATTACCAAAAAGTCAAAAGATAACAAATGTTGGTAAGGGTATGGAAAAAAGGTGAGAAGTGAAGCTGGCTGGGCTTCTGGGTCTGGTAGGGACTTGGAGAACTTTTCCTTCTAGCTAAAGGATTGTAAACACACCAATCTGCGCTCTGGGTCTAGCCAAAGCTTTGTAAATGCACCAATCAGCACTCTGTAAAAATGGACCAATCAGCACTCTGTAAAATGGACCAATCAGCACTCCGTAAAATGGACCAATCAGCAGGACATGGGCAGGGCCAAGTAAGGGAATAAAAGCTGGCCACCTAAGCCAGCAGTGCAACCCAGTCGGTCCCCTTCCGTGCTCTGGAGGCTTTGTTCTTTCGCTCTTCACAATAAATCTTGTTGCTGCTCACTCTTTGGGTCCACACTACATTTGTGAGCTGTAACACTCACTGCGGGGGTCTGCGGCTTTATTCCTGAAGTCAGCAAGCCCACTAACCCACGGGGAGGAACAAGCAACTCCGGATGTGCCAGCTTTAAGAGCTGTAACACTCACTGCGAAGGTCTGTGGCTTCACTCCTGAAGTCAGTGAGACCACGAACCCATGGGAAAGAAGAAACTCTGGACACATCTGAACCTCTGAAGGAACGAAGTCCAGACACACCATCTTTAAGAGCTGTAACACTCACTGTGAGGGTCCACGGTTTCGTTCTTGAAGTCAGCAATACCAAGAACCCACCGGACGAACCAATTCTGTACACAAAGGGAACTCTTGTTTACAGTTAGTGGGAATGCAGATTGGTGCAGCAATTATGGAAAACAGTCTGGAGGTTTCTAAGGAAATTAAAATTAGAATTACTATATGACTCAGCAATCCCTTTGCTCTGCATATACCCAAAGGAAATGAAATCACCACCTCGTAAAGGTATCTGTACGTCCATGTTCCGATAGCCAAGACATGATAATAACTTCAGTATCTGTTCAGGGGTAAGTGGATAAATGGTGTTTGTGTGTATACGACAGAATATTATTTCACCTTAAAAAAAGAGATTGTTCCATTTTCTATACCATATATGATCGTGGAGGACATTATGCTAAGTGAAATAAGCTAGACACCAAAGGAAAAATATTGCATAATTTCATCTGTATGTAAAATCTTAAAAAAGGGTCAAATATATAGAGAATAAAACAGTGGTTACCAGGGGTGATATGGTGGGTGGATATCATTGTGGTAGAAAATGGGAAGATGTGGGTCAGAGGATACAAAGCAGCAGTTTTATAGGATGAACAAGTCTAGAGATCCAATGTAGAACTTGAGGAATATAGTTAATAGAGTTGTACTGTATTTGGGATTCCTGCTAAATGAGTAGATTTTAGCTGCTTTTGCCACACACTCACAAAAGGGGTAACTATATGAGATAATGGCTTTGTTAATTTGCTTCACTATTGTAACCATTTTACTATTTGTATGAACTCCGTAACACAAATATAGACAATGAAATTTATTTTAAAAAATTAAAAAATTATAATAGTAAACTTAGTAAGTTGGAAGTAACAGTCTGTGACAAACCTACAGCCAACATCATGCTGAACAGGCAAAACCTAGAAGCATTCCCCTTGAAAGCTGGTACAAGACAAAGATGCTCTCACATCACTCCTTTTCAACATAGTATTGGAAGTCCTGGCTGGAGCAATCAGGCCAGAGACAAAAAAGGGCATCCAAATAGGAAGACAGGAAGTCAAACTATCCCTGTTTGCAGATGACATGATCCTATACCTAGAAAATCCCATAGTTGCAGCCCAAAATCTCCATAAGCTGATAAACAACTTCAGTGAAGTCTCAGGATACAAAATCACCATACAAAAATTGAGGCAGGAGAATAGGATCTGGAGATAGGGAGACTTCAGCTTCTGATCGGTCATGAGCCAAGTCTTCATTTGCATAGGGTGCAGCTTCAGCCTCTTATTGGTCACAGGCTAAGCCTTCATTTCAACTTCCGATTTGTCGTGAGCCAAGTCTTCATTTACGCAGGGTATAACCAATGGGAAACCTCTAAACAGTACTTAAACCCCAGAAGATTTGCAACCAGGGCTCTTGAGCTACTTCCTCAAGGCCACTCCCACCCTGTGTAGTGTATTTTTGCTTCAATACATCTATGCTTTCATCTTCAATTGCTTTGTTCATACATTTTGTCCAATTTTTTGTTCAACACACCAAGAACCTGGATGACTCACAGTCATCACTAGCATTCTTATACCCAACAACCATCAAGCTGAGGCCAAGTCAGGAATGCACTCCCATTCACAGTTCTGACAAAATGAATAAAATACCCAGGAATACAGCTAACCAGGAAGGTGAAAGGTCTCTACAATGAGAACTACAAAACACTGCTCAAAGAAATCAGAGATGACACAAACAAATGGAAAAACATTCCATGCTCATGGATAGGAAGAATCAATATCATTAAATGGCCATACTGCCCAAAGCAATGTACAATTTCAATGCTATTCTTATCAAACTACCAAAGATAGTCTTCACAGAACTAGAGAAAAACTGTTTTAAAATTTACATGGAACCAAAAAAGAGCCCAAATAGCCAAGGCAATCCTAAGCACAAAGAACAAAGCCAGAGACATCACGTTACCACACTTCAGGCTACACTACGGGGCTACAGGAACCAAAACAGCATGGTACTGGTACAGAAACAGACAGATAGATCAATGGAACAGGATAGAGAGCCTAGGAATAAGGTCACACACGTATGACCATCTGATCTTCAACAAAGCTGACAAAAACAAGCATTGGGAAAAGGACTTTCTATTTAGTAAAGAGTCTTGGGATAACTGGCTAGCCATATGCAATCTATTGAAAGATTGAAATTGGACCCTTTCTTTACACCTTATACAAAAATCAACTCATGATGGATCAAAGACTTAAATGTAAGACCCAAAACTGTAAAAACCCTGGGACACAACCTAGGCAATACCATTCTGGACATAGAAACAGGATAAGATTTCATGACGAAGATGCCAAAAGCAACTGCAACAAAAGCAAAAATTGACAAATGGGATCTAATCAAACTAAAGAGCTTCTGCATAGCAAAAGAATCTATCAACAGAATAAACAGACAACCTACAGAATGAGAGAGAATGTATAGAAACTATGCATCTGAGAAAGGTCTAATATCCAGCATCCATAAGGAACTTGAACAAATTTATAAGACAAAAGCAACCTCATTAAAAAGTGCGCAAAGGACATGAACAGACATTTTTCTAGAGAAGACGTACATGCAGCAAACAAGCATATGAAAAAACTGAACATGACTAATCATTACAGAAATGCAAATCAAAACCAAAATGAGATATCATCTCACACCAGTCTGAATGGCTATTATGAAAAAGTCAAAAAATAATGGTTGCTGGAGACATTGCAGAGAAAAAGGAATGCTTATATACTGTTGATGGGAGTGCAAATTAGTACAACCATTGTAGAAAGCAATGTGGTAATTTCTAAAAGACCTAAAAACAGAACTACCATTCAAACCCAGCAATCCCTTTACTGGGTATATACTCAAAGGAAGATAAATCATTCTATCATAAAGATACATGCATGCATATGTTCATTGCAGCATTATTCACAATAGCAAAGACATGGAATTAGCTTAAATGCCCATCAATGGTGGACTATATGAAGAAAATATGCTATCAATACATCTACACCATGGAATACTATGTAGTTATAAAAAAGAATGAGATCATGTCCTTTGCAGGAACATGGATGGAGCTGGAGTTCATTATCCTTAGTAAACTAATGCAGGAACAGAAAACCAAATATCACATGTTCTCACTTATAATTGGGAACTAAATAATGAGAGCACATGGACACATAGAAGGGAACAACACAAACTGGGGCCTACCAGAGGGTAGACAGTAGAAGGAGGGAGAAGATTAGATAATTAATGAGTAGTGGACTTAATAACTGGGCAACAAAATAATCTGTACAACAAACCCCCGTGACACAAGTTTACCTATATAACAAACCTGCATAAGTAGACCTGAATTTAAAGTAAAAGTTATAAAAAGAAGAAACATTCCAAAATAATAAAAGTCGTTATAGTAAGGTAGTAGGATTACAAATGATTTTAAAATTCTTTCTCTATTTTATACAACCCATGTACTCAAAAATCATTACATCTTATATTAAGAAATAATATTGAAAAGGAAGTAAGTAAAATCTATGTTTGAATACACGCACACACACAGATGAAAAGTCTGGAACATTATACATCAAAATCTTAATAGCGTTTACTTTTGGATAGTGATAACAAATGACTTATAAGTTTTTCCTTTGTTTATCTGTACTAATTTTCAAAAGTATACATGTATTACTTGTGTAATGAATAATAAAATTATTAAATAAAGCTTAAAAAATTTTATGCTACTGGCAGGATCAGTCAGGCAACTTTTAAAATTTTGTATAATTTGATTTACCTTTGTCAGAAAGAAAAACCCACAAGCAAGCCCTACATATAAATAAAAATCTGGAACAAAAATGCAAAATGTTGTCTTAAATGGTTTTTAGAAGGGAAAATTAATCATGAAGATTTCTCAGTACTCCTTGACATAAGTTGTGACAACACAGAGTGAAGAAGTTACTGAGCCTGGGCATTCCTGTTGCTGATGAAAATGTGAATTTTGTTTGTAGCTCATTACCTTGGTTTGCTTTCGCCAACACAGGCTCACATGTATCAACATTTGGAATTGCAAAGCAAGTGTCGATTGATGCATCTGATGGGTTTTAAAAATCTAGGTTCCTGGGGACTATATAGCACAGGATTTTGTCTTTGCAAGGGTTTCTGTGTCTTTCCATGGAGAAGCTGAGCTTCATCCAGGACTTGGGCCATGATGCTTTTATCACAAGAATATCTCTTTAGGCCTGGGTCCCTAGTGTTATCTTTTCCTGAGATGCATGGTGTGTTTGGTCTCTGCAAGTGGCCACTGAGAAGCTCTTACTTCTGTCAAAATGATTGGCATTTCAGCCAATACCAAAGTTTTAATTTTCCTTTCGCTCTCAAATCAAAAGGGTAAGGGAAAACCCCCAGTTTCACTCTGAACTCTCTTAGCTCTCTGTCTCCCTTCTCTCTCTTGCTGGCTTTCACACCTCTCTTGATGCCTATAGTGTATATATAATTACAACAACCTATCTATCAAAGGTATATGCATACCTTGGGTTGTCTTGTGTTTCTTTTGTATTTTTCAATATGTGACCCTGTTAGAGGGTAGGAGTCACATCTTTTACTTCTCAGGATTCTGTATTCTTGTATGACAGAGGTAACCCTGTATAGAGGGACAATCATTGTTGGATGCCCTGAATTCTAGTCCTCGCTCACCTTCCCTCTCTGGGCCTCAATGTCATTCATTCTTTTTTTTTTTTTTTTTTTGAAAAATGAGTAGGATGAATTCAGAATCACAAACTGAAAGGCTGCAGAAGCAAGGTAGGTAATATCAATGAGTAAAGCAGGCCAGCTATACGATGAATTTTTCTCAGAAGATTTATGGTCTTCCTGACCAATTTTCCCCTCATTTTAGGAAGATATGAGTATTAAGAATGAGTATTTTTATAAGAAAAAAATAATGCAGGAAAAATAGTAAATGGCAACTAGCAGTCTGCCTCAGTATTGGGTACATAGGGCATGGTGGGGACTGTGGCAAATTGAAAGCTCATTACCAGTTCTGTCCTGTTGATTATTACCACATTGGAATGGAGGTCAGTGTTTTCATGTCCTCAAGAAGGTTAAGAAAAGCCAGATACGTAGCTGTTTAAGTCTCCTGATTTTTAAATGTTGGCAAGTAGCATAAACAGATGTTCAAAACAGTAGAAAGTAAACATGTCTGCAAGCCCCATCCAGTGTGAGGGCTGGAGGTTTGCATTTCCGGACTTCAGGCAGTCCAGGTGTCTTAGTGCTCAATTATTCTACTCATTGGACAGGGGTTGCTGCTATGTGAGCATGGAGAGGCTCCTGATCAATTTCCCTGAATTCATTTTTAGGAAAATGCGAATTTTAGCAAAAGCAAGATTTAGGACATCGAAGCTTCTTTCAAGGATGAAAATGATAATGCCTACAAAAGCAGCTTGACATTAGAAAACCAGTCTGTGCTCTCTTATGTTCTTAGACACATAGCCTATCTGAGCTGGTATGACAGTTAAGGGAAAGTGGGAAGTGTGTAATAGATAATATCGGCTGGCTGGAGGACACATGAAAACAACTGGAGACGTGCAATCTGAAGAAATGAAGGGGATTCGAAGGAGGCTCACTGGTGAACAAAAGGGCTTCTCTTTGATCTTCTGTCTGAAGCCAGGCAATCAGAACAATGCTGTTTCTCTCATACGCATTTCTGCCTTTAGGACTGAACATTTGTTTTCAATTTTAACAGTTACATTACATGCTTTCATTACACCATTGTCTAAAATATCGCTGAGGCCCTAACCGTTGTAATTTATCTTTTGTACTGTATAATTTGGAGCGGTTCAGGCCAGAAAGGAACATCTGTACTGAAAGGTTGAACTCGGCACAGTTTAGAGTTCTACACCAAGCCTGTTCTAAGGTCAGGTTCCTCATAAACTTCGTTATCACTCTTGGTTTTATTCATTCTATTTGACATATTAAGCTTCTGTATCTTGGCATAAAGGACACAATATTGCAGCATATTGGCAAGCTCATTTGCTTTTCCCAGCTACTGTTGTGTCCAAATATCAATCCCCAGGGATAAACACGTGTATATCGACTGCAGGAAAATGAAGCTTAGCAGCAGGTGGCCTTTTGCCGCCTAATGAACATGGCAATCTGTTACTATCACCGCGGCGCTTTTCACCAGACAATTAGGCAACTAAGCATGTAATTATTCAGGCCAACGAGAAGAGGCTCTCCTCTAATTTCATCTTTTCATTGCTGTTTACTCACCCACACTCCCCTCATTAGTGAGAGATTTTCCAGTCTATGCTAATTGGTTTCAATAACATTCATTTCAGTTGAAAGAGAACGATTCCGTTAATTGAGAATCGAAAGAATCTTTTCATTTTAAGTGCGTCCTGCTATGGAAATCTGAATACTCTCAACAGGTTCGAGCTAATGAAATTAAGTCACACAGCCATTAGTGGTGTAATAGAAATAAAGTAATTTATTTTCATTGAAGCATGTGCTATAGGTCCAGAACAATTAATACAGTTTGAAGAGGATGGTAACTCAGAAAAAAAAAATAGATTGAGGATAAACGGGATGATTTCCCTTAGAAAGGCTTGTTTAATTCCTGGCTTAAACCCCTTGTCTGTTTGGTACCACTTTCCAAGTGTTTAAAGTGACACTTATACTAATTGTACACGAAAAGCAGCACTATTTCCTACAGCAGCCACTTAAATGTATCAAGATGACTCAATTGGTTAGCTGTGTTGGATATTTTAACCTGAACGTGCTTATAAAACTTTAACAGCAAAGCAATTATCAACCTATGGGTATTTTGGTCTTCTTTATGTAGTCTCAGCATATATACCTCTGTGTGTGTGTGTGTGTGTGTGTGTGTGTGTGTGTGTGTGTGATTTAGAATTGTACTGAGCCCTATCTCAGAGCTCTTATCATTTCACGGAATTTGGAATCCATCACAGGCATTAGGATATTCAGACACCTGCACTGTCAGTTCCAGGAATGGGTGTAGGGACAGAATTTTTAAAATGTGCTAATAAATGTATTTTTATAAAATACCCTCCAAATAAGCTAAATTATCAAAGAAAAAAATCTGAAGTATAAATGAAATAAAAGTCTTTATTTTGAGTTACATGCTACAACTCTATATTGACAAGATACTCCCGATTAGAAGACTAGTATATTTTCTTGCCAGCAAGAATTTATTTTTTAAAAAAATCTCTTCCAGTTTCAGAGATTGGAATATTGAATATATTACTTTCACAAATACAAAAATGTACCTATATCATGACACTTTTTCCAAAATTCTCATATCTTATTTAGTTGTTATTTTTTTAATGGAGTAGTCAATATGAAACCATTTCGGTGGCTGTCAGACTAGCTGCCTGTTTATAAAATTCCCTCTCCTTCTCAAACATAAGAACCAGAGTTCTGCAGTGGATATAGTGCAGGTCTGCCTGTTTCCAGAAGCTCGTAAGGATGTTGGTTGGTGGGTGGGTGGGTGAATGGGAGTGATGCATTATGCAAATGTTATGTGTATTTTTTTTAGCTAGATTCAAAAATGCATAATGGGGACAGACTTACAAAATAATACACTGCATAGTGTTATGAATATTTCAAAGAATTATTTCTTTATTTTGTGCATAGCTCAGAGTGCTGACATTTGATTTATAGCTGCATGGATGTACCTGGGGTTGCTAAGGTTACCCAATTTCATTCACCCATAGATATTTGAGATCTACATAATGCCATCACATCCTCCACTGCATTTCAAAGTGATGTTGATAAATGGTGCTTCCTTAGATGATATTTCCATTTAGATGTGATATATCTCATGATTTCTGTCTTTTAAAATATTGTGGTTGATGAAATTTTACATTATGTGCATATACAGAAAGCAGGGATACATATTTTTTCAGTTTTAAAGGTTTGAAAAACTGAGTGGGTTCCCCTCCCCCTTACCCGCCCTGCACCTATTCCCATATGTTGAGGCTTACTGTGACTAATATTGAGGTTTTTTTTTCTTTTAAGAAAAAACCCCACTTTATTGTTTGTCTTATGTTTAGAGATATAACAAAAGACTGGCTAGTCACCTGCAATCATTTTTATGATGTTTCATATCTTTGCAACAAAAGCTTAAGATTTTTTTAAAAATGAAAACATCTTTTGAGATTTTGATCACAAACCTATGGAAGTTATTCTTCCCAACAGATCTTTTTTAGAAGTAACACTTAGAAAATATATACATATATATATGTATATAGAATTTATAATATACATTTTCTTATTGCTTACAAGTGATCACTAACCTTTTAGCTTGTAATGTATCCCAGTCTTAGAAAGAAGTCTGGTTCAGTCTCCTAACTTCAAAGGAATAAGGGATTAGATGTATGGAAGAAAACAGTTAAAAACTCAAAATATCTATACATTTTTGTGAGAAGAATAGATCTGACTCCATGGGGCAATAGAGTTGCTAGGGGAAGAGATGAACACATACCAAAAGCCACAGACCCCATCTTACGAAGGACTAGTCTATGGATTACGTGGTTTTGTTTCTTCCTAACCAGCTGGTGTGAGTTGTGCAAAATTAGTTTTTTACTTCCCTCATCTGAGTGAAAAAACAGTTATGAAAATGGCTGGCATGATGAAATGCAGGAAGGATTTACAAGGGGCCATGGTTAAGGCCTTTGGACCATGCTCTTTGGAAGGAAACAGACAGGCTGGCTAGGAGTAAAGGATGAGGAGTGAAAGAGGGAGGAGTGTGTAGGTGGTCGGGAGAAAGAGATCACTGGACTGGGAAAAACTGCTGGGGAGGGGCAGGGGAGGGAGAAAGGGCTGAGAGTGGAAAGTGAAGGAAGAGGTGGATTTTCCTATGGGTTGAGGGGATGTTGCAATGAGTGAGAGCGTCAGCTGCCCTTAGTGGGGTTCTGTGTTATGAATATTTTCAGAAGGTTACAACAAGGTGGCCAGTAGACCTGCTTCATTAGGCTGTATGATGTTAAAAGTGTTTTGAATTTGTGCCAACATTTAAACATTGGAAGATTTCACAGAAAATTTCTGGTATTTGGATACCTCTGCAAACTCAGATGATCTGGTGGGGTTGGGCCTGCATTTCCAGATAAAGCCATTGGAAGGACCTGAGTAGCATCGGCCCCTTTACAAGACTATGCCTTTCCAGGTTGTCACAGTGCCACTCTCTCCAACCCAATTCCTTCAATGAACATACCTGGTCCTTTGGGCAGGTGAGCTCATTTCTGCTTGGCTTCTGTCCTCATGTGACTTTTCTACTCCTGGTTCTGCTCTGTGCCTAATGTCTGACAGAGAGTAGATGGTCAACAAATATTTGTTGAGTGTATGGAAGATAACATTCACTCAATAAATATTTTTGTTGTTAAATTATTGTTTTATGTATGTACAGGTCTGTTCTCCATGGGAGACTGTTAGATCTTGTAGGGTGAGAACTGTCTTGCTTCATTTTTGTATCTTTAGTGCCAGCACAACTCAGCAGATAGTTAATAAACAATGGTTCAATGTTGCACACAGATTGTGAGGCTGAGCAGTTGCTCCCCTCATATAGGGAAAGAATCATACAATTAGGTGACAGAAGACAGTGGGTCTGTCAGCTAAGCTGGTAACAATAAAAAACCAGCAAGATCATGGCAGCCCAGGCCAGTATGCCAGAAGGGCTGCCGGCCTCCCAGACTGCCAGAAAATGGCTTCTGGAAGCCCTACCTTTGCTCTTCCTGGCTGCCCCTCCAAATTTTGGTCTCATTTTTCTTGGCTCTACTTCTTTTGCCTCTGGGATCCTTCTGTTTTCCTTTTGGATTATGATTCGCTTTTTACCCTGCCCTGTTTCTTTGTTTGCATCTCCCCAGGGTCTGATTACTCGTCCCTTCATTTTCTATGTAGCCATCTCCAAACGGATGATGCCCAGTGTTGTCCATTTCTGTTGCATGTTTGGGTAGGATTTAAGGTGCAAAGGGATAGATACAGCAGGGCTGCAGAAGGACAAGTAACTAATTGTGCACTCACTTTTGTGTTTAATTCATGTTTCCTGAACAAACTCACTTGCCAATAAAACTGTTTGGGGAGGTAATCAGGCCACAGGTTTCTGGTGCCAGATTTCTCTGGTTTGTGTTCTAACCCTGCCTCTTATTATCTCTGTAACCTTGGATGATCTATTTAATCTACCTGGCCTCAGTGTCCTCATTTGTAAAGCGAAAATAATAATAGTGCCTACTCATAGCATTGATATGCAGATTGAGTGAGTAAACACACGAGCAATGCTTAGAACAGGGCTGGCATATCGTAAATATTCAATAAATGTGAGGTACTACTATCTTAGTCACTTGTTTATCCTCATCCCCAAAGCACTTTGGGTGGTTCCATGACCACCAAGTCACCAGTTACACAAATGTTTTCTTTTCTAAATATGTTTGGATTGGAGGAATATTAAAATGTATTATTTGCAGAGAAAGTAATCATTAGGTTGGATTAAGTAAGAGAAATGAAAGATTGCTATGCATTTATAATATTTATGTTCAATGAGTTATTCAGGCATCGCTGGTGATGTATCAAGGTTTTCTAGATGACCTCTCCGGTGATGTTTTAAGTACAGGTCCAAAGTTCCTTATTTGCAATTCTGAAATTCAAAAAGCTCTGAAAATTAATTTTTTTCTCTATACTCGTTGGCTGCAAGCTATGACCTGCATTTGACAGCTAAACCTGTCATGAACTAGCAAAAGGCTATTTTCAGTCTTTAGTGTGAATATTTCATGTTTTATGGAAAAATATTAACATGTTTTCTTGTAGGGTACTGTCTCAAACCCTACTTAAGGTACTATATGATATATGGTATAGGCACTAATTTATCTTTCTAAAATTTGAAAAATTCTAAATTCCAAAGCAATCTGTGTCCAAGAGTTTGTGGACCTGTATAACCATATCTGTGTTCTTGTTTGGACCAGAAGGACAATTTTACTTCTTTCTTATCCATCCTTGCCTCCCCAATTTGAAGCACAGTGCTTTGAACCACTCATTCATTTAATCAATATTTACTGAATGCTCACTTGTTGGTCAGATACCATTCTAGCCTCTCAGAAACAGTGAAGAAAAGTGTGGTCTTTGTTTTCATGGGCTTCATACTATACTGGGAGAAGACACTAGGTAAAGGAATAAGATCATCTCAGTGTTTTGAAGAAGATAAACTGATGGGAAATTAGTTTGTATGGTGTGTGTGTGTGTGTGTGTGTGTGTGTGTGTGTGTGTGTCTGTCTGTCTGTCTGTTTTGTAGTTACTTTAGACAAGCTGGTTAAGAAAGACTTCTTTGAGGGGTGACTTTAGGCAGTAATGATTAGAACAAATCAGCCATGCAAAGAAGTGGACAAGAGTCTTTCAGGAAGAGCAAATAGCAACTACAAAAGCCCCAAAGCCAGAATGAGCTTGACAGTTTACAGAAGTGGAAAGAAGACATGTCTGCTTTGGGCAACACTGGTCATGATGAAGAAAGGTGTGAGATGTGGTCAGAGGGCTGGTGAAGGAGAGCCTTGAGGGCATAGAAGGTATTTGGATTTTATCCCTAATAGGTAATGGGAGCTGCTGAAGGCCTTTAAGCATGAAGTGATATAATGTGCTTTGTGTTTTCAAAAGATCACTTCATTGAATGACAACTATACCTATGCATTGTCAATATTTGTGGAATGAATAATTTAGTTATATTTATATGTTGCATATAATGCATAGATAATCTCCAAGTAACAGAGGGCCAAATAACATGACTTAAATAAGATAGTTCACTTCTAAACTATCTTATTCAAAGTAGTGTAGGTGGGCAATCCAGGACTGATACAGAGGTTCAGCTAGATGAAGAACTCAGGGTACAGGAATTCTTTCAGCTCCTTGGTCCACTATCCCTAGGTGTAGCTCTCATCCTTATGGTCCAAAACAGTAGCAAGAGCTCTAGCTATTGCATCTATCTTTCAGGCAGCATGATAGATCAAGTGGGAAAGATTATGTGTGAATTGCCTTTTAAGGAAGGTTCCTGGGGAATTTGACATATGATACATCTGCATCTATCTCATTGGTCAGCACTTGGTCACATGTCCTCACTTAACTGCAAGAAAGACTGGGAAATGTAGTCTTTGTTCTGGTCAGCTATGTGTTCAGCCAAAACTCAGGAGTTTTTACTAGTATGAAAGAAAAGGGAGGGCAGATACTGCCATTTAGTGGTTTAGTTGGCATATAATCTTGTCATTCTATTTAGCCATAGTTTATTAAAACTGGAAGTGACTCAGAGATCTGGAGGGTCAACCCCCTCCTGTGGTACCATTTTTACAAGCCCCGTTTCTCACAGGTGCTTTAACTGAGGTCCAGAGAGGTGATGTGAGACACCCAGCATCACGCAGAGAGCACCAGCTGCTCTAAGGGGAGCCATTTTGCCTCCCAGAGTCTTCTCAGGAGGGGTTGGGCTGCTCCTTTAACCAGTTGTGCAGTTTACCAGACCCCCACCTCCACATACGACAACAAACAAGAGCAAGTAGAATTGGGCAGAATGGGTGGATTTGAGCATTGTTTAAAATGCCAACCTCAAAGCCTAAGAAGCACCAGTCTCAAAGGTTATTATTGAGGAAGCTCATCTATTAGTTCCCCCAAAGAAGGATCTTAGAGGTCAGTCAGCAAGTATTAGGTTTAGACCAGGGACGGGCCTTGAACAGGTGGGGCCTTCCAGATCCCAGAATCAGTTTTCATTTTTCTCCTTTTCTTTCTTATTTTTAAAAAATATTCATGCCCTTATGAGCAACGAATTCCCCAGAGCAGAATGGAGATGACCCCACGGAGCACTGGGCTCTGTTGATGAGAATTGCTTTTACCTTCTGGAAAGAGAATAGGCCACAAAGGATCAATCTTTTCTCTGTTGTATCTCTTTCAAGTTGAACTGCATCGGACAATGAGTGGATTAAAAAAAAAATCCTGTTGCCTGGTGTGCCTCAGATGCATTTGCCAATTTTAACATCATTCTCCAAGTTATATAAAACTGGAGAATAAATGCCAGAGCCTTCTGTATGGTGAGCAGTTTACTTCCCAGGCAGGGATCACATTTGTAACAAATCTCCTCAGAGATGCATTTTGTAAGTGAAGTGAAGAAATCATTAGTGAAGCAATATTTGAAGAAGAAGACTGGCCCAGTTCTGAAAGCAACTCTATTTTAACCTTTAAAAGATATCATTTTACTTACCAGCCTGCTTATTATAATGACACAGTGTTTTCTTTGGCCCCTGGCTCCATTAAACATATGTTTTATAGCAAGTTCTCAATTACATTATCCTGACAGGCTGGCTCATAAGGGCATGTTATAAAGTAGAGAGACTGCAAAGCTGTAAACTGGCCCTCATTAAGTTTATAGTTTTATTACCTTGTTTAGGGCACTTTTTCTTCCCTTCTTCTCACCGGCTTTCTTTTGTGATGTTTAATTTATAAGAAGCAAGGGGACATTCTTGTCCTCTTTTCCTCATGGCTGGTGAACTTGCCTGCTAGAGGCATTTAAGCAATGTGAACTTGGTTGTGCTCATTCCTCCTCCCCACCATTCACCCTTAATGTAAATTCTCTCTTCCAAAGTTTATCTGTACATGAGTACCCTTTGGTGTTAAACACCAGTAGTCTGTACCTTTTTAAAAGTTTTATTTTATCTTTGATTGACAAATAGTTTATGTATTTATGGGGTAAAACGTAGTATTTCCATACATGCATATATCATGTAATGATCAAATCAGGGTAACTAGCACACCCACCACCTTAACTATTTATCATTTCTTTGTGTTGAGAACTTAAAATCCTCTCTTCCAGCTATTTGAAATATGCAGTCTGTTATTGTTAACTATAGTCACCCTGGTGCAATAGAACACCAGAACTTATTCTTCCTAACTAATGATAACATTGAGACTGTACATTTTGGCCTAAGACTGGTTGCTCTTAGATCAAGATGAGATCATCATAACCTTGCGAAATGTACTTAGATCGACGAACTTCTAATAAATTATGTGCATTACCTCTTCTAGCTAACTCTCTTTGCTGATCTGTTTGAGACAGTTCTTTTGCACCAGCCCATAGTCAGCCTCCTGGAGAGGTAGAACAGGATTCTCTTACCACAGTACTCAGGTCAGCTGAACTATTTTGATTTACAGACTATTACACATGCCTAAATATATTTATATCCCCATACTCTGACAAGAGAATTAAATCAGCTTGAATTTATATAAAATGTGTTATCATTACTGGATGGGGAAGGAGTATTGTGCTAAGATATACAAACATCATCTGGCCACTGCTAATTATAGGCATGTGAAAAATGGCTGGTGGTTGCTTCTGAGCCCAGACAGAATCTGTGGATGTTGATTATGAAGAGCTATTATATATTGATAGGTTAGGATTTATTACTGAAAGTATAAACCAATAGCTCTGGATTGGATGGTAGTCAGACACTGGGGAATCGGTCTTGGAGCTGTTAGACCAGGGTAATCTATCAGGAGGAGGAGAGTATATTCTATCAATTAAGGAACAAGCAATTCTACTGATTTGCTATTGGCAGAATAATAGAGGTAATGGGTTTTTCTAGACAGTCCTGGTACTGTACAGCCGAGTTGGAGAAAACAGTGACATTAGACAAATAGAAGAGCAGTTCATTAAACCTGAATGAAAGCTGTGATGGGGTGAGAGAGCTGGAGGACCCTAGGCTCTGGCATGTCCCTCATGGGGGCCTCACACAAGTCAACAAGAATGTGGATGCCTTTTGTCTTTGAACGTATGCTGGAAACTGATATTCATGGGATACTCCCCAGAATCCTTTGGTGATGAAGTGTTTTCACACTGTTTATCAGTTTTCTCGTGCTACAGTGATGCTGTATTAAAAACAACCGTGAAATCGCAGTGGTTTAAACAACAAATATTTTTCTTTTTTGTTCATGGGTCAGTGGGTCATTTGGCTGATCTTATCTCTGGTTGTAGGTCAGGTTTTGTGTTCGAAAGAACGGGGAGGGCCAGGATGATGGCCAGCAGGTCACCACACTCAGAGTAGATAGTAAGTGAATGTTGCAGGTGGATCTTGGAGTCCTATCGGGTCCCAGTGTATGTGCCTATATTAGTGCCACTCTACTACGCTGGCCCTAGAGTTTGCCACAATATAAACTCCATGAAGGCAGGAATTTCCATTTGCCTTGTTCACTGCCATATCCCCTGCACTATAACTAGATGCTGGTGCCTAGTGGACTTTCAATATGTGTTAGCTGAATGACTGAATAAAGGTGAACAGAGCTTTCTAGTTTGGGGGCTACCATGCTCTCTAATGATGTCCAAGATAGGATGTAAATAGACATCTTATAGCTCCTTTGCATTTAAGGGGTGGTAGGGGTAACTTGCAGGGTGAGGGAGCAGAAAGGAGAAGAAGAAGCCATAAAAACTCAGCTTTGAGTCAGGGAGACAGAGAGGCTAAAGAGAAGGCTAAGAATATCTCTTTGGTCTGCCATTAAGTAGAAAATGCCTTGTAGCTCACTGTCTCACCTCCCCACAGTCTTCTCAAAGGGCCCTTCTGTACATCCTATAGAAACTTCCAGGCCACAGATATAAAGCACAAGACATTTGGGATAAAGAAGCCAAATGAGAGGGCATCTTGATTCTGCAGGCTGGGCAAAATTATGACTTGTTTGTAGGGGTTAAGAAAATAAAGGACTTAGGTCTAGCCCGGCTGTAGGGAATATGTAAGCAAGGGGACAGAACAGCAACAGTCAGCCAGAGAAAGCTTGGCCACACCATAGCGTTCTCCTAGACAGGGATCTTCCTTTGTTCATATGATAACTTTAGAGACCACCCCAGTGCCTGGCAATGGTAATTGCTTCATAAAGAATGAAAAAATTCAGCTGCCATTGTTGTATCATCTGTAGGGTGATCAGAGATTAGGAGAAGGGCAACTGGGAGGAAAAGGTGTGGTAAGATTGAATTTGCCACGTGACCTGAGACACCAAAATCTCTCTGGTTAGAATGTAATTTTCTCCTTTTACCCGATAAATAGCACAAGCTGTTCAGTACCAGGCTTTTAAATACAGACAACATCCTAAAACAACCACACAATTGTAACCCGTGTTACTTGAACAAAGCTCCTGGTTTAAATATTGTTTTCTGCCTCACCCACTGATTTTCTCACCCTATACCATGGGAGATTTTTGTTCATCCTGAATTCTAATTCCTAAGACCCTTTATTTCCTCCTGACCTCACTCCACAGCTTTGAGCTTTGAGCTTTGGGCTTGTCTGCTTGGCAACTCCCAGATTTCTTATCATCAATATTTCCCAAACCAACTTCTTCAAATTTCCCCAAGTCTTGCTCCTCCTTCTATGGCCCTGTCTAAATTAATTCCAACAACCTCCTGAGATACTATTTTCTTTCTTTTCCCATCCCACACCTAATTAAAAACATCCTGCCAATTTTTCACCCTAAATATTTTGTGAATCCATTTCCTCTTCTCTACCCCTGCAAACATGCCCTTGCTTGGGCCTTGTCATCTCTTGCTGGTACCATCACACTAGCCTACCACCTGGTCCCCTGCCTCAGGTCTTACCCTCCTCCTCTCTGTCCTCTGTGCTGCTACCAAGGGACCCTATTTAAAATGCAAATCTTGCCTCATGAGTCCCCTCTCTCTGTCACCTCCGGGTAAGTGTAAGCTCCTTACAAGCATACAAGGTCTTTCCTGCCCTGTCTACCTCCCCAGTTTCATCTCCTGCTGCTCCTTGACTAACACTTAATGTCCTGGAGTGTTTGAATCATTTAGAGTTTGTGTTCTGTGCATACTTTGCTTATTTCATGCCTCTTGGCCTATTCTGACACTGGATTGTCCCCTTGTCAGCTGCTTTATTTGCCTGAGTATTTTTTATTTATTCTGCAGCTCTCAGCTGTCATGCCATCTCCTCTGGGTGGGGCTCAGTGTTCCTTCTCTAGGTTTCATAGCACCTTGTGCATGCCTGGACAATTTAAAAATAATATCATCTTTCCCTGTCTGCCAGCCTTACCAGGCTGTAAACCATGTCACGACAGGGATCTTTTTCTATTCACCTTATTATCTGCAGCATCCAGCATAGTGCCTGATGCATAACAGACACTCAGTAAATATTTGTTGGGTTGAACAGACTTTTGACAGTGCAGTTTCCTTGTCTTTCTTTTCTTTGCCCATAGTTTCCTTGTCTCTGATTTACCAGCTTTCAATGATGAGATGTCAGTGTGAGGTTGAGGTTTTCTTTTGGAGCCTAAAATTGGTACATTTGTCATTGTACACTTAGCCAAAAAAGAAAAAAAAATCAACTTTGATTTTTTTTTGGAGGCTACTTTTGAAGTTGAAAGGTTGACGTATGCATCATGATATAAAGTAGTAGTCTTTTCAAATGATTTTGCTTCAACCTTCCCAATAAAACAAATGAACTGTGTTCATGGGATTTCGACTTGCTGGTTTCTCTTTGACACTAAAATGAAATGAATGTGCAAAGGCACAAAAACAGTATGTATCCTCAATTGGATAAAAGCTCACCTTTATCTCCCTTTGACCCTTTTATTTTTCACAATACTAAAGAAATATTAAAAATGGTAGGGGCTGGCGAATTTTTAGAAAAGGTATCAGTTCCCATTCCCTTTCCATCCTGTTGCCCTGGTGTAACCTTGACCTCCTCTTCCTCTCACCTCTGCAAACACTTCCCAGAATTGGCTTCCTTCCATTTTCTGAAGCCCACAATAGACATCTACACAATGGAAAACCCTCTGCTACAGCATCTTTTCTTGGAATCCAGTCCCCAGGAGCTCATGTGGGGCTTGATGTAATCATTGATCAACGTCTCTATGGGGAAAGCTGCCACCGTTTATGGTCTCCAGGAACCCTGGTCTGCCTCTACCCATCCCCAGACAAGTGGGGCTTTGAGCAGCAGCATAGCCAGATTCTGACGGCAGGAAGGTGGGACTGGGGTGATGTGGTGGGGGTGCCTATTTGGTGGTGTGGAAGTAAGCACAAAGAAAGTGCCCTTCTCTGACTACATTCTCTTCACCGTGTTTCTTTCATACTGTTTCATCTCGGGATCACAGTCAGTAAGCACCATGGCCACATATTGCCTGAAAATTGTTGAAAAGATACCACTTTTGGAGAATGGGTGCAAGCAAAATCACTGACCTCCTTTCTCCCTTCTAGATTTGCAGAGGGACTAGGAGATTGGGCTTCTGGTATGAGTTAGTGTGAGTGTGTGGATGTGTGGGTCTGTGTTTGTGTGTGAATGAGTGTGTGTTTATGTGAATGTGTGTGAATGAGTGTGTTTATGTGAATGTGTGAATGTTTATTTATGTTAGTGTGAGTGTTACGTGCATATGAGTGTGAATGTGTGGTTCTGTGAGTATATATATATGAATATGTATAGGTCTGCACATTTTGGAGATACAGTATCTTGAGAAAAAGCTTCCTCCCTCCACCTCCAATTTTTCCTGACACATTGTTCTACAGTGGCAGCACCATGGGTGACTTTAACTCCTTCATGACCTGTATCATTCCTACCATTACCCAGAGAAGCTTACAGCCCATGTACAAACAACACACCTTTGGCTTTCCCTTGCAACTCTGTTTACAGTCTCCAAGCTCCTCTTGAGGAGATATGCTAGAGTGGCCTCTGCTCCTGTAATGAGTAATTAATTACAGGGACTTGGAAGAGAAAAAGTATCTAGGTATGAGCCTGGAAAGTCTTGCTGAAGAGAGAGATGACTTGAAATAGGAGGTAGGATGTAGGGCTTGCAGAAAGTCTCTGGCACAAGCTATGGTAGCTGTAATTTTTGATAGCTGCTTATAGCCATAGGCCTAAGTGGGGAGGGAGTCCTTAAAAGCACTGGCTATAGGATACACCTGCTAAGCAGAGATGGTGAAGTGCATTTACAAAGATGACTACAGCAATATCTTCCCATCTGTGTTCTTTGGTGATGTGACATTGTCCATTGTCTATTTTTCCTTCCCTTGAGTCTAGGCTGACCCATGATCTATTTTGATCAGAAGAATGTGGCAAAAGTGATACTAACTTCTGAGTGTGGGTCTTAAGAAATCTACAGCTCACACCTGCACCTCTTTAAAGCGCTCCCTCTTGGAGCTCAGCCTCTGAGCTGTGAGAGGCTCAAACCATGTGGAGAGGCCTCTGTGGAAGAAAATCAAGAGGCTCCATTAACAGCCCAAACTGAGCTTCTAGCTGATGTCCAACAATAGGTGCCAGCATGTGAGTTCAGCTGGCACCTATTTGGACCTGGATGAGTTCAGCTGGCACCTATTTGGACCTATTTGGACCTGGATGCTCCATCCAAATCACCTGAATCTGTAAAACTGTAGCCACAGCCCACATCACCTGGAACAGAAGAATTGCCCAATCCACACAATTGTGAGTAATAAGAAATTGTTGTTGTTGCTTGAAGATACTCATCTTTAAGATGGTTTTTTATGCAGTGACATATTACCAATAGACCAGGTGGAATTACTGCTGTAGAAGTGAGCCGTGTAGAGTATAGGCTTTCTTCACAATTGCCAGAGAGTGAGAAAACATTTAAGCTATGCAGAGGTAAATGATAGGAAAAGGTGCCTTGTATTCATGTTTTTCTTAATGGAGAAGCAGTCTTGATTTAACTTTCATGTAATATGAAATAGTTAAGGGAAAATGTTGAGTAATGGCTGCTTACCTATATTAAACATTTCTACAATGAACATTTATTAATGCTATAACAAGATAAAATATTACTAAAACAGTTAATAGGCTTCTTATTTAGCTTCTCTATAAACGGAATAGTACCTTAAGGGATGCTTCACCTCATGCTGTGAGGAAGGTGGGGGATTTTTTCCTGAGAGCATTAGCTTTTACTTAATTATTAGAAAGTTCTAATGAGGATCATTTCATTTGCCTAGTTTCCAGTATTTAAATTCTTTTTATTCTTTTTATTTAGAGGGAATAGATTTAAATTACACTTTGTCAATTTGAAATGTAAAATCCTCCTTCTGAGTTGGTCTTAGTTAAGTTGAATCATAGACATAGATGGGTTCAGAGAGAATAGTCCTTGGGCTGCCAGGGTTCAAGGCATACTGCAGAACCTTCTTTCTACTTTTAGTCAACTGCCAACAATATCTTGTGTCAGAGAATGCCAATATATGTGCTTCTCTTCTCTTCCTGGGAACTTGCCTACTTTGCTAGCCCCAGTGGGTATTTTGGGCCCAGGTATTGGGTTCTGGCTAATGAGATGATTCATGAAAAAATGTCTGTGCACTCCTCCATTCTCTTCTCCAGTTTCACAGTCTATTGAAGGTCACCAGATGGAGACAGTAGCACACTGGATGGAAGAAGCACACTGAATGACTAAGTGCAGCACACCAATACAACCACACACCTCAGTGACCTGCTGCAATGCACTGTGACTTAAGCATGAAGTAGATGTTTGATAAATTGGGCCACTGAGATTTTCTTATAGTTGTTAGCATTCATGACTAATCCATATTTATAACTGTAAAGTGCTTTACATTTACAAGATATTTTTATAGACATTATCTCATTCGATACCTACAACATCCCTGTGTTCTAGAAAGGATAAGTATTATCCCCATTTTACAGGAGAGAAAATTGAAACACAAAGAGGTAGATTCTTTGAACAATGTTCTATGGTCAGTAAGTAGCAGAGCATTGACATGCCTTTAATTCTTTTTCCTCTTTCCCCTACTGACTTTCTCTAACTCAGGTCTGGTTTCTTATTTGAATTTCATTTTGACTCTGGTCTCTGGAGCTAAATATTACAAAGGAGCACTTTACCTTCCTCTTTTCCAACGACAAAAGTCAAACGAAAGCAATTCCTGTTTGTAAAGTCAAGTTAAATTCGGCAATCATTTCCATGTGCTCTATAGTGGGTCAAACAATAAAATGGATGGCTTATGCCAGCATTTCACAGAAGTGCCCTTAACCCTGATCCTGAGAGATGGTTGTGTAAAAAGGGTTACTTATCAAATACATCTGTTCAATTCAGAATACCATATCCATTTTGGGAATTAACAATATACATTAGCATGTTAAAGGCTCTGAGAAGTCCTGCAGTTAAAGCACCTATTCTATAGTGTGACACTTCTAAACATTCTGATCTATAGAACATAGTTTTGGTAACTCTGGTTTAGATATTTACTTTTCTGATTGTAGGAAATGGGATTAACACATATTTTGCAGTTCTCTTTAGTTCTATGGCTGTATTATTTTATCAGTTTCTCCATTCTCTATTTTTCTTATTTAGTCTTTATTCAAATTTCTATGTTATCCTCCTTTCTTCTTCCTGCTCCCCTTGTCCTTCTTCTTCTCTTCCTCTTCTTCTTCCTTATCTTCATCTTCATTATCTTCTAAAACTATTAGCTCCCTACCCTAGATGATCAAAGAATGCTGCAGACATAAAGCATCTGAATTTCAGTAACCATTTGACAAAATTTACCACATTTATCCATCTTGGACACAATATGTGTATTTTTGTATATGAGTGTATAATTCCATTGGAAACAGATAGATAAATGTAGGTTAAGTGGACCATAATGAGTGACAGACTGTGAGGGAGGAAGGAATGACTGCCTTTAGCACCACCCCATTCAACAATTTTAGCAGTGATTGGGTGAGCACATTAACAGTAAGCTGATTGAATTTATGAATGATGTGAAGATGAAAGGGCTGGATAAATATACTGGATGCCAGGAAAACATCTTTCAAAATCTCAGACAGGGCTGAATTTAACAAGACGTTATTTAACAGGGATAAATTTAGACTTACGCTCTTAAGTCTAGAAGTAAAACTGTATAACTATAGTATCGGATGACATGACATAGGAAAAAAGAAAAACCCGGGGTTTCTAATTTGATTGTACATTCAGTATATAATCTTGTGGTTTTCATTTAAAATGGCAACATAAAACATTTTAACCCTCAAAATCCACAAAACTTTTTTTGTAAAAAGAGAAAAGATACAGCAAAAACCTCTTTATTCAATGAAACCAGAAAAATGATACAGTCCAAGTGAAAAATCAAGAAGTACACATGGTAAATGTGAGACATGGGAGCCTGCTGGTCATGGAAATATAGATCTATAGTTAGGATTCATTCCCATAAGCCTGATGGATAGAAAGAATGGCACTGCTGGAGGTGCCAAAGGAAAGGTTGAAGGTCAAAGGAAAGGTTGAAAAGGTCCCTAGGAAGACTTCATTTCACATCACTAAAAGGTGCAGAAAGTAGATTTGAAGTGGAAACCAGGCTCTTTCTACCGTCTACCATGATGCAGTTTATTGAGAGAGAGAGAATGTTAGATGTGAATGGTGAAGGGTAAAAAGAGAAGATAAGAGAAGAAAACAGTAATTGCCAGGTCAGCACCGAGGGACATTGTCATCTAATGGTTTTACTATGAAGCTCAAAACAGTGAAATGAAATGGCCCCAAGATAGCAGAAATAACACATTTCTTCAACAGAGTTTGCAACAGGTTAGTTAAAGGCAACTATGGGTATTTTGTACTTTCACCTTCATTGTTTTATTTTCATTTTTTAAATTTTTGAGATGGAGTCTCGTTCTGTCACTCAGGCTGGAGTGCAGTGGTGTGATCTTGGCTCACTGTACCCTCCACCTCCCAGGTTCATGTGATTCTCCTACCTCAGCCTCTCAAGTAGTTGGGACTACAGGCATGTGCCACCACACCCAGATAATTTTTGTATTTTTACTAGAGATGGGGTTTCATCATGTTGGCCAGGCTGGTCAACTCCTGACCTCAGGCAATCTGCCTGCCTTGGCCTCCCAAAGTGCTGGGATTACAGGCATGAGCCACTACACCTGGCTTGTACTTTCACCTTTAATGGAATTATACACTCATGCTTAATGGTTGTGTTAGTCCGTTTGCATTGCTATAAAGAAATATCAGTGGCTGGTAATTTATAAAGAAAAGAGGTTTATTTTGGCTCAGGGTTCTGCAGGCTGTACAGGAAGCATGGTGCTGGTATCTCCTTCTAGTGAGTCCTTAGGAAGCTTACAATCATGGTGGAAGGTGAAGAGGAAGCAGGCATATCACATGGCAAGAGAGGGAGCAAGACAGAGGGAAGGGAGGTGCCAGGCCCTTTTAAACCAGATCTCACATGAACTCACAGAGTGAGAACTCACTCATTTCCATGGGTATGGTGCCAAGCTGTTCAAGAAGGATCTGCCCCCATGACCCAAATACCTCCCACAAGCCCCACCTTCAACATTGGAGATCACATTTCACATGAGATTTGGAGAAGACAAAACATCTGAACCATATCAATGGTGACAGAGTTTACTTCCCATTCCTTGACTTTGGGTTTGGTTTTGTGACTTGCTTTGGCCAATGGGATGTTAGCAGGTATGCAGACAATCTTGAGATATGCTTGCATAGTTTGGCTAGCCCTTTTGTGTTCCTGTGATTGGCATGAGAAGAGCACGCCCCAGGTATCTCCTTCCTTTTCAACTGACCCCAGAGTGAGATGGAGAAGACATTAGCCTTATGGGAACCATGAATCCAAGTCTAGTAAAAGCAGAGCTATCCTAGCCAACCCACAAACTAATGAAGAAGTGTTTGGCAAGACGCTTACTGAACTTATCGAGTTTTGGGTTAGCTTGTTTAGCAGCTTTAATGCTGCAACAGCTCAGTAATACAACCATAACATTAAGTGAGGATTCTGAACTCTCTAGTTTTGTCCTCTGTCTTCCAACAATTCAATCCTGTGATACTCTCAAGCAGGTAATGACTCTTCAAAAATAAGCAGAAAGATAGAAACTATGTATGAAAATTTGCAAAAGCAAATGAGAAAAGGAACACAAAAGGAAGATGAAGAGTGTATATCAACATAAGTATTCATTCACAGAAAATAAAGAAAGATTTGAAATAGGTCTCCATATTTCAAAGAAACTATATACAATATAATCTATTTATAAAAGTAAATTGTGAGAAGTGATACAATGATTACAAGAAAAGATCATGGGCCATTTCAACAGGAGATAAAAAGAAAAACAACTAAATAAGAAAACTAGAACATAAAGAAAAATAAAAAAAATTACGAGATGAAAATCACAATACATGCCACATAAAGTAGAACAAAACTGACCAAAAACTGAGTAAAAATATGTATAGGCTTGAGAAAATTAATGATAAAGGAAATAAGTAGAAAATTAATTACAGAGAAAATGATAAATGGAAAGTCAATATATACATATTCGATATTCCTAAAGAGACAGAAAAAATGGTACAGAAAACACATTTAAAGATATTGTAGAAGAAAACTTTCTTTTTCTTTTTCTTTTATTATTATACCTTAAGTTTTAGGGTACATGTGCACATTGTGCAGGTTAGTTACATATGTATATATGTGCCATGCTGGTGCGCTGCACCCACCAACTCGTCATCTAGCATTAGGTATATCTCCCAAAGCTATCCCTCCCCCCTCCCCCTACCCCACAACAGTCCCCAGAGTGTGATGTTCCCCTTCCTGTGTCCATGTGATCTCATTGTTCAATTCCCACCTATGAGTGAGAACATACGGTGTTTGGTTTTTTGTTCTTGCGATAGTTTACTGAGAATGATGATTTCCAATTTCATCCATGTCCCTACAAAGGACATGAACTCATCATTTTTTATGGCTCCATAGTATTCCATGGTGTATATGTGCCACATTTTCTTAATCCAGTCTATCATTGTTGGACATTTGGGTTGGTTCCAAGTCTTTGCTATTGTGAATAGTGCCGCAATAAACATACCTGTGCATGTGTCTTTATAGCAGCATGATTTATAGTCCTTTAGGTATATACCCAGTAATGGGATGGCTGGGTCAAATGGTATCTCTAGTTCTAGATCCCCGAGGAATCGCCACACTGACTTCCACAATGGTTGAACTAGTTTACAGTCCCACCAACAGTGTAAAAGTGTTCCTATTTCTCCACATCCTCTCCAGCACCTGTTGTTTCCTGACTTTTTAATGATTGCCATTCTAACTGGTGTGAGATGGTATCTCATTGTGGTTTTGATTTGCATTTCTCTGATGGCCAGTGATGGTGAGCATTTTTTCATGTGTTTTTTGGCTGCATAAATGTCTTCTTTTGAGAAGTGTCTGTTCATGTCCTTTGCCCACTTTTTGAAGGGGTTGTTTTTTTCTTGTAAATTTGTTTGAGTTCATTGTAGATTCTGGATATTAGCCCTTTGTCAGATGAGTAGGTTGCGAAAATTTTCTCCCATTTTGTAGGTTGCCTGTTCACTCTGATGGTAGTTTCTTTTGCTGTGCAGAAGCTCTTTAGTTTAATTAGATCCCATTTGTCAATTTTGGCTTTTGTTGCCATTGCTTTTGGTGTTTTAGACATGAAGTCCTTGCCCATGCCTATGTCCTGAATGGTATTGCCTAGGTTTTCTTCTAGGGTTTTTATGGTTTTAGGTCTAACGTTTAAGTCTTTAATCCATCTTGAATTGATTTTTGTATAAGGTGTAAGGAAGGGATCCAGTTTCAGCTTTCTACATATGGCTAGCCAGTTTTCCCAGCACCATTTATTAAATAGGGAATCCTTTCCCCATTGCTTGTTTTTCTCAGGTTTGTCAAAGAGCAGATAGTTGTAGATAGGTGGCGTTATTTCTGAGGGCTCTGTTCTGTTCCATTGATCTATATCTCTGTTTTGGTACCAGTACCATGCTGTTTTGGTTACTGTAGCCTTGTAGTATAGTTTGAAGTCAGGTAGTGGGATGCCTCCAGCTTTGTTCTTTTGGCTTAGGATTTACTTGGCAATGCGGGCTCTTTTTTGGTTCCATATGAACTTTAAAGTAGTTTTTTCCAATTCTGTGAAGAAAGGCATTGGTAGCTTGATGGGGATGGCATTGAATCTGTAAATTACCTTGGGCAGTATGGCCATTTTCACGATATTGATTCTTCCTACCCGTGAGCATGGAATGTTCTTCCATTTGTTTGTATCCTCTTTTATTTCATTGAGCAGTGGTTTGTAGTTCTCCATGAAGAGGTCCTTCACATCCCTTGTAAGTTGGATTCCTAGGTATTTTATTCTCTTTGAAGCAATTGTGAATGGGAGTTCACTCATGATTTGGCTCTCTGTTTGTCTGTTATTGGTGTACAAGAATGCTTGTGATTTTTGTACATTGATTTTGTATTCTGAGACTTTGCTGAAGTTGCTTATCAGCTTAAGGAGATTTTGGGCTGAGACAATGGGGTTTTTCTAGATATACAATCATGTCATCTGCAAACAGGGACAATTTGACTTCCTCTTTTCCTAATTGAATACCCTTTATTTCCTTCTCCTGCCTAATTGCCCTGGCCAGCACTTCCAACACTATGTAGAATAGGAGTGGTGAGAGAGGGCATCCCTGTCTAGTGCCAGTTTTCAAAGGGGATGCTTCCAGTTTTTGTCCATTCAGTATGTTATTGGCTGTGGGTTTGTCATAGAAAGCTCTTATTATTTTGAAATACGTCCCATCAATACCTAATTTATTGAGAGTTTTTTTTAGCATGAAGGGTTGTTGAATTTTGTCAAAGGCCTTTTCTGCATGTATTGAGATAATCAAGTGGTTTTTGTCTTTGGCTGTGTTTATATGCTGGATTACATTTATTGATTTGCATATATTGAACCAGCCTTGCATCCCAGGGATCAAGCCCACTTGATCATGGTGGATAAGCTTTTTGATGTGCTGCTGGATTCGTTTTGCCAGTATTTTACTGAGGATTTTTGCATCAATGTTCATCAAGGATATTGGTCTAAAATTCTCTTTTTTGGTTTTGTCTCTGCCAGGCTTTGGTATCAGAATGATGCTGGCCTCATAAAATGAGTTAGGGAGGATTCCCTCTTTTTCTATTGATTGGAATAGTTTCAAAAGGAATGGTACCAGCTCCTCCTTGTACCTCTGGTAGAATTCGGCTGTGAATCCATCTGGTCCTGGACTCTTTTTGGTTGGTAAGCTATTGATTATTGCCACAGTTTCAGATCCTGTTATTGGTCTATTCAGAGATTCAACTTCTTCCTGGTTTAGTCTTGGGAGAGTGTATGTGTTGAGGAATTTATCCATTTCTTCTAGATTTTCTAGTTTATTTGCATAGAGGTGTTTGTAGTATTCTCTGATGGTAGTTTGTATTTCTGTGGGATCAGTGGTGATATCCCCTCTATCATTTTTTATTGTGTCTATTTGATTCTTCTCTCTTTTCTTCTTTATTAGTCTTGCTAGCAGTCTATCTATTTTGTTGATCCTTTCAAAAAACCATCTCCTGGATTCATTAATTTTTTGAAGGGTTTTTTGTGTCTCTATTTCCTTCAGTTCTGCTCTGATTTTAGTTATTTCTTGCCTTCTGCTAGCTTTTGAATGTGTTTGCTCTTGCTTTTCTAGTTCTTTTAATGGTGATATTAGGGTGTCAATTTTGGATCTTTCCTGCTTTCTCTTGTGGGCATTTAGTGCTATAAATTTCCCTCTACACACTGCTTTGAATATGTCCCAGAGATTCTGGTATGTTGTGTCTTTGTTCTCGTTGGTTTAAAAGAACATCTTTATTTCTGCCTTCATTTCGTTATGTACCCAGTAGTCATTCAGGAGCAGGTTGTTCAGTTTCCATGTATTTGAGCGGTTTTGAGTGAGATTCTTAATCCTGAGTTCTAGTTTGCTTGCACTGTGGTCTGAGAGATAGTTTGTTATAATTTCTGTTCTTTTACATTTGCTGAGGAGAGCTTTACTTCCAAGTATGTGGTCAATTTTGGAATAGGTGTGGTGTGGTGCTGAAAAAAATGTATATTCTGTTGATTTGGGGTGGAGAGTTCTGTAGATGTCTATTAGGTCCACTTGGTGCACAGCTGAGTTCAATTCCTGGGTATCCTTGTTAACTTTCTGTCTCATTGATCTGTCTAATGTTGACAGTGGGGTGTTAAAGTCTCCCACTATTATTGTGTGGGAGTCCAAGTCTCTTTGTAGGTCACTCAGGACTTGCTTTATGAATCTGGGTGCTCCTGTATTGGGTGCATATATATTTAGGATAGTTAGCTCTTCTTGTTGAATTGATCCCTTTACCATTATGTAATGGCCTTCCTTGTCTCTTTTGATCTTTGTTCGTTTAAAGTCTGTTTTATCAGAGACTAGGATTGCAACCCCTACCTTTTTTTGTTTTCCATTTGCTTGGTAGATCTTCCTCCATCCTTTTATTTTGAGCCTATGTGTGTCTCTGCACGTGAGATGGGTTTCCTGAATACAGCACACTGATGGGTCTTGACTCTTTATCCCATTTGCCAGTCTGTGTCTTTTAATTGGAGCATTTAGTCTATTTACATTTAAAGTTAATATTGTTATGTGTGAATTTGATCCTGTCATTATGATGTTAGCTGGTTATTTTGCTCGTTAGTTGATGCAGTTTCTTCCTAGTCTTGATGGTCTTTACATTTTGGCATGATTTTGCAGTGGCTGGTATCGGTTGTTCCTTTCCATGTTTAGTGCTTCCTTCAGGAGCTCTTTTAGGGCAGGCCTGGTGGTGACAAAATCTCTCAGCATTTGCTTGTCTGTAAAGGATTTTATTTCTCCTTCACTGATGAAGCTTAGTTTGGCTGGATATGAAATTCTGGGTTGAAAATTCTTGTCTTTAAGAATGTTGAATATTGGCCCCCACTCTCTTCTGGCTTCTAGGGTTTCTGCCGAGAGATCCACTGTTAGTCTGATGGGCTTCCCTTTGAGGGTAACCTGACCTTTCTCTCTGGCTGCCCTTAACATTTTTTCCTTCATTTCAACTTTGGTGAATCTGACAATTATATGTCTTGGAGTTGCTCTTCTCGAGGAGTATCTTTGTGGCGTTCTCTGTATTTCCTGAATCTGAACATCGGCCTGCGTTTCTAGATTGGGGAAGTTCTCCTGGATAATATCTTGCAGAATGTTTTCCAACTTGGTTCCATTCTCCCCGTCACTTTCAGGTGCACCAATCAGACGTAGATTTGGTCTTTTCACATAGTCCCATATTTCTTGGACGCTTTGCTCATTTCTTTTTATTCTTTTTTCTCTAAACTTCCCTTCTTGTTTCATTTGATTCATTTCATCTTCCATTGCTGATACCCTTTCTTGCAGTTGATTGCATCGGCTCCTGAGGCTTCTGCATTCTTCACGTAGTTCTTGAGCCTTGGTTTTCAGCTGCATCAGCTCCTTTAAGCACTTCTCTGTATTGGTTATTCTAGTTATACATTCTTCTAAATTTTTTTCAAAGTTTTCAACTTCTTTGCCTTTGGTTTGGATGTCCTCCCGTAGCTCAGAGTAATTTGATCGTCTGAAGCCTTCTTCTCTCAGCTCGTCAAAGTCATTCTCCATCCAGCTTTGTTCCGTTGCTGGTGAGGAACTGCGTTCCTTTGGAGGAGGAGAGGTGCTCTGCTTTTTAGAGTTTCCCCTTTTTCTGTTCTGTTTTTTCCCATCTTTGTGGTTTTATCTACTTTTGGCCTTTGATGATGGTGATGTACAGATGGGTTTTTGGTGTGGATGTCCTTTCTGTTTGTTAGTTTTCCTTCTAACAGACAGGACCCTCAGCTGCAGGTCTGTTGGAATACCCTGCCGTGTGAGGTGTCAGTGTGCCCCTGCTGGGGGGTGCCTCCCAGTTAGGCTGCTCAGGGGTCAGGGGTCAGGGACCCACTTGAGGAGGCAGTCTGCCCGTTCTCAGATCTCCAGCTGCGTACTGGGAGAACCACTGCTCTCCTCAAAGCTGTCAGACAGGGACATTTAAGTCTGCAGAGGTTACTGCTGTCTTTTTGTCTGTGCCCTGCCCCCAGAGGTGGAGCCTACAGAGGCAGGCAGGCCTCCTTGAGCTGTGGTGGGCTCCACCCAGTTCGAGCTTCCTGGCTGCTTTGTTTACCTAAGCAAGCCTGGGCAATGGTGGGCATCCCTCCCCCAGCCTCGCTGCCGCCTTGCAGTTTGATCTCAGACTACTGTGCTAGCAATCAGCGAGACTCTGTGGGCATAGGACCCTCCGAGCCATGTGCAGGATATAATCTCGTGGTGCGCCGTTTTTTTAGCCCGTCGGAAAAGCACAGTATTAGGGTGGGAGTGACCCGATTTTCCAGGTGCCATCCATCACCCCTTTCTTTGACTAGGAAAGGGAAATCCCTGACCCCTTGTGCTTCCCGAGTGAGGTAATGCCTCACCCTGCTTCGGCTCACGCACGGTGCGCGCACCCACTGACCTGCGCCCACTGTCTGGCACT
Organism: Homo sapiens; assembly: GCF_000001405.40. Taxonomy (NCBI): domain Eukaryota; kingdom Metazoa; phylum Chordata; class Mammalia; order Primates; family Hominidae; genus Homo; species Homo sapiens. Next base: position 157,896,936 of record NC_000003.12, on the reverse strand, counting down.
CCCTAGTGAGATGAACCCGGTACCTCAGATGGAAATGCAGAAATCACCCGTCTTCTGCGTCGGTCACGCTGGGAGCTGTAGACCGGAGCTGTTCCTATTCGGCCATCTTGGCTCCTCTGATGGAAAACTTTCTTTAACTAAAGGAAGACTTAAGTCAGTATATCAAAGAGCACAGTATGTACCAGAAACAATCAATACAGAATATTTCAAACCAATAAATTATAGTGAATTTACCACAATTTAGGAATAAAGAATCATATGAAGAGTGAAGCTTAAGAAACAAAAATGAAATATACAAAATACATTTAATAAGTGCTGGCTAGATGATATCTAATAGTTCTGCTAAATTCATAGCTTAATTTTTGAGTTCCTGGAGAGTAAATTGCTGTCTAATGAAATACATTAGCAAATCCTAATCAAATTCCTCTTGGAAGTCATAGAAATAATTACAGTGTTTGTATTACAAAAATGAATGTGGAAAAATAAGGAAACATTTGAAAAAGAAGAGTACCAAGGAAAACTTGTCTATTAGATATTAAAATATAAATAACAATAGTCAAAACAGTGAGATACTGATGTCAGAACTCCTGTATAGAAGAGAAATGCCTGGAATTCCTTTTCCACTGCTATCTGCCTAAAGATAGGCTAATCATCCTTTGAGTTTTGGCTCAAAGTTTATTTTCCCTGAAAAGTCTCCCTTCTTTTTCTATATTTTCATTGCACCTTGTACACACATTTGTATTTGCTTCTGTCATTTGTCTATGCTGTAAGGATAGTGAAAAAAGGAGCCATGCCTTTTGACTTATATCACCAATGCCTATATTAATTCAATGACTGGCACATGGTAGATATCTAATATTTATTAAATGAATGAGAGAAAAAAACAGATGGAAGAAAATAATCTTGAGTTATGTAGCCTTACTTAGAAGAGTAAGAGTGAGATTAATAATGATACATCCCTAATTTCACGTTTATTTTGCAGCATGTGACAGCTCCTGAAAGAAAAAAAAAATCAAATAATTATTTGTTAAGTTTGCTGGATTGTCTGTGGAAACTCAGCTTTGCCTTCCTGATTTAGTGCACTTTTTTAAATTGCAGGGGATGAGAGCCTGGAAACTACTTTCCTCAGAATCATCGTTAGAGTTCATCAATGGAGGTATGAAATTTGGAAGGCAGAAGAAATGCAGAAACCACCACTGCACCTGTGACAGAAGTAGGTAGGTTTCAGGCCTTGGGGGATGACAGACATGAGGTTTTGCCACTGGCTTCCAGATGTCCTCCTGTAAATTATCCACTTTGGTGTTGTAAGCTGCTGATATTTGTACTGGCAGTTTCCTGCATCTTCAGTCCTGATTTTCTTTTCTTTTTTTTTAATTATACTTAAAGTTTTAGGGTACATGTGCACATTGTGCAGGTTAGTTACATATGTATACATGTGCCATGCTGGTGCGCTGCACCCACTAACTCGTCATCTAGCATTAGGTATATCTCCCGATGCTATCCCTCCCCCCTCCCCCCACCCCACAACAGTCCCCAGAGTGTGATATTCCCCTTCCTGTGTCCATGTGATCTCATTGTTCAATTCCCACCTGTGAGTGAGAATATGCAGTGTTTGGTTTTTTGTTCTTGCGATAGTTTACTGAGAATGATGATTTCCAATTTCATCAAAGCCTTTATTTCTCAGAATTAAATTCGTTTCTGCTTGAAACACCCAGAATGACTTTTTACTGACTGGATTTAGAATGATACATTACAAAATGAAATAGACTACAAAATCCTTGGAGCAAATGTTAATTAATGGACGCCTTTAGTTTTTATGTAGATTATAGTAGATATTCGGTGTTTCTTTATTAGCTAGCTACACAGTGGTCACTTTCCCTGTTAAAAGTGTTTAATTTTCTTTTGGGGAATAAATTTTCTTCTGTTGAGCATGGTTTTGTTAGGCTACTAAATTGATGGTCCTGCTCTTTCACTCAGCAGGCTGAAGGAAACTCTGGAGTTTCCTTCCCTCAGATCCTTCCTTCTACTACCTGGTATGAACTTGGTATGAACATGTGACTTAAGCTTAGCAACCAGATTTTCTCTTTGGACTTTAAAACTTAAAGAGAATAACTAAATGCCCAATTCATCCTGGAAATGCCTTCATTTCAGCAGAAGTGCCTCCTAAGGCTGCCTAGCCTTTTTTTTTTTTTTTTGCCAAGACCCTCTAGAACTGCTTGATTTCTGTATGTTTTTAGCTGTGTTACTCAGCGTTCTTTTAGATCCTGTGAGTTTTTCATGTCATTACAATAGCATCCATTTTTGCTTGTTATCCAGACCTGGACTCTGTTGTTTCTAATCAAGGAACTCTGATACATACATAATCTGGGAATAGCTTTAAATAGGCATTAAAAGAATTTTCTAGAACATTGAGTATTCTAGAAAAATACATCTCTAAATTATTTCATTGATGGGAGGAATAAAATATTTCTTTATCCATAATCACATTTCTCTTTCCTATACCGTGCTTATAATACCAGTAAAATATTAGCCGAATTAGTGATCTAAATTAGATTCAAACTCAGTAATCTAAATTTCATAAAATGTGCTACCACTGCTATTAGAAATGGCAAGGGATTTTGAGAGGTACAAGAGAATGTATTTTATTTTCACAATTAGTGGTCTCACAATTAGTGAGACCTTGATCCTGTTAATTAATGTCTGGTAATGCCACAGGTGAATTATGAAGGCCCCATTTCACACACATGGATAAATGAATAATCCTACTCTAAACCCATTAAAAATGCACAGGCTGCAAAGAGTATAGGTTAGTAAATGCTCAATAAATAAATTAAGATACTAGCCATAAATTATTGTGTTCTGTCAACAACAAATTTGTTAACCACAGTACAGGAGGGAAAACTTTTAAATTGAATTAATACCAGGGCTGAATTAATAGTAGGGAAGAGAGAGAGTGTAAGAGTGAACAGCTCATGAACGAGGAAAGTTACCTTAGTGAGTTAGAGCTTGTATAGTTACAAAAAGCAGTGTATTAACCAGGTTGGGTTAGGCTATGCTGCTGTAACAAAAACTCCAAACCTCAGTGGCCTAAACCAACAAAGGTTTATTTCTCTCATATGCCACATGCTCATCACTAGTTAGCAAGATGCTCCTTGTCATTGTTGTCCTCATTTCTGGATCCAGGATGACAGAGCAATCATCTGGGGTATTGCCAGTTATCATAGCAGAAGGAAAATAAAATCTCTGGACCACCTGACTCCATTAATTAAATGTACAACTCAGAAGTGATATACGTCACTTCTGCTTAGAAGTTGTTGGTCAGAACTAGTCACTAGCTCCAACCAACACAAGGGGGCCAGGAAGTAAAATCCTACCATGTGCTCAGATGTTAGCTCAAAATATTTGACAAATAGATGATAACTATAGCTTAATTTAAATTACTTTTAAAATTCCTGATTGAAATCTAAGCAGTTTAGAATGTTAACGCCTGGCAGCAAGGAGCTTAACTTAGAATTGTACTAGGTAGATAGGGGAATGGAAGGATGAGTGGGTAAAAATAAAATCAAAGTCCCAAAATAGCACTGTGTTCTTCTTACAAAATGTTTTGTGAAGGTTCTTCTTCTCTCTCCTAATAATCATTTATACTTCTCTTTTCTACCAACAATATCCTAACACCCTTTGCTGCAGAATCCTAAAAATAAAACCCAATAACCTTAGGTGGTGGAGCATCTTTGTATTTTGGGGGATAGATGAGTAATGAGGGAACTGTTTAAAATCTTCTTATAAATATTAAGCAGAAATCCAATGGTAAATATTAGGTTGGTGCAAAAGTAAAAAAAAAGTAAAAGTAATGACAGATACTGCACCAACCTAATAAATTGTTCTGTTCCTTCTTTAGGTTCTGGGTCACATGGGTGGCATTTACACTTCTTCGTTTTTAATTTAGAATGTTTCAGATCATTTGAACAACACAGTGCTGTTTTGGGTCTTTGGTTTACCCACTCATCCCTCCACTCCTCTTTAATTTTATTTATTTTTTACCTCCAGGGAGGAAAATATTGACAAATCCTGTGTTGCTCTTCTGGTTTCTAGATTAGAAGGTCTCTAGCAAAAAGTCACATGAAAAGAGCACTTGGTACCTTTCTTTGAAACAACAGCAACAGAAAGATTTGCATGATGATATTACAGTTCACTCTTGGTTCTTTGAATGCAAAGGCAAGGCAGCTTGCTAAAGTTGTCGTCAAAGTTCATGAAAGGCATGGTGCTGCTTGTTAGATGCTTTCATGGAAGTATGCATTAAGAAATGCACTGGATTTTAACCTTAAAGTCTACATACTTGAGAAAAGATATAGAGTACATTACAGACTAGGGTAATAAACAGAATAATTCATGACTCCCTAAGGGGATTTTTTTTTCCAGAGGGCAAATGAGCAGGAACAGAATGCCTCTCTAGCCCTTGAGGGAAGAATGTATTGTATAGTTAATTCTCTTGGGCACAACCTCTACTTTATTCAATGGGAAATTGTATTTTTTATTCAACATCTGTTTTATCACTTTTCTCCCTTTTATTATCCCTTTTTCAACATTGCAGACCATTGAATCATATCCCAAGCATGGGAAAACAATTGCTGGTGATCAATGATTTGTATCCTTTCTGTCTTGATAAACAGAAGGAAATTAATAAAATAGTTCATGGAGGCCATAGGACATTATTCCAACTAGTTACTGGGTGCTCGTAGGGCACAGATGCATCACTGTGCAGCCCAAAGTGAGCTTCTGATATTTTGAAACCTTTTAAAGTGTATATAGGGCAAATCTTTCCATAGATTTGCTGAAAGAGTTTCAGTCTTATCCTTTGGAACAAAGGGTGTAAATTGGTACAGAATAATGGTCATATTGGTGATAGCAACTATTGGTTTTCTACATACTGACTACCAGATACTCTGCTGAAATGCTTTCCTTCTATTACTTTTAATTCTTTGTGGAGAATATTTTGTTACTCCCAATTTGCCCATGAGAAAACTGAGACTTAAAAGCACTAGGTGACTTGCCCAAAGTCATGCAGCTAGTAAGTAACTGATTTTTAAGTTCTGGTCTTTGTGACTTTCCTCTATTCCCCTCATGTTGCTCTGGAATCTCCAAAACACTGTTTTATGTGTGGACTCTATGTTCCTGAAGCCAGATAGAATAATTGAGCCAACACTGTACAGTCTTTCTTTTCATAAGTCATTTATTATTTCAGGCACTGTTGCTGAGAAGCCCCTAGATCTGGGGTTGAAAGGTAGGAGTCTACTACTGATTGGCTGGATGACCTACAGCAAGGAAGGGATGTGTTGTTACATGATAATGGGGCAAACAATCCTGTCTATCTCCATTGCCAGAACAGATGAGAGAGTCCATGAAAGTTCGAGAAGAACAAATTGCTACATAATTGGAAGGGATTAAGTTACAAATATTGATTTGTTAAGGTAGGTAAGCACTGGCTAATTAGAAATTTCAGAATGATCCTTTTTCTTATGTTAATTCAAAACAAACAAAAAACAAGCCAACAATTATTAGTAACTCCCTACAGAGGAAAGAAGCTGATCTTAAGGGGTTGCCTCTTCTGACTCCGGCTAGTCTACATCACCATTTTTCACTACCTAGACCAAATTTAATTGCCCCGTTTCCATCTTCCCTTTTGGCTTCATCTGGTGTCTTAGGCACTTTTAGACTCTGGTTGCTTTGTAAGCACTTGGGGCTGTAGCTGCATCTAAGTGGGTAAATATGACCAGTATTGTCCCTCCTTTGCTATTTTTGCTGGTGGAAATGGAATCTTCCAGCATCTTACAGACTTCCCAAATCATAGTGGCCTTTGGCCCTTTACGTGGTCAATAAACTTCTCTCTCAGGGAAGCCCTGTTTCCTCCTTAACATGGCCCTCTCTGATTTGGGCCTTCTGGACTCATTGTCCGCCCTTTCTCACTGCTCAGTTTACACTCCAGAAATACTGAACCAACCTGGTTTTCTCTCTGCATCTACCACAGGGTTGGTCACCTCCATGCCTTTGCTCAGGCTGTTTCCCCTGCCTGGAGGGCCATTTTCCCACCATATGCCCCTTCTTCCCCAGCTTGCTCCAGGTTACTCTTCAGAATTTGGACTAGGCTTCACTTCTCCCAAGAAGTTGCTCTTGATTTCCCACTTCTCTGTGCCCCCACATCTCTTTGAGCATGCCTCCTATATGCATTACCACCATACATTGAAATGATCTCTTTACCTTCTTTATCCTCCTGTCTATACTATGTATTCCCTCAAGGGAGTAACATTATCTACTCAACCTATGCCCTTCATTTCTAATATAGTACACCACATACAGTAAGTATTAAAAATGTTTCTCAAATTAATTGATTTTTTCATTTAATTTTATATATTGAAATTAGAAAAATCTCTGTTTTTGAATGCTGGTTATGAGGTCCTCATATGCTCAGCTAGAGAAAAGATTTGTGCAAAGGCAGTTGTTTTTGATGATTTTTTTTTCCTCTTCAGAAGAGTCCTTCCTCTTCTCACTGTTCTGCTAAAGAAAAGACTGTTATAAGCCTCTTCATGAGTTGGGAGACATGGAAGTACAGACCTTTGAAATTATCTGATTAAAAAAAAATCATACAACCATAGAAATTGATCTAGTTGAGTTTAAAATTGGGCATTCCGGCCAGACGCGGTGGCTCATGCCTGTAATCCCAGCACTTTGGTGGGTGGATCATGAGGTCAGGATTTTGATACCAGCCTGGCCAACATAGTGGAACCCTGTCTCTACTAAAAATACAAAAATTAGCCGGGTGTGGTGCCATGCTCCTGTAGTCCCAGCTACTCGGGAGGCTAGGTGGGAGAATCACTTGAACCCAGGAGGCGGAGGTTGCAGTGAGCCAAGACCACGCCATTGCACTCTAGCCTGGGTAACAGAGTGAGACTCCGGAAAAAAAAAAAAAAAAGCATTCCTTGAGACTGAGAAAATGGAATCTTGTTACAACTTGCACTTGTCTATTATGGGACAGAGGATGAGGAGCATGAAGGCTCAATGAACTTATGTTACCACTCTGATGTGGGTCCCCAGGATGGTTTCAGTAGTCCAGAGCTTTTAGTTGATCTTTGTGTTACAAATTACAGCTATGTGTAAATCAAACCCTATTTCTGTCTTTCTTATTTACTTCTAAATATACCAACATTTTCCTCCTCTAATACTTGGGTTCATAAATCCTCCTTTAGCCTTTCTTGGGTTTAAAGCCATATCTAGATAGAAAACAAAAACAAAAACAAATGAAAATGATCATTTGGATAAGCAAGACTCCAACTCTCTTTTTGGCTGACGTAAACCATCAGTTGAAATGAAAGTGTTGGGTTGAAGAAGGGCTGGAATGATATGGCTGCTTGTTTTGACTCCTTATCACACTCTGTGTCCAAGAAAATGTCACCTACATTTTCTGTCTTAGATGTTCATCCCTCCCTCTTCTTGCCGTTTGATTTTTGCTTCTTGTTCTGTGCTAAAGCCGCCTGCCACCTCCCTTCTTCAAAACTATATTTTACACTTGAATACACTTTCTTCTCTGCTTTAAAAGTTTTTGATAATCAGATGATGATTTTATAGTCCTGATTTATGTTTTAGAAGTTACTTTTCATAAATATCCCAAATGAGATCTATTTGGCCCTTGCTGCAGACCAGATGCGGGTCAGATCTGGCAGAGCAATTGATTTAATCCTGTACATTTTCATAATTGGTAGGAATCAGTTTTCCCTTTATTCTAACATTACATATTTGTAACAATATGTGAAACAGGCTTCATGCTTTTCCTCTACACTTTCATGTATGGTATGGCCTTAATAAACTTTAGTAGTTTCCTGCAAGAGCATCACACACATCAGTATACTGAGCTTTCATTCTGTTTGCTGTTTTTAGTAAGTGAATTGGGTTAATAGGAAAGATTATTAAAAAGGAGGAAGGGTATAAGGAAACAAGAATGTATATTTTTCTCATTGAGTCTTTTCATTCTTGATATGCATCTGATTGTCTTTCTTCCCATCTTTGAAATCCTAAGATTACATTCTCTTGGGAAACTTATCATGGGCCTGATTAGGAATTTACTAAGTTATTTGGGCAAAGCCAATTTGTGCTTAATTTTAAATCAGACAATTATTCCAACTCTCAAGCCCACTTAGACAGAGCAAACTTGATAATGAGGGTGGAGACAGACTCTTCGTATGATAAATTTTACCCTGTGTGTTAGGCAGGACCCTGACCTTGCAGAGAGAAGACCCAGATTGAATCTTTGCTCTATCATTCACTTGCTGCATGAACTTAAACAGATACCAGAATGGCTTTGCGTCTCAGTTTTCTCATCTGTACAATGAAAATAATAATTTTTACCTCTGGGTTATTCTGAAGATTAAAATGAGATAATTTATATACATGGCAGTGCCTAACACAATGCTTATTTAAGGGACATTCAGATATATTAATTTCTCCCACCTCATTTGTCTGCCATAGTGATATGGTACCCCTCCTTGATAGGGACAATGTTGGCCCAATGCATTGTTCATGCTGCCTGTTGAGTAAGAGGGATAATGGTGATGTCACAGAAACATGATTATTTCTGGGAGGTGAAATTGAACTTGGAAACATGGCGTGTGCTTTTTTTCTTTTCCAAATTGCAGGACCTCTGCAGGCTAGTCTGTGAATTGCCCTGAAAGTCACTGTGAAAAATTAGCTTGCAGTATTAAGTAAGTACATATTTTTTGGGACAAGGAAGCACTTCAGAGGTGGTTTAGCTGAAAGCCCTCATTTTCAGCTGAGGAAATTCAGGGTCATGGAAGTGGATGACTTGACCAAGGCCAAATCACTAGTTGGTTATATCTGTAAATCAGTTAGATTACCTAGCTGCAGATAGCAGAATCATCATTATGTAGTGTAAGTAGAAAAGGAATTTTCTAAATAGCATTAAGCAGCAGAGAGCACCTCCAGAAGGACTGGAGACTCAGGGTTGGAGTCTGCACAATCAGAAGCCATTCCCAAGTAACAGTTGTGGAGAGCTCTACTGAAGAGCCAGCTGCTGCTGCCATTGGCCACAGGCATTCCAGATCAGCACACAGGATGCTAGTGCTGGGCCTGTCCTATTGCTATCTCTGGGAGCTAGAAGACTTTCTGCCATGCTTCCATCCCCTGTCAGGATGGATTCCACATGGCGACTTCCTTCTGCTTATCTCTGTCTTCTCACTTGAAATATATGTCATTGGACAAACGGATCTAATGGCCCAAGCCTAGGCTGTGGGCCTAGACCTAGCACCAAGGGGGCCAAGAAAATAGGTTTATGTCTTCTGCCTTGGCAAGGTGGGCCTCCCGAGGTTGGAAATTCCCCAGCTGGAAAGGGTGCTGGACAACGCAAATGCATGTCAAATTTCCACCACATTAGAAGATCCACGCAGCCATGCGGTGCTGCTTTTACTGCTCTATAACTCTTCTTCATTAGTATAAAGCAAACCCTGGTTTCAAAGGTGAGACTCATATTTCAGTACAAATATTAAGTTTGTCAGAATTCTGCAGGCCTCCTCTCTGGGCATCCTTGGATATGTGGAGTCTCAGAGAGAAAAGTACATTAATCTTCTTAGACAACATGTGTTTTTCTAGGGCTTTAAACTGCAAATAGATTTGGATGCATAACCAATGATTTATATGATATATGTTTGGGCTTCTATAAGATCTTTCATATATACAAGATTTTCTATAGTCTAACCATCTGATTCATATGGGTTAAAGGTAGGATTTAAGTTGCATTCTTTGTCTCAAGTGGCCCTGAAATTTTGGGAAATCAAGGAGAAGGGGAGGAGTCTATAATCTCTGGACTATCAAATCTGATGTTAGTCAAGGTAGATTACTAAATGCATAGTTTGCTAACACTTAGAGAACAGGAAGTGCTCACTAAGACCTGCATGAATTTGCAAAGTAGATTCTGACCTACTGTGTTCTGACCTATTGAGAACCACCTTCTGGTCTAAGCCAGATAGAGAATACATGTGCCATTCATATTCTACTTTAGTTCCTGTGATGACATAGTCCTGAGGGAGAATAAGGATAAAGAGAGAGAGATAGAAATGTAGAGGAAGAGGGAGACTGGTAGATAATCAGGAGTATATTGATCTTTCACATCCATTTGAAATATGACTTAAAAACTTCAGAGTTGTGTTTGGACACAAATGGAATGTCTTCATTCTAAAAACTTATTGAATATTTGTTTTATGCCAGGCATAATAAACTAAACATTTATTAATACCTTAATATCTACCAGAGATTATGCTAGTTCATCTCATTTAACCATCACAATGATCTTCCCAGGTAAAAATCATTATACCTTTTCATAGATTATATTATACTTTTTTTTTTAACATCACTAAATTACAGTGAACTAATTCTTAAAAAGGTTAATAATCTGCTCAAGGTAAATTGCAGAGCTAATATCTGTGTCTCTAAACATTGTGATTCTTTTCTCTATCTTCCCTGTCACGTTGCCTCTCATGAGTCCCATAGAAAGAAACCCATTTAAGTGGGAAGAAGGGGCCACATTGAAAATGGCATTCAATGGATCTTGAAGGAAGAGTAAGAGGTCACCAAGGGAAAAAAAGATGGGAAAGCTAACTGAAGCAGAGAGAACATGAGGTATGAAGCCAGGGCCTTGCATTCCAGGCGGAAGAGCTGAAGCTCTCCCTTAGGCAATGGGATTAATGAGCAAGAAAATAATATGACCATGTATTTTAAGTTGCTATTTTACCTAACAACCAAATGAAATAAAACCAAGGGTAGTATCTGGATCATGAATTAGAGATTCCAGACTGCAGCTACAAAACCAGTGGCCTGAATTGCCATTGGCTGGGCATGAGCCCTGTTACCTTCCCAGTGATGGAAGGCTACTTTGCTCTACTCCTACTCTTTTGTCCCCTCTTTATTTTTTAATTCCAAGAACAAACAATTTATTCTGTTAAAAGTCAGTCTGATAAACTTATCTGAGCTGCTTAACTTATTTGATGGCTGAAAAAGCCGAGGTGAGGATGACGTTTATATTTAACTAGAGGGTTTTTTTTTGTTTTTTGTTTTTTTTCAGCTTTAATCCAAGGTACTAAGCAAACTGATAATTAAGGCATTACTGTGAAGAGAATTTTTGGTTAAGGGAGAACTTGTACAGAATTTATTAAATCAAAGTAGGTGGTCACCCAATCTTTTATATAAAGCTTTTTTTTGTTTGTTTTTTAGTCTATGCTTCTCTTAATTTCATTTCTTTGCTGTTTCTTCCTGCTTCTGCTGCTTATAGTAATGAGCTAAGAGTGAATGTTTAACACATATGTGCTGCAATCACCTGAATTTGCCAAACTTTCTTATCAATTTTTCTTATCAATTGCTCTCTGTTCTTTTTTTTAAATTTTATTATTATTATACTTTAAGTTTTAGGGTACATGTGCACAATGTGCAGGTTTGTTACATATATATACATGTCCCATGTTGGTGTGCTGCACCCATTAACTTGTCATTTAGCTTTAGGTATATCACCTAATGCTATCCCTCCCCCCTGCCCCCACCCAACAACAGTCCCCGGAGTGTGATGTTCCCCTTCCTGTGTCCATGTGTTCTCATTGTTTAATTCCCACCTATGAGTGAGAACATGCGGTGTTTGGTTTTTTGTCCTTGCAATAGTTTGCTGAGAATGATGATTTCCAGCTTCATCCATGTCCCTACAAAGGACATGAACTCATCATTTTTTATGGCTGCATAGTATTCCATGGTGTATATGTGCCACATTTTCTTAATCCAGTCTATCATTGTTGGACATTTGGGTTGGTTCCAAGTCTTTGATATTGTGAATAGTGCCGCAATAAACATACCTGTGCATGTGTCTTTATAGCAGCATGATTTATAGTCCTTTGGGTATATACCCAGTAATGGGATGGCTGGGTCAAATGGTATTTCCAGTTCTAGATCCTTGAGGAATCGCCACACTGACTTCCACAATGGTTGAACTAGTTTACAGTCCCACCAACAGTGTAAAAGTGTTCCTATTTCTCCACATCCTCTCCAGCACCTGTTGTTTCCTGACTTTTTAATGATTGCCATTCTAACTGGTGTGAGATGGTATCTCATTGAGGTATTGATTTGCATTTCTCTGATGGCCAGTGATGATGAGCATTTTTTCATGTGTTTTTTGGCTGCATAAATGTCTTCTTTTGAGAAGTGTCTGTTCGTGTCCTTTGCCCACTTTTTGATGGGGTTGTTTTTTTTTCTTGTAAATTTGTTGGAGTTCATTGTAGATTCTGGATATTAGCCCTTTGTCAGATGAGTAGGTTGTGAAAATTTTCTCCCATTTTGTAGGTTACCTGTTCACTCTGATGGTAGTTTCTTTTGCTGTGCAGAAGCTCTTCAGTTTAATTAGATCCCATTTGTCAATTTTGGCTTTTGTTGCCATTGCTTTTGGTGTTTTAGACATGAAGTCCTTGCCCATGCCTATGTCCTGAATGGTATTGCCTAGGTTTTCTTCTAGGGTTTTTATGGCTTTAGGTCTAACATGTAAGTCTTTAATCCATCTTGAATTAATTTTTGTATAAGGTGTAAGGAAGGGATCCAGTTTCAGCTTTCTACATATGGCTAGCCAGTTTTCCCAGAACCATTTATTAAATAGGGAATCCTTTCCCCATTGCTTGTTTCTGTCAGGTTTGTCAAAGATCAGATAGTTGTAGATATGTGGCATTATTTCTGAGGGCTCTGTTCTGTTCCATTGATCTGTATCTCTGTTTTGGTACCAGTACCATGCTGTTTTGGTTACTGTAGCCTTGTAGTATAGTTTGAAGTCAGGTAGCCTGATGCCTCCAGCTTTGTTCTTTTGGCTTAGGATTGACTTGGAGATGCGGGCTCTTTTTTGGTTCCATATGAACTTTAAAGTAGTTTTTTCCAATTCTGTGAAGAAAGTCATTGGTAGCTTGTTGGGGATGGCATTGAATCTGTAAATTACTTTGGGCAGTATGGCCATTTTCATGATATTGATTCTTCCAACCCATGAGCATGGAATGTTCTTCCATTTGTTTGTATCCTCTTTTATTTCATTGAGCAGTGGTTTGTAGTTCTCCTTGAAGAGGTCCTTCATGTCCCTTGTAAGTTGGATTCCTAGGTATTTTATTCTCTTTGAAGCAATTGTGAATGGGAGTTCACTCATGATTTGGCTCTCTGTTTGTCTGTTGTTGGTGTATAAGAATGCTTGTGATTTTTGTACATTGATTTTGTATTCTGAGACTTTGCTGAAGTTGCTTATCAGCTTAAGGAGATTTTGGGCTGAGACGATGGGGTTTTCTAGATAAACAATCATGTCATCTGCAAACAGGGACAATTTGACTTCCTCTTTTCCTAATTGAATACCCTTTATTTCCTTCTCCTGCCTGATTGCCCTGGCCAGAACTTCCAACACTATGTTGAATAGGAGCGGTGAGAGAGGGCATCCCTGTCTTGTGCCAGTTTTCAAAGGGAATGCTTCCAGTTTTTGCCCATTCAGTATGATATTGGCTGTGGGTTTGTCATAGATAGCTCTTATTATTTTGAGATACATCCCATCAATACCTAATTTATTGAGAGTTTTTAGCGTGAAGGGTTGTTGAATTTTGTCAAAGGCCTTTTCTGCATCTATTGAGATAATCATGTGTTTTTTGTCTTTGGTTCTGTTTATATGCTGAATTACGTTTATTGATTTGCGTATATTGAACCAGCCTTGCATCCCAGGGATGAAGCCCACTTGATCATGGTGGATAAGCTTTTTGATGTGTTGCTGGATTCGGTTTGCCAGTATTTTATTGAGGATTTTTGCATCAATGTTCATCAAGGATATTCATCTAAAATTCTTTTTTTGTTGTGTCTCTGCCAGGCTTTGGTATCAGGATGATGCTGGCCTCATAAAATGAGTTAGGGAGGATTCCTTCTTTTTCTATTGATTGGAATAGTTTCAGAAGGAATGGTACCAGCTCCTCCTTGTACCTCTGGTAGAATTCGGCTGTGAATCCATCTGGTCCTGGACTCTTTTTTTGGCTAGCTATTGATTATTGCCTCAATTTCAGAGCCTGTTATTGGTCTATTCACAGATTCAACTTCTTCCTGGTTTAGTCTTGGGAGGGTGTATGTGTCGAGGAATTTATCCATTTCTTCTAGATTTTCTAGTTTATTTGCATAGAGGTGTTTATAGTGTTCTCTGATGGTAGTTTGTATTTCTGTGGGATCAGTGGTGATACCCCTTTATTATTTTTTACTGCATCTATTTGATTCTTCTCTCTTTTCTTCTTTATTAGTCTTGCTAGTGGTCTATCAATTTTGTTGATCTTTTCAAAAAAACAGCTCCTGGATTCATTAATTTTTTGAAGGGTTTTTTGTGTCTCTATTTCCTTCAGTTCTGCTCTGATTTTAGTTATTTCTTGCCTTCTGCTAGCTTTTGAATGTGTTTGCTCTTGCTTTTCTAGTTCTTTTAATTGTGATGTTAGGGTGTCAATTTTGGATCTTTCCTGATTTCTCTTGTGGGCATTTAGTGCTATGAATTTCCCTCTACACACTGCTTTGAATGCATCCCAGAGATTCTGGTATGTTGTGTCTTTGTTCTCGTTGGTTTCAAAGAACATCTTTATTTCTGCCTTCATTTCGTTATGTACCCAGTAGTCATTCAGGAGCAGGTTGTTCAGTTTCCATGTATTTGAGCGGTTTTGAGTGAGTTTCTTAATCCTGAGTTCTAGTTTGATTGCATTGTGGTCTGAGAGACAGTTTGTTATAATTTCTGTTCCTTTACATTTGCTGAGGAGTGCTTTACTTCCAACTATGTGGTCAGTTTTGGAATATGTGTGGTGTGGTGCTGAAAGAAATGTATATTCTGTTGATTTGGGGTGGAGAGTTCTGTAGATGTCTATTAGGTCCACTTGGTGCACAGCTGAGTTCAATTCCTGGGTATCCTTGTTAACTTTCTGTCTCGTTGATCTGTCTAATGTTGACAGTGAGGTGTTAAAGTCTCCCACTATTATTGTGTGGGAGTCTAAGTCTCTTTGTAGGTCACTCAGGACTTGCTTTATGAATCTGGGTGCTCCTGTATTGGGTGCATATATATTTAGGATAGTTAGCTCTTCTTGTTGAATTGATCCCTTTACCATTATGTAATGGCCTTCCTTGTCTCTTTTGATCTTTGTTGTTTTAAAGTCTGTTTTATCAGAGACTAGGATTGCAACCCCTACCTTTTTTTGTTTTCCATTTGCTTGGTAGATCTTCCTCCATCCCTTTATTTTGAGCCTATGTGTGTCTCTGCACTTGAGATGGGTTTCCTGAACACAGCACACTGATGGGTCTTGACTCTTTATCCAATTTGCCAGTCTGTGTCTTTTAATTGGAGCATTTAGCCCATTTACATTTAAAGTTAATATTGTTATGTGTGAATTTGATCCTGTCATTATGATGTTAGCTGGTTATTTTGCTCATTAGTTGATGCAGTTTCTTCCTAGCCTTCATGGTCTTTACAATTTGTCATGTTTTTGTAGTAGCTCGTACTGGCTGTTCCTTTCCATGTTTAGTGCTTCCTTCAGGAGCTCTTTTAGGGCGGGTCTGGTGGTGACAAAATCTCTCAGCATTTGCTTGTCTGTAAAGGATTTTATTTCTCCTTCACTGATGAAGCTTAGTTTGGCTGGATATGAAATTCTGGGTTGAAAATCCTGTTCTTTAAGAATGTTGAATATTGGCCCCCACTCTCTTCTGGCTTGTAGAGTTTCTGCCAAGAGATCAGCTGTTAGTCTGATGGGCTTCCCTTTGTGGGTAACCCGACCTTTCTCTCTGGCTGCCCTTAACATTTTTTCCTTCATTTCAACTTTGGTGAATCTGCCAATTATTCCTCTTGGAGTTGCTCTTCTCAAGGAGTATCTTTGTGGCATTCTCTGTATTTCCTGAATCTGAATGTTGGCCTGCCTTGCTAGATTGGGGAAGTTCTCCTGGATAATATCTTGCAGAGTGTTTTCCAGCTTGGTTCCATTCTCCCTGTCACTTTCAGGTACACCAATCAGATGTAAATTTGGTCTTTTCACGTAGTCCCATATTTCTTGGAACTTTGTTCATTTCTTTTTATTCTTTTTTCTCTAACCTTCCCTTCTTGCTTCATTTCATTCATTTCATCTTCCATCACTGATACCCTTTCTCCCAGTTGATCGCATCAGCTCCTGAGGCTTCTGCATTCTTCAGGTAGTTCTCGAGCCTTGGCTTTCAGCTCCATCAGCTCCTTTAAGCACTTCTCTGCATTGGTTATTCTAGTTATACATTCGTCTAATTTTTTTTCATAGTTTTTAACTTCTTTGCCATTGATTTGAATTTCCTCCTGTAGCTCGGAGGAGTTTGATCATCTGAAGCCTTCTTCTCTCAACTCGTCAAAGTCATTCTCTGTTCAGCTTTGTTCCATTGCTGGTGAGGAGCTGCGTTCCTTTGGAGGAGGAGAGGCACTCTGATCTTTAGAGTTTCTGGTTTTTCTGCTCTGTTTTTCCCCATCTTTGTGGTTTTATCTACTTTTGGTCTTTGATGATGGTGACGTACAGATGGGGTTTTGGTGGGGATGTCCTTTCTGTTTGTTAGTTTTCCTTCTGACAGACAGGACCCTCAGCTGCAGGTCTGTTAGAGTTTGCTAGAGGTCCACTCCAGACACTGTTTGCCTAGGTATCAGCAGCAGTGGCTGTAGAACAGCGGATTTTCATGAACCACAAGTGCTGCTGTGTGATCGTTCCTCTGGAAGTTTTGTCTCAGAGGAGTATGAGGTGTCAGTATGAGGTGTCAGTCTGCGGCCGTATGAGGTGTCAGTCTGCCCCTACTCGGGGATGCCTCCCAGTTAGGCTGCTCGGGGGTCAGGGACCCACTTGAGGAGGCAGTCTGCCCGTTCTCAGATCTCCAGCTGCATGCTGGGAGAACCACTACTCTCTTCAAAGCTGTCAGACAGGGACATTTAAGTCTGCAGAGGTTACTGCTGCCTTTTTGTTTGTCTGTGCCCTGCCCCCAGAGGTGGAGCCTACAGAGGCAGGCAGGCCTCCTTGATGGCCTGTGGTGGGCTCCACCCAGTTTGAGCTTCCCGGCTGCTTTGTTTACCTAAGCAAGCCTGGGCAATGGCAGGCGCCCCTCCCCTAGCCTTGCTGCCGCCTTGCAGTTTGATCTCAGACTGCTGTGCTAGCAATCAGTGAGACTACATGGGTGCAGGACCGTCTGAGCCATGCGCGGGATATAATCTCCTGGTGTGCCGTTTTTTAAGCCCATTGGAAAAGCACAGTATTAGGGTGGGAGTGACCCGATTTTCCAGGTACCGTCTGTCACCCCTTTCTTTGACTAGGAAAGGGAACTCCCTGACCCCTTGCACTTCCCGAGTGAGGCAATGCCTCACCCTGCTTTGGCTAGCGCACAGTGCACTGCACCCACTGTCCTGCGCCCACTGTCTGGCACTCCCTAGTGAGATGAACCTGGTACCTCAGATGGAAATGCAGAAATCACCCGTCTTCTTCGTCACTCAGGCTGGGAGCTGTAGACCGGAGCTGTTCCTATTTGGCCATCTTGGCTCCATCTTGTCCCCTCTTGAACACCGCAACCTATGTGCAAGATGGAAGCTAAGGAAAGAACAGAATTACAACAGTGAAGTGAAGTCTTCCTAGTGTCTTAGCACAATTATTACTTCATGCATTTTGCAAATGGGCATAATTTTTTTTTTGAGATGGAGTCTCACTCTGTCGCCCAGACTGGAGTGCAGTGGTGTGATCTCAGCTCAACCTCCGCCTCCCAGGTTCAAGGGATTCTCCTGCCTCATCTTCCTGAGTAGCTGGGACTACAGGTACGTGCCACCACGCCCAGCTAATTTTTTGTATTTTTAGTAGAGATGGGGTTTCACTGTGTTAGCCAGATCTCCTGACCTCGTGATCCACTTGCCTTGGCCTCCCAAAGTGTTGGGATTACAGGCGTGAGCCACTGCACCTGGCCACGTGGGCATAATTAAAAAAAAACAAACCTCCAGGTGCTACATTCTTTGTGAGTTTCACATATTAATATCCCTAAAGATAACATGGGACCATTCAGGGAAAAAACAAACTTAGCATGATACTAGCTCTTACCCAGAGCAATCCCATGAAGTGCTGGTAGGATGGCTTTGTACTGTCTGGGCTTTTTCAGCTCATCAGAGTCTGCCCTGCACTGACATTATGCTCCTCTCATCACTCTTAGGAGCCAGGTCAGCATCTGTGTCTGCCTTCATATGGTGGATGGGAAGTATCTGGACTTCCTTTTAAAAGTGTCAGCTTTTCATGGACTTCTCAGGGGCTTTGTGACAATATTCTAAGCTTCACGGGCAATCTATAGATTTAATATGTCCTGGTTATTATTATGCTTGGTAACTTTTTTCCCCCATCAAAAATAGAATAAATGGATCTGGAAAAAACAAAAACACTTTTTAGCTGCTTCAGAAGATGGTCAGTCTGAAATAGTGGATATTTAGGACAGAGTCTTGGTCTCAGGTTCTTACCCAATAAACTCATAATATGAATTTTTTCCATAACTTAGTTTACAGTATATGTAGATTTAGCATATATATGTTGAAAGATTATTTTAAGAATAAAAAGATTAATCAGAGTACTTTAAATTGCCTTGATCATTCTGATTCTTTCTACAGTTCATCTCTTTCATGTAGTCTTCAGCTCACGGACCACCATTTCCCATGATGTCCCCTCCTCTCCTAGCTGGGCACATCTGTGCACAAGTAGCAAGCAGGGGCACCACCCCCTTCCCCTCTTCTGAGTCTTGCTCTAGTAGGAAAATGCAGGAACCTGGATATCCCATTGGAGTGCCCCTCAGTTTCTCACCAATAGCTCAGAGCTCAGCATTCAGAGATCTAGGGCTTCTGGAGAGTCTTGAAGTTTCCAGCACACTAGGAACCAGCCTATATATGCCTTGTGGAGTCTTCCTGCTTGTAGTCATCACTGTTCTTGGTTTTATTTGATCAAACTACAGCACCATGTAATTCCTGGATTTCATCTATCCAGCAAATCTATACAATAGTCAATCCTGAGAACCCTTGGTCTACTTCTGAATAGGCATAACTGTAGTAGGGTTATATTGTAGTAGGCTATTAGGAAAGATGGTGTTTTGCCTCTCCTTCCTTCAAATCCAGGTGCTGGGGAATGGGGAATTCAATATTTCACTTTAGCATGTCTTGAGGGTAATTTGTAAACCCAATTCCATCAATAAAATTGTCTGCCCCAGTGACTGCTGCTCTCACCTGATGACATCTGATCTGCAAGTGACTCCCTGAGGTCACGGGGACCAACCTGCACCTGGCTCAGAGGCCAGGTGCTCCTGGAAGTGGCCAGTCTTGTGGGTAACACATTTGCCCTGGAATGTTAATCTCTTTTCACAGGGCTCAATATTTGGATCGCCTGGCCCCAGTCAGATACCTGGAAATCACACTGCAGCCCCCTCAGATTGGAACAGGAAGCAAGCCAGGAGCTCTGAGATGCTTTTGGGCTATTGTTGACATATGGCAATCTGATTTAGTCCTGTTTCCTCCAAGTCCCCAAGGTTCTGTGGTCCCGCCTTCCTAGTCCTCTGGGAAATGAAGAAGATTGCCCTGCTTTTCTCTGATACCTCTGTCCTCGTGTTCCTGTGTAGATCAAGCTGGATGCAACATGACATGTTTGTTTGGGTTTTTCTCCACTCTATCAACATCAAGTGCCATTAGGTTGTAAACTGGTAATGACAGTGGTAACCATAGGTTCCAAAAGATTTTAAAACTTTCTCTCCTTTAGCCTGGCAAGAAGCTGAGGTAGTAACACTGAAAAGCCCCCAGGTAGACATATAACACAAGTCTTACTTGTGGTTTGTTAAGTAAGTAGCCCAGCACATACTTTTCTGTTTAAGTTAAAGGTTAGGGTGCTATAAACCTCGAAGCTTGTCAAGATTAAGCAGCATTGGGCAGAAAGATGTGCTGTGAGCACCGGCCTCCAGTTATTGGGTCCAATCACATTTTAGTGAAATAAGATTGCCTTGCTGGAGTTTCATTTGTGGGCTTGTAAGTGAAGGGTGTATGGCAGATGCTATGATTAAGATTTCATTTCCTGGCTGATGCTACCACAATGATCACAGCACCAGCAGGGGAAAACTCACATTTGCTGGCAAGGTTAAATAGTGAGTAGTTCTGAATTTAATACACAGATTAAAAACAAAAAGAAACCACTGCCACCACCACAACAAAAACTCACTCAGGTTGATTAAGGGACTGCCTTTCATATTTCAGGAGATGAAGCGCTTGTGTTAATGTCTTTCTACTTTGTTTGAAGATACCAACTTTTTCCCACACTCATTCTTTCATTGATTCATTTATTGAGTGCCTATTTTTTCAGATGCTGGGCATTCAGTAGTGAACAAAACAGCAAAATTGTTGCTGTCACGGAGAGAGAAAGACAATTTTTTAAAAAGAAACAAATACATTGTTATAAGCATTATAAAGAACAGTGCAAAGTAAGGGAGATAGAAACAATGGGGAAGCTATTTTTTAAAGGACAGGGAAGGCATCTCTGAAGAGGTACACTTAAGCAGAGGCCTGAAGGAAGTAAGGGAGTGAATCCTGTAGATGTTTCAAGAAAAGGCTTTCTGGGCAGCAGAAATAGTAAGGTAAAAGGATCTGAGGTCTACTGAGGAACAGCGAGGAGGCCAGAGTAGCTGGACTGGAGTGGGCAGAGGAGGAAGAGTAGTAGAAGGTATGGTTAGAATGCACCTTTGGGAGATTTTGAGCATGCGAGTGACATGATCTTATGTTTTAAAACTTCCGTCTGGCTGTTGTGTGGGATTGCAAGTGGAACTAAATAGGAGGCTATTGCAATAATCTAGGTGAGAGATGATAATGGCTTGGATTCTGTGATTTGGCAGAGGTGGTAATGAACGGTTGGATTCTGGATGTATTTCAAAAGCAGAGCTGACAGGGTTTCTTGATGATTAGATATGGGTGTGTGAGAAAGAAAAAAGGCAAGGATGTTACTATGTATTTAGCCTGAGCACCTGGCCAAATGTAAGTGCAATTTTTTTCAGATGGGGAAGATGAAGAAGAGAAACATTTGTGTGTGTGTGTTGTCTGGTTTTAGACATGTTAAATTTGAGATGCCTAACAGACTTCCAAGTAAAGATGTTGAAAAAGAAGTTGGAAAAGGAGTCTTGAATTCAAGGGTGAGTTTGGGGCTAGAGTTATCCATTTGGGGGCATATCAGCATAAAGGCGGATATTTAAAGTCATAAGACTAGAAAAGATCACCCAGGAATGAGGATAAAGAAGTCCAAGGCTTTTGCTGTGGGGCCCTCTGAAATTTATAGGTTGAGGAGATGAGAAGGAATCAGTATAGGCACCAGATAAGAGCTGCTGAGCATGGTAGGAGAACCAATAGGGAAAGGCATCCCAGAAGCTAAAAGAAGAGTGTTCAAGGAGGAGAAAGTGGTCCAAAGTGCCAAGTGTTTCTGGGGGGTAATAGGAACAGTGATAAATCCCCATTGAATCTGATAATGTGGAGGTCATAGATGACCCTAACAAATGTAGTTTCACTGGAGAGGAGAGGAGGAAGCTTACTGAAGTGGTTTCAAGACAGAATGAGAGGAAAGTGGATGAGAAGTGGAGGCAGTGAGTATGGACAACTCCTTCAAGAAGTTTTGCTGTAAAACAAAGGAGACACATTGGGTAATAGGTGAAAGGTTTATGAGGCCAAAGAAAAGTTTTTTCCAACAAATGTTGAGGAACTACTGCAGGCCAATCACAAGTTCTACTCTCATGGTACCCACAGTTGGTGGGGTGGGGTAGGAGAGTGGCCAAACACCATCAGCAATGATGAGTCAGAGAGTATGTGCTATGAAAAGAGCAGGACAAAGAGTCCAGCACAGCCAGCCACAGTTGGGGCCACTAACTGAATCCATCCAAATGAGCCAGGGAAAGCATCCCAGAGGAGGTGATGCCTACGCTAAGCGAAGAGGAATGACTAGTGTTTAAGAAGGGCACAAGTCCTGTTGAGTGACCACATCCACTTAATTTTGCCTTTTGGGGGGTTTTGGCCACTAGCAGTTGGTAAAGCATTGTTCATTGTTCATAGTGTTATCTCCCTTTTTCTCCATGCTGCTAAAAGCTGAAGTTTACCCTCAACCAAAAAAGCAGCCCCTGCAAGCCTCCCCAGACTCTCCCCTTGACACTATTACTTTACACTTGCGATATGGCAAACGGGAGCTATTTGTGGTTCCCTGCCTACCATCACTATTCCAAGTGAGGCCTCATGTCTTTACCCAGTGGGGCTCTCTCTCTGGACTACTCACCTCCTCCTTACCTTCCCATCCTCATTCATTTACCTGGTGAACACAAATGGAAGTTCTTGTCAAACTCTCTAGAAATTGACCTGAAGATATTCACATGTTATTACCAGTTATACTATTGATACTATTTATACTATAGATTATATTTATTGAGCTTCCATAAGTATCAGTTATCTTCCAGGCACATTTTCCTTCACTGCCTTTTTTAAGGGCCTTTCTTCATTCCTATGTTGCTAAGAGAGGAGAATGGGTGAGTTGACCTTGCAGGGAGGCTAAGTCTGGAAACATCCCTTTACTCTCTTCCTTCTACTCCTTCTACTCTTCCTTTCCCACTTGAAGCATGGACCATTTGCAGAGGTCCCCCAAGTTCAGTCTTCATTAGGCACCACATCACTTAATCCCAAAGTCTCTCTTTCACCTGACTGACACCAAGTCTCCCTCCCTTGGTGCCTCAAGGAGCTGGGTGGTAGGTTGGGGCCTGAAGAGCAGTGGTTTACCAGATATACTTGCAACCAGGTGGATTGGTTGTGGCAAATGCAGGTCTGAGCAGAACTTACGCTGGGAAGTTGAAGGCAATGATTGGGAGAGACTGGGGAGAAAGTGAAGTCTACAAGGCAGGAAGCAGGACTGCAAGTGGGAAAAGGAAGCCTGTGGGGAAGCAGCAACTATCCTGGAAGCACTGTGCAAATCCTGGTGTTTGCATCTCCCAACTTATGGTTGCAAGGGTGAGTTGGGTAGGTTGAGAGAAAAGCATCTGATGAATCCATCCCCAGTAGATCCTCACTAACTCGTTATGGCTTAACTGTTTTAGCTCTCCTCCAGGAGGGAGACAAAAAAGAAGAACTCATAGTGGTGGGATTTCAGGCAGAGGGGTAATACCCCAATGGAATACGATCGGCAGGGTCACCTCCTGAAGAATCCCCAAGTCAGACCAGATAAATATCCACTTTGCAGTAGCAGATGGATGAGGAAAGCTGTAAGGATGAATATCTTGGTTGGGGTTATTGCTGTCACATCACAGAAGGCCGTGGAAAAGTGCTGGAGTGATAATGTGAGTTGGGCCTCCTCTGTGCTTACATCCTCAGGATGTAAGCAGATCATGGCTTCCTGGCTTTCTCCGTTGGAGTCCAGCTTAGAATCTGAGTAAGACAATTGCCTGGGCTCTAGGAGGCCTGGCCAATTACTCGTGGTGTGATCTCTGGAAAATCACTTGAGTGGGGCTTAGTTTTCTCGTTTATTTGTTAGCTGGAGATATGCTGGATCACTTGCCTTACAGGGAAATGACCATGAAATGAAACATGTCAAATAACTTCATAAAATGTGGAGTTTTACATGAATGCCAGGAGTCACCCTTCTACTGGACTACAAACACTTTAAGGCAGGAATCTTATGTTGTTCCTCTTTGTAATCCAAGCCCATCCTATGGCACGTGGCCATGGAAGCTCCCTTTGGTGGTGTGGACTGCTGGATGAATCCCAGCATTGCTGGCTGGCTGTGTGGGGCAGCCTTGGGCAGGGAATCCTGCCACATCTTGGCTGACTGACAACTGCTTGTACTTTTCCTTCCCCCTCACAGCTGATGGTTCCATGCTTTCCCCATTTAAAATGGCATTTTGGGAAATGGTTCTGCCCCAGAGAATGCATTAAGGTGACTCTGCTTGTGGTACCCTCGTTCCCTCAAAGGCTCGTTATTTAAATTATTGCTCATTATTAGCAGCCCTATTTTCCCTGGCAGCTGTGAGGTGAGATGACATTTCCAGGTTTCTCAAAGCACCCTGGGAATGATCAGGCTAAGTCAGGTTTCTCCCCTTGACGCGGCGGCCACAGGGAATAGTGGAAGGAGTCTACTGACATTGCATGAAGTGGGTGGCAGAGAGAGAGAGGGTCACACTTCCCCATGTGTATGGGCTCTACCCTGGCTACAGCTTCTTTTTTGGCTCTTCCTGGAAGAAAAAGAAAGCCAAAAGGAACCTGGTTATCGTCCTGTGATGTTGTGAGCTCTAACTGACAAGGCTGGACCTGCCTGGCTTCTTTTGGGTTAAAGTGTCAGGAATAAGAGGTCACAGGCAAGGTGGCAAGGAGAGAAGCAGAGAAAATCTGTCTGTGGTTTTTTAAAAAAAGGGAAGAAAGAAAAGTTCCTGCTTTTCTTTCCTGTGTGAGAAAAACTATTTAAACTGGCACAAAATATATTTAAGAAGCATATTCTTAGAGTTACTTAGAAAAATACCCTGTATATTCTGGCAGCAGCAAAATGTATCCTTAATAGAATTCATATGGGGCCCTCAATGATCACGATGTTTGGAGAGGAGCCAGATAGTAAGTAATTTAAACATCACAGGAAATTAAATTTTAGAATTCAATTTTGCATAAAGTTTTCTGTAATGAAAATGTCACCCATAAATTATGAAGTCTGATTATATTCTTTTTTGACTTTTTAATAAAATAATAGAGGTACTTGACAGTCAAGAACAAATGCATATTTTATGTGAATAGTATTGCGTTCAACCAACGTCCTCTGGAAATAATGGAACAGATGTTAACACTGCTCTATCAGCTATCAGGTGCTCTGTTAAACAGCTCCAAACACAAGTATTTATTAAAAAATGCTAAAGGGGTTGTCTTTTAGGGTTATCTAATTGTAGGCTTAAAATGTAGATGGTTAATGTAATTAATTATACATGTAGAATTATATAGTTGGGCTATAATTTATTATATGTGTGCATATATAAATTATATAATATTCTGTTGTAAATTAATTTAATATGGGCACAGGGAATGACTTCTTGAAAATATTAAATAGTTCATAATGTGGTTATAAATCAAAACTAATCTGAATTTCCACTTAATTTTGAATTTTGAGAAGGAGGATGCTTTAACTCACTGTAGGGGACTTTGGGGGTGCTGATTGTGTTTTAGATTAAATCCACAGCCGGTAATTATTTTTAATAATATTCAACTAAAAAATGCCCCAAATAAAAAGCCTGAGCACTCTTAATTTGTTTCAGGCCAAGCAGCATTCTTCTTCAAAGCAAAAAATATAATGAACGTTTATTTTGAAAATTGACCTCCTCCATCATAACTCCAGGGCCCTAAGGAGGTCTTTCTTTAGGCTCACAATAAACTCTTGCGCAATGCAGAGATCATGACCCTGCTCTCTTGCAGGGGGAGAGAATTCTTGACAATGTATGTCCTATTTCATATTTCCCCCTTTGAATCCGGTTATTACTTCATCTACATGCTTTGTATTGGGGGACGGGGTCTACACATATTTTAAATTTTAAAGGAGCGCGACAAAGCTTTCTTACTTAATCAGAGTCACACACAAATGTAGGCCAGGCTGTTCATCCAGAAGCTTGTATCTTCTTTTGGAAAGTAGGCCATGTCAGTTCACAGTGGAAGGAAGATGAAGATGATGCTCTGTATGACTTCCAAAAAGGTGGGCATCTTTTTGTTTTTATCTGTTTTTCCTATGAGGACAATGACTAGGGTGACCAACTTGTCCCAGTTTGTCTGGGACTCTCCTAGTTTTAGCACTGAAAGTCCTGCATCCTGGAAACCCTCTCAGACTTGAGTGAACCAGGATAGTTGATCATTCTAAGTATGACCCATAAAAGCTTACAAACCAGCATTTTTAAAAGATGTGTGCACAAAAGCACATGCTGCCATCATAAAGGTGGCATGAAGAGGCAGAAGGTACTGATGTCCATCGAGGGTGGGCCTCTGCCCCTTGATTGTCAGCATGTGCTGGGGGCTGGCCCTCAGCTTTGCAAGTGCATTACTGAGATTTTAGAAGCTGATCCATTGTTGATCAGGCTCTAGGTCACAGATGAAAATGGGCTCCTTAGTCAGCAAAAGCAAGGAAGCTCCTGCTGATGTGTATGAGACTTTGTGTGAGTGAGTGATGGGTTCTTGTTGAGCTTAGCCACTAAGATTTCAGAGCTGGTTTGTTGTGACAACTTGTGTCAATATAAAATTTGTCTTGAGGTGAGGTACTATCATTAGAAGAACCTAAAATACATAACATTGCCCTAGCCATCGGGGTGGGTTGTGAGGAAACTAATATTGGAAGCGAAAAGATGATGATCCCTATGGTTTTGTGGCAAAATGTTCAGGTAAACTATTGCTTCTAATAACTAGGCAGGACAACTACTTACCTAATTAATTTGCAGTGCTATGAGAAGATAATGAAAAACAGGACTTTAGTAGTGTGTGATATTATTGGCTATGCTTGACAAGATATTACAAGAAAGATGAGCTCAGAAGAGAAGTGGTCAGTTTATAAAGCAGAAAAGAAAAGGTACAGAGAGAGTTTGAAATTCAGGGCCTTAAAATTTGGAAGAGTTGACTGCTTCTAGAACCCAAACAATAAGAGGTCGTATTTAAAAAGACTTTGAAGGGGAAAAGGTTTCTCACTTAGTTAATAAGCCTCAAGGCAAATATTGCTCAAGCTGTGACCCTCTCATTCAAACCTAATAGCCTAATATCGGTATTCACAATGGAGTTCAGAAAAAGAGGCATGAAGGTGAAGAAGCAAAGAAATAAAACAGATCTAAGAACCTACAAGCTGTAAAGTTCTTTGGGTGTGCTTATTATTTATTTATTTATTTATTTTTTGAGACAGAGTTTCACTTTTGTTGCCCAGGCTGGAGTGCAATGGCACGACCTCATCGGCTCACTGCAACCTCTGCTTCCTAGGTTCAAGAAGTTCTCCTGCCTCAGCCTCCAGAGTAGCTGGGATTACAGGTGCCAGCCACCATGCCCAGCTAATTTTTTTTTCTATTTTTAGTAGAGATGGGGTTTCACCATGTTGACCAGGCTGGTCTCAAACTCCTGACCTCAGGCAATCCACCTGCCTCGGCCTCCCAATGTGCTGGGATTACAGGCATCAGCCACCGCACCCAGCCATGGATGTGCTTATTGTCCAGTGAAGTGAAAAGCAAAGAGAGTTTTTAGGGAACTACATAACTAAAGCAACCATGTAAAGGTATCTGAATATTCAGAACTTAAAACAACCCTGGGGTCCCTAATCGGAAGCAATTTGAGAAACCTGGGATGCCCCTAAGGAGTTCAAATTCCCTAAAGCTCACTTTAAATGTGGCTAAACAGAATAAAGAAAAAGAAGAATCTCCTCCAGGATGAGTCAAAGAGCCAAGGAAAACGATGAAAAAGGAAAGTCTCCTCAGAGAGCAGAATCGTGGCTTAACCAAGGGGCCTCCATCCTGAGGGTAGGAGGTCTGCCCAGCTGGATTCCTGAATTGCTGCGGGTCAGAGGCTGCTGTGTGTCTTCCATTAGTTTCTTTTCAAATGGAAATGTTTACATATACCTTACTGGGTGGTTATGTATGCACATGCATATATGTGGACAGGAAGTAGATAACTTGTCTTTTTTGGATCAGGACCTCAGAACCAAGAAAAGTTACATCATCTGGCTCTGATGGAGAAACAAATTGGACATCATCCAGAAGGATTAAACTTTGAACTGGATGCAATGGTGGATGGATGGAACTTTGGCCGGTCTCCCCTGTGGAGGAATTAGGGCTATTCTGTGTTGGAAGAAAGAAACAAAGAAATATTTGGTGATGAAAAGGGTGGGCCATGGCAGATATAGTAAATGATGATCAAATATTCCATGTACTCACTCAAATTTCCCAGTCTCACTGCAATTAGACTAGGCAGGTATGTGATTAATTAGTGGAAGTGGCCCATTATGCAGGTAGCCATCTTCAGTCTTTTCACATAATTTTCATTTATTTGCAGTACATTTATTTCAGACTACATTTTCTGTCTCTGCCTTCCAATAAATGTCCTGCTTGGAACTTATATCACTCCTATTCACTACCAATAGATGCTATGTTGTTTTTCTTGTGATAATGTTATCAAGCACTTAGGGACCAAAATTTAGTTAACATATATTCAACACTGGACACGCTTCTCCCCAAATCTACCCATCCTTGAAACAGGCTTCTTTGTTTTATGGCTTTGCCATCCTTGGAATCAACTAGAAATGCTAAATACGAAAGTGAGAGATTTCATTACCTCCAGAGCACTGTCTATTTTAAGCCCTCACCATATTTGTCAACTGGGAAACTTTGTCTCAGTGAGCTTTGCAGAGAATGTGATTGGCTAGAATTACAAGTTTTTAGTTTTGGACCACTTCTCCAAAGTGTTACCCTAAGGATTTCAGCAATTCTATTTCTTGGCCTAAAAAGAAGATGACTCATTCAACCAGAATCTGTTCTTAAGTTAAAAAGTCACAAGAGAGACTGTTGCTGATGTGGTAGCCAAAAGAAAGACTGTTATTCAAGTAATTGCTTCCTGACTCCCAGGCCTAGAGTTCTAATTCTATTGATGTCTCTGGTTCTCAAGAATATGAGCTGAAATGCTCATGTGATTGGCCTTATCTTCCTTTCTTCTAAACTGCCTTCCTTAGACACACATGTAAAACTGTCCCTATTCATGGATCATAGCAGATAGGACTAGTGATTCCTTTTCCTCACATCTACTAATTCCTATGAGCTACCATCTTCACTCTTTGCCCAGCTGGTAAGAGAGAAGCCAAGTTATGTGTCTCCAAAGGACAGCACTAGGAAGACTGGGACCCAGAGCAGGCCTGGGCAACAGTGCTGGTGTCCATAGGATGGAGCCCTTGTGAGCAGGTCAGGTCAGCGTTATGACTAGATGTTTCTCATATGATTTGGGGTGTGAGTACAATGATTTCCTACTGGGGCTATTGAATATACCCTCACACCTTTCTCTGTGGTGCCAGGTGATGAGTATGACTTGTGATGGAGACGGTGTGTGGCGGTGGAAAGGGACAGGCTTTGGACATGAGTTCCTCAGATTCTGCAGGCATGGGCTATCTCATTCCACACTTACCACATGGATGCAAGACAAAGTAATTACGAGAGAACATCATCTGAGTATCCAATATCTAAGCTTCTTTAGTCTTGAGTAAAAGTTATTGTAACATAAAACATTAATAAATGACCTCCTATTAGCTCCCATTCAACATTAGTGTCTATCTCTGCTCATGGCATCAGCATCCTTGTCTGTTGGCTCCTGCTGGTTTCCTGATGTGACAAACCCTTGACAATAATGTGAAAACACAAGGGAAATTGACGGCAGAGGGAAATGGGAAATTTTGCAAAATGTGCAAGATTTCATGAAGTTGAGAAAAGTGATGTTTGAAGACTATTTGAATCACATGTAAAATCATTGACAAATGAGGATCTGTCAGGGTTAGCAATGAGAAAGTCAACAGGGATGACTTCACCATGGACATTCAAAAGAAAATCATTGAAGCCTCATTTTATTTTCCTGGAAAAATTGCTGAAGTTCTTGGGTATATTTGTGAAAATTTCTGACCTTTCCTGGGATCTTCTGGGCATGGATAAAGTGAAGAATGCTGTTATTTTGCTATTGGTTTGAATGAAAGCTGTATTAAATCCAGAGAAACCAATCAACACCTGATACATTTTTTTGTTCCTTCCAAGAATTGGCAACTAGTTGCAATTGTCATCTATACTTTGTTATATATAGGATCAGACTTGTTTTCTTTTTCTCATTTTAGTTTCATTTCTTTTTGGTGTTGAAGTGATAATAGAAACTTTTATCAGGCCAAGAGCAGTGGCTCACGCCTGTAATCCCAGTAATTTGGAGGGCCGAGGTGGGCAGATCACCTGAGGTCAGGAGTTCCAGACCAGCCTGGCCAACATGGTGAAACCTTGTCTCTACTAAAAATACAAAAATTAGCTGGGCGTGGTGGAATAGAGTGAGACTCCATCTCCAAAAAAAAAAAAAAAAAGAAACTTTTATCCTTCACTACTTATAATGTCGATACGTCGATATTTTAAGGGGACTTAAAACCTTTTCAGGTACCAGGAGGCAGGGGCTTCTGTATTTGCATATTTAACTTCAATTTATAATGAACAAATCAAATATAGAATAGGAAAAATGCAATAACAAATATGTGAATAAAATATAAAAGTATTTGTACAACATCCCTTAGTTTAAAAGATACACTATTTTAAAAATAGTTTAATGATATTTGCCAGATTGTTTTCCTCTTCGATTGTTTGCTTCTGAGGCTTTGTTTTGCACCCTCAGGTTTGTTGTCAGCTGATAAGCAATATCTCTGCAAGAGTTTAAATAATCCACTACTTACTTAGCCACATACATGGAGCTGCTTACTTGAATTTGTCTGATACCAATGATTTCTTATTTCTCAGGAACTGATCCATGTTTCCTTGGTCCTGAATGTTGGAGTAAACTCCCTATGCTGGTTTTCCACAAAGTGAGGCAGTAGAAAACTTAAGTTAAAAGTCAAAACCCTCCTTATTGGGTTTGTGAAACATCACTTAAATGAGGGAGGCCTTAGTTTTATACTCTAAAATGGAGTTAACGTTATTCTTTTATTTCTCTTACATGGTTGTTTTGAGACTCAAATGGTATGATGTCCATGTTTTGGTGACTGGACATGATACACTGGAATGAAACTAGCATAGACTGACCCTCTATTAGGAGCCGTGTACTGGGCTGAGTGGATTTACAGACCTTGTCTCATGTGGCCACATGCAGGATTTGGATATATTATTATGATGCAGCATGACGGTCCTAATAGTCTTTGATTATTGTAAAGCAAATTTTCTGCTCCAGTTCTTTGACCCTCACAGTGGAGATCTTCAATCCCATTATGTCTTCCTGAGTTGTTTCTAATAGACTCACTCAGGCTGTCCCCGGTGAGTAACTCACTGTAGCCCTGTGACCTTGGGACGCAGCCTGTCCAAAGGGAAGACCACCCAGTAACTCAGACTCCACATTGCTTAGCCATCTCAGAGTGCTCTGTCTATCTTACTACCCAACCCCCTACTTCCAGCAAATTTAAGAGCTGTCAGTTCCACCTCGGTAATATCTCTTACATCAATTTCTACTCCCTGTCGGCTTTGTTAGTGGCCTATTTCAGGTAGTTGTTAGGTCTCACGCAGAACTCCCTGTGGGGTGGCCAGTGAGTGGGCCTCCTCCGAGGCTGCCACGCCCCCTGCTGGTGGGGGAGGGCATTCCTGAAGGCAGCTGGAGAAGCAGCAGGGCCAGGGTAAGAATTTCATCTGGGGCCTGGGCCTCAGAATTCATTTAGACTTTGACATCTGTTTCCTTTGGTCTAGAGGTGGTACCAAGGGGATGACTTGGTGGCGTGGGTTGGGGGTGCTTTAGTTTCCTCATAATTTTCATCACAACTTAATAGACCCACCCTGAGAAGATACAATCCAAGTTTACTATGCACATACAGCTTTAAGCCACCAACACCCCTTCCAATGAGATTGCCACTTCTGAGCTCCCTCTAATATAGAAATTCCAGAGACATGGAACCTAGTCCTTCAACTGGACTTGCCTGGCATCTTCAGTGTCGTATTTGACCTACTGTACTTGCCAGATCCAGCTTTGCTACTTGTTTTTCCTCCCTTGACTGCCTGTTTCTAAGTCTTGATCTCATTCATCTTTCAGATTCTTGATGTCTTCCATTACCCTGGTCTGTCCCAACTCCAGACCTCCCTGCTTCCTCCTCAAATGAAAAGAAAGAGGGTTTACTGTGAAATTGAACATAAGAAATGAAATTCAAAGCAGTGGATTTAAAACTATTTTGACTATTTTACATTAAGGCCAAGTGAACACACACACACACACACACACACACACACACATATACATATAATTACTTATACGCTAGCACATGTGATGTTTTTCTATTCTCTTTTATTTCGTGTTTTTTAAAAAGTCAGTGCTCCTGATTCACCAACTGGTCCCAATTGATTGAAGGAGCTCAATTTGCTGTTTTAAAATGCTGTTCTAAGGAAATATACACGGGAAAAGTGGAACTAAACTGAGTGGGGCCTTATTTATAACAGTAAGCAGGGTTTTATCTGAATTTTAGTTGTTTGTGAGTTGTCTCCTTTTCTTTACCTAGTATGTATGGATGAATTGGGAAGGAGAATTATAATTCATCTCTTTTGGAAGCATGTGTGTACAGTAGAACAATTTTAAGAAGTGCTTATTTTTCAATCACAGGATTTAGAACAAATGTATCAGGTATGTTGTCTCTGCTATCTGTAATCAGGGATTTTAAAATGCAGCTGGGGGTAATTCTTCCATCTCCACAAGCAATTCTCCCAGTACTGTCAGTTTTGTTGTAGGGAATTTGAAATGGGAGTTCAGATTGCTATATTGTCCTCAGCTCTAGATAAGAAAAAAAATAGAAGAAGCAAGAAAGCTTTGCTCTCAGTCTGGTAGGGGATTTTCATGGAAGTTTGACAGTGATAGCTGATGGAGTTAAAGGATCCAGGAAAAAAACTCCACTTATATCCCGGGGGGGTCCTCAACACTGGGTCCACCTTGGAGTTGCTTGGGAAGCTTTTATTGATTTATTTTTAAACTTTTTGTCAGGCAAAATTTCAAATGTATGTGAAAGTAGCAAGAAAATATAATGAATCCTTACATATTCATCACTCAGCTTCAACTGTTGTCAACTCATGGCCAATCTTTTTTCTATACTTTATCCATTTCCCACACCTGCCTCATTATTTTGAAGTATATCCCAGACATAATATCATTTCATCTCCAAATATTTCATTTTGTATCTCTAAAAATGATGACTTCATTTTTAAACAAAACCATCATACTATCACCACACAGGGAGCTTTAGAAGTATCTCAAATGCCTGGACCCCAGACCAATTAAGTCAGAATATCTGGGAGTGGGAAGCTATATACTTGTATTTTCATAAAGTCCCCAGATGATTCTAATGTTATTATCATACTTAGTTTAGGGGCAGAAATTAAGTGGTCAGGGCTAAGACTCCTATGGAGGATGGTCATAAGTAGGGAACAACTACAGCAGACACCTCTATTAGGGTGAGAGTCACATCTGCTCCTCTCTCTCTGTTCATTCTTACCCTTAGCAAACCATCCCACTTTAGACCCACTCTCTGTAGGTAACCCACAACATCAGTATCTTTTAGTCCTAACCCAATGTCTGAACTCCAATCTCAGCTATCTCACTTTCTGTAGACCATTTTCATTAGAATGTCCCAGCATCACCTAAATTAAATGCTTTAATATACTTAAAACAGACTTTTCTCTCTTTCTCCCAAACCAGCTCCCTCACTGGATGGCTCCATTTCTATCATCAGGGAGGTTACATTTTTGGCTTTCCCTTGTCACTCATATACCAACCAGAACCTAGATTTTTCAGTTTTTCACATTTGATGGCACTCATATCCATCCTATTCTTTTTATTCAACACTCTACACCCTCCTTCAGCCCCCCATCCTTTCATGCTACACTATCGCAATAGCTTCCTAATAATTCTTTCTCTTTTCTCGTCTACCTGCAGCCCACTGCATATTCCAAAGCCATGTGTATCTTCTTAAAACACAGTTGCAAAAATTCATTCACCTGGTTAGATAAACCCTAGATGAATCACCATTATTTATAGGGTATGTCTCAATTCCTTCAGCAAGTATTTCGAATTCTCACAAGACCCTCCACTTCAGCCACATAGTACACTATTCTTGAACCTGTCATATACATTCACATTTCTTCACCTTTGCTCATGCCACTCTCTCATCTCTTACCACCTGATCCTATCCTATCCTATTCTATCCTATCCCATCCCATCCCATTCTATCCACAGATCCAAAATTCTCCTTCCTCCAGAAAAGCCTGTCACAACTTACAATGACATCTTTGTCCCTCAATCTCCTGTGGCACTTATTACAGGCAGCTTTTTATAATTCATTGCTACTTCATATATAAGTATATACACATACATAGATGTATATGTATTTTACCCAGTTTTTGCCCTACAAAAACAGAAACTTTGTTTTATATTGTTATGTTTTTACCACATCAGTCAGCGTCATGTTTTGTGTATAGTAAAAGATATAAAAGATCTGCATTACATATTGATTGATTGATTGATTGATTTTGAGTGTACTCTCTAGAGTATAGCACTGCATTTTCAGAGACTTATCATTAGCAGGAAAAGAATGCATCACATGGCACCTCTAATAGAAGCTTGATTGATTTTCTATTTGTTGTTTGCAATTGATGATGATCACTCCAAATTTGATAATTGTTTGTAATCTACTACAGACACCACAGGCTGAGTTGAATAACAGCCTTGTATAAATAAAACACAAAGTGCTTCTCTCAAATGCAGCATAAGCACCAGAGGCCAGAATTCTATCTCTGTTCTCTGCAGGTGGGACCTTGTGCAAGACACTTCCATGATGCTGGCGTCTTTTAGACTTCATGCCTTCTAAATTTCTTTCCGACTAGGATATTTTAAGAATTGGTGCTACATTCTGTTCCTTGGTGCACTGTGGATGCCCAGAACCTGAGTTGGGAAGGAAAATAGAGGCACCACTCATGGAGGATTTTTGTTTCAAAGGCAATAGATAAGGCGAGGATTGAGTATGGTCAAAATTGCCCTGCAAAAGTGTCTTACGTAGACTTTTCCTTTGCTTGTACATCAGGTGAAGAACTGAGATTGGCTCACATTTAGGAGACATAAAAAACAAACAAAATAAAACTTAAAGCACCAGAGATCCATTCAGCAGGAGAAGACACATAATGAGAAAGGTTATAAGACCTGAGACCAGCGAAGGGAATGGCAGCAGATGCAACCCTCATATGTCGTCCTTTGGGCCCATGTGCATTGAGTGGAATGGCAATTGGTGTGGCCTTCACAACAGAATGTTCTTTTCTGTCTCTGGTGTGTGGCTGAATTTGCTCAAGTTAAGTGACCATGTGTGTAATATTAGGGGCACAGCTACCATTTATTGACCAGACCATGCTTCTGAAAGAATTAGGAGGAGGAGCCTAAAATGTTTTAGCGGCAAGATTCACTGTTTTAAAAATTCAATGCTATGGGAAGCATTTCCCCTTCCACCCTTCTTCTGCTTCTATGTCTCGTTTGGAAAGCAGCCAGTACACCCTCTGATTTCTTCCCAAGGCCAAAGAAATGCCAATTCAGCATTGAGAGCCATCAGGAAGTGATTGAGAGGCTGGCAAAATCCCAGATCTTATGTTTAGGACTGAACAGTGTGAGGGGGGTCTTTTTATTTCTCACAGAGAAATGTGAAGACATTGTATTCCTCAAGTAGCAAACATTGCAAAGGAATGGACATGTGGATTTAGATGTAGCTCCTGGACTAATTTAATTTGGTTATCACTGTTCACTTTTTGATACAGGAGACTCATTTCTGAGCATCTCCTTTGAACTTTTAAAGACAAGAAAATCCCAACAGTTTCCAGCTTTCACCACAACTATTATCACATTCCAAACTAATGAATCTAAGTATGAAGAGAGGGTAAAATTTTAAGGAAAAAAATCTAAAGCCTTTAGACAAATTAAGATCTTAAAACATAAAAGAGTGAAGAAAATTAAGTACGTGCTCAGCCTCTCGGTTTTATTTTGTATTGAATGGAGTTAATATAAGCCCAGATAAAGCTGGGAACTAAAATGCTTAGGTTGTGGAGCTTGTTCAGTAAAAAAATTGGAATTCATAGCTGGATTCTCAAACTTGGCCACAGAGGTTGGTCCTTAGGTGAGCCGGGGAGAGGGGAGTTCAGCCACTTAGCACAAACGCCACAGATGCTCAGTCTTCTGCGTGGGGCACTCATCTTCTCTCTGATGCCTTCCTACCCCTGCCCTTGCTCTAGGCCTCTATCCTGCTATCCCTATTCCCTTCCAGCTCTTACCTCACTGTTAACCAATCACTCTAAACCATTAGCCAAGAATAGCTTAAGGTGTTTTATCTCCCATTCAATAATTCAAACTTCCAAGGATTGACTCTCAAAAGGAAACTTTTCAGGTATGAGGAAAGACATTTTGAGAGAGGGAGCCCCGCCCCCCCCCCCCCCGCCCAGCTTATAAAAACTACTGTTGGGCAACTCATTCTCCTTGCTATCACTCACAAATAATTGGTTTAAAAAATGCTTCTTTGCCAGAATATTAAACTCCACAGGGGCAGAGACAGTACTAGTCATTCTGTCTCTAGGACACAGCGTGGTGTGAAAAGTGTGCTCAAAGATGGAAACGGAGGAAGGTTTTAGAGTCAAGGAATGGTAGAGCTAGGGGGCTACTTGGAGTTTGTCTAGTGCTCCCTCTCACCACAGATGAGAACAACGAAGACTAGAAAAGATAAGGGCAACTGAGAGTTTTTGGCACCATGCTGTGTAGTATTCCAGGCACGCATTACTTTGTTATATAATTTCATACTTCTAATATGTTTTTATGGTTAAAATTTTTATCCTCATTACAGATCAGGAGACCAGGTCTTCTAGAGGGTAAATAACTTGCCCAAAGTCATGCAACTGGCCAGTGACAGAGCTGGGATTTGAAATCAGATCTGTCTGATTCTAATGTGTATCTTCACCTTGTCTCAGCCACCTGTCTCCTGGGAAAATGTTTTGGGATAAGTAGCTGTCCAGGCCCAAGATTGCAGAGCTTATTAGAGGCAAAGCCAGCATTAAACTTGACATTATTTGACTCCAATCCAGTTTGGGGTCACTGATTGGCTGTAAGTAACTCTTTGGGATGCCATAGTTGGCTCCATTATATTAGTTCATTTCAAACACTGGTCTGGCCAGTAACAATATCTCAGTACAATAGCTACCAGAAGAGGCCTTATTCCACGGCCCCTCTCTTCTGCTGTCATGGGAATGAGCTCACATTTCTGACCACCCTAGGTTTTCCTTCTCTTTAGGGGTTTTTCCCAATGACTTGTATGTCTTCACTCATTCTTCAGCCTTTTCTTCTCTGAGTTGGCAGCTGTTCTGGAAGAATGACTTTGCTCTTGCAGGGCCTCTGCAAAATCCTTGGCATAAGTTGAGAATGATTTCCAAAAAAAAAAGATAATCATTTTTGTGTTTTCTTCTTTGTGTTCCATATAAATTTGGCCGGGCTGCTTGAGAGATTAGCAATCTGATCATGTTACCTACCACCCATCTTACTGTCACTGTTCCCCACTGCCCAAGGCCTTAACAGGACGTGCTTCTTGTATGGGCTCACTCTGCTCCCCAGGTTTATTCCCCTATGCTTTCTGCCATGTATCCCTTGCTTCATCCATAAGAATTTCCTGATTTTTCTATGCCCTCCTATGTCTATATGCCCATCATTCCTTCTTCTCTGATGGGTAAATTCCAGCTCATTTTTCAGAATCTAGCTCAAATGTGTCACTTTTCTAGTGCCTCTCTCAACTCCTGCAGGGCAGTGCTAGTGACATCTGGGTTCTCTGTAGAGTACTTTGCACAAATCTCTCTGATAAGGGAAGCAGCAGGGTAGTAGGCTTAGGAGCATCTATTTTGCATTCAAATCCTGGGGCTGCCTCTTTCCAGTTATATGACCTTGAGGAAGTTACTTAACTTCTTAAACCTTGTTTTTTTTTTAATTTAGAAAATAGGGG
This sequence comes from Homo sapiens, assembly GCF_000001405.40. Lineage (NCBI taxonomy): Eukaryota > Metazoa > Chordata > Mammalia > Primates > Hominidae > Homo > Homo sapiens. The sequence continues at coordinate 157,859,107 of NC_000003.12, read as the reverse complement.
TAATAATAATAATGCTGCCTCATGAGGTCATTGTGAGAATTATGTTGATGATCCATGTAAGGTGCTCGGTACAGTGCCTGGGGACACAGTTGGTGGTCAATGACTTACACCCTCATTGTGATGTAGCTTTTTTTTTTTTTTAAATGCCTGTGTCTCCTACTAGATTATAAGCTTCTAGAGATCAGGCATTTGAGTCTTTTCCTTCTATGGGTCTTCCCCCTGGTACATAGTAGGAAGAACAGCCACATGGGTGAGTGGTCAGTGCAATTGACAAGGGCTCTGTTCTCAGAAAGGTCCTGTGTTTGGGGTTAACTGCACTACAGTTGCTGTCTTGAAGTTCTTAATAATTTTATCTTTACATTTGTATTTGTCTGGGTTAGTGTAAGTGAAGTCCAATGGGACAGTGAGGTGTGTGTCAGGGGGCTCAATGCCTGGGCTCACACTGCCTTGCCACTTCTCCAGGATGGGCTCTAGACTGCCTGCTTCATGCCTCTTGGTGCTCTGGCCCTGCCTATCCTCCACTTCCCTACTTGTCCTAATACTGCTGCTGCCTTCTGCTTGAGGTACTAACCAGGTCACACTGCTGAGGTAGGAAGACACTCACATTCTACTGTTACTCTGAGCCCTCAGCAGGGCCTGGGCATGGGTAGAGAAGGTTTACAGTTGAATGTGTGCCTCATGGTGTCTTAGATAGGGCAAGGCAGTGGCTGTACCTTTCCCAGGCTGGAAGCTCCATGGTGAATTTGGTGTATGACTCTGTAGGGGCCTCTCTTCCACTACTAGATTCAGGTGCCAGTGCCTCTAGTGCAAAGGTTGCAGTCCCTTGATGGGGATGCCTGTCTGTTATGGATTGGGGTGGCTGGCTCATGGGCAATGGAGATTGACTTCACTGTCCTGGGTGAGGCCTCTAATTTTCATTTTGCAGTGGGTCTGCAAATTACATAGCCAGCTCTGCTTGTAGGTGCTCAACAACAACAACAACAAATGCTTATTGAAGAAATGCAAGGTGAAGAGGCCAGAGAAGGTAGAGTGAAGATAGAAGAGGATTGGGTTCTTTTTCAAAAATCACAAGCCTAGAAAGGCAGATGGCAAGTGAGTAGACTGCTGGAGAGCTGGAAGGGAACATGCTATTTTATAGTCCAATCTAGAATGACATGTGCTTTTCCATGTTCAAATACATATTCACTTTCCTCTTCTTAGTTCAGTTTTACTCACTTCTTCCTTCCACTCACATTATCCCAAGACCCCTAAAATATCTTCTGTTTTTTCCTTTGCCAGGATGAAACAAGGATCTGCATTTGGAAGATGGGCAATAAAGTGATAAAATCTCATTAGAAAGAATTCCTTATCGTGAATATAATAATGGTGCTCAGACATGTTAAGTGCTTTCTCTTTAGCAGGCATTGTTCATAATGAAAAAGCAACGGGTGATAAATTCTCAGCAGCTTTCAACACAGTCTTTGCAGAGAACTTCCCACGGGTGAGGGGAGAGAGGGACTCTGGCTGAGTGCTTTCCAGATCTTTTACTCTGCTTGCAGCAGTTATCTCTCGGCTGTCCTCCATCTCCAACCCCCACAAACATCCAGTCCCTAATTACTGTGCCAGGAAAGTTCACTTCAGCTGCTACGATTTCTTCCTATATGTTACATGACTTTATAAAAGGGGACTGAGGTAAACTAGGCCAAATCATATCATCAAATATTTATTGAGACCCAATGGAATAAAATAACTCTTCACTTGCTACTTCAGTTCTGGAAACACACACACACACACACACACACACACACACAGGCACACACATAGATGAGGCATCAATTTGGTATCATCTTCAGTGTATTCCGACTAGGCGTATGATTTATAGCAAAACATTAATTAAAATTAAATCATTGAAAAATATCAGGGAGCACAGTGGAATTCTTCATAACAGGGTGTGATCTATTGCAGACAATTAGAAGCATACATCAAGTCATCCAATTTGCCTGTTTGGGAAAGGCAGGGTACAAAAGGCAAAAATTAGGAAGAAATAGACCTTAACAGAGGTTGTTCTGCAAGATCCACCATGAAGTTTCACATCCAACAGTCCTCTTTCTCCACAATACTGAATAAGCCTGCAGTTTCACCTCAAAGATTTTCCAACTTGTAATTTTTCAACCTTCTTCCCAGGGTCTCTGCTAGCCTGAGCCACTGGATCTCATTCTGCCCTCCATTCCCTTTCCTTTCTTTCCCCTCCCCTATTTCTCACATTTCTCTTTCTCCCCCTTCTTCTTTTAAAGCTAGGGACAATGTTTGAAATGCTAGATGTGCCATGTACCTCCAGGCTCAGTAGCATTCATGTGCTGCATGTTTTTACATTAATTTATCAAAACACAAACATAGCAAAACCGCAATGCTAATATAAAGTATATACTCTGTCATTTAAAAAAAAAAGCACCCAGTGAAAATACACAAAACAAACCCAGCCAGCATTCAAACTGCTTTGAAAATAAAGTGGGATTTGTTTGCAAGGATTTAAATTGGTAAATTATTTGAATTTCTCCACCCCTGGGTGAATGATTTAGATGGCCTTGACCCCAGCCTGACTGCAGGGATTAATGTGGGATAATGATTGCTGAGGCTATCATTGCAGCCGGCATCATTAATTATCCTTATTGATTGCAGCTTTCAAAGATAAAGCATTATGCTGACTGGAAAATACCCTCTCCCTGCAAGGTCAAGGCTAAAATAGGGAAGCTAAATAATTGCATTACAAACAAAGAAATAAAAATAACCTCTCAGAACATTGTGTAATTAAGATCCAATTACAACGTTTGTTCTTGTTTATAAAATGACAGAGTTCTTCTTGTCAAGTCATTTTCCCGAAAATTGCTTCAGTACATGATAATTGCATTATAGCAGGTAACCAGAAGGGAGCATTAAAGGAAGGATCAGTTTCCTTGGATAGCTGCCACTGCTCTTGCTGTCTGACTCACCTACGAAAGTGTGAGAGCCCTGAGGGACTCGTCTAAAAATACTAATGATATGTTAAATGAAGGGGGTTAGATGGAGGAAGTAATAATTGGGCCTCAAATCCTATTATATTTCTTTTGGATAGTGTAATGGAGCTTAGAGTTATCCCAAGGATGTTATCGCCGACATCTTTCTTTACCCCTTTCTCTGGCCACATCATTTTCATTGCTGTTAGAATCTTGGCTCCAAAGCCCTATTCGGTTGTAAATATCTCTGGTGAAAGAGATCAGTATTACAGCTTCTCTGCTATTGATCAGATTTTGGATTATTTTTTTCTTTTTTAAAACAAGAGGCTTTTAAGGGTAAAACCCAAAGCTATGCATGGTTTGCTGTGCAAAAATATTTTTAACAAATTGCTTATGTTTTTCTTCCACTAAAGGTCTTCTGCTACATGCCCTGAAGCAGCACCTATTAAGGTTTGATTAGAAAAAGGGTGGCCTTGGGTGCCTGGGAGCTTCTGCAGGAGTGGTGAGTCTACTCTTCAGTGGTGAAGCCTATGACCTATGCCAGGCATCGGGCCTTTCGGGAACTTAGTTCCTTCATCTGAGAAAGTGGGGATCATTAATATGATCCTGCCTAAGTCAAAATGAGTTGAAAACTGAGGAGATAACAATAACAACAACAAAAATCTTCTATAGAAATGATTTCTTATATAGTGGGAGTACTTGAATAGAAGATGTTGTCAAAATAAAGGGTAATGCTTTATACTCCCCTTACTTTGTTAAAGGGAGGCAAGGGAGAGAGTGAGTGAGAGCATGCCACCATTCATGACTTTCTTACAATGGGTTAGGCACAGTACTGAGCATTTTAATTATTTCATTTAGTCCTCACAACCACTCTGTGATAGATACTATGATTATTCTTATTTTATAAACAGATGGGAGAAGCTGAAGCTCAGAGAGGTTAAGTAATTTTCCTGCTAACACACAACTGAGAAGTTGTGGAGTAAAGATTCAAACATGTGCCACAGCTAACTATGAACTCTGCTTCTTTTTGATCCATATAGTTCCAGGAAAGACTATAATTCCAGGCCTGCATCTCTGCTGCTTGAACCTAGTCCCCTTTTTCAGCTTTATCTACTAGCCTCATGCATTCTACATTTCTTACTATAGAAATGAAAGATGAGTACATTCTTCTTGTAAAAATTCTGCCTGGTGCAGTGGCTCACACCTGTATTCCTAGCACTTTGGGAGGCTGAGGCGGGTGGATCACTTGAGGTCAGGATTTCGAGACCAGCCTGGCCAACATGGCAAAACCCCGTCTCTACTAAAAATACAAGAATTAGCTGGGCATGGTGGTGCTCACCTGCAATCCCACCTACTTGGGAGGCTGAGGCACGAGAATCACTTGAACCCAGGAGGCAGAGGTTGCAATGAGCCAAGATCATGCCACCGCACTCCAGCCTGGGTGACAGAGCAGACTCTGTCTCAAAAATAAAATAAAATAAAATAATTTAAAAAATAAATAAAATAAAAAATAAAAACATTCACAAAATACCTAAGTTCATAGAATAGAATGTGGAAGGCCTTTAGGTCTTTAGATGTAGCAACTGTTAAGAGTCTGGTGTGCCTTTTTTACAGCCTTCTTTTTGTTTACATAGATGCAAACACATTATTTTTTATTTTACATATAATGGGATTATAAGTTTTATTCTGCAACTTGTCTCATTTCCTTAAGAGTATACCTAAGAGAGATTTCCAAGCAGTATATAGAGATCTGTCTGTTTATTTATAGACTTCCAGTGTAGGAATGTGTAATAATTTATTTAAACTGACTCTTATTTTGGGGCATTTAGGTTGTTTCCAATTGTACAGTAACAGTCAATGCTACAGTGAACATCTGTGTAGATCTATCTTTATGAACATGTGAATATTTCTCTAGGTTGTATTACTAGAAGTCAAATTTCTGGGGCAAAAGATGTACATGTAGATTTTGATAGATAATAAAAATTTGCCTCTCCAAAAGACGGTACCAATCTATGTTACCATAGAATGTGTATATTGTAAAATATGCATTTTTTCTTCCATATTCACAAACATAGGATATTATTAGTCTTCTAATTTTTCAGTCAGTTTTTTGGATGAGAAATTATAACTTTTCTTACAAGTTGCATTTTTATAGTGAGGTAAAATATTTTTATATGTTTATTGGTCATTTATTAATCTATCTTCTTACATAGCAACCATTAAAATACTTGCTTATTTTTCCATTGAGTTACTTAATAGACATTTGTCTTTTTTGTTTTGTTTTTTATTGAAACATCCTAGCATCCTGGCCTGGTTAATTTGCTACTCTTGCCTAAGTCACTGAAGCTTGAGGAAATGATGCAAAGCCACAGGGATAGTTGATTAATATTCTGTAGTGGCTCTGATAGTGCCATAGGCTGTGTCTTTACTAGACTGTTTCTGGCTGTCTAATCTCCCTTTGTTCTTGCTCAAGTTCCAAGCTTTCCATTGATGTGGTGAGCTACCTGATGGCCTTCTAAAAATTCTTTTTGCTTATGTTAGCCAGAGATCATTTCTATTGATTGCAATAAAAACTCCAAAAGTTATAGTAATTAACAAGAGAGTAGATCATAGTCAAAAGACCCTCAAGGAACTGAGGAAGAGCTGGAATTGGTTACATAGCCTGAAGGGGGATGAAGGCAATGGGAATCCTACTGGTATTCAAAGATTTGAATTTGGCAGACCGTGGCAAGGGGTGGTGAAACAACTATTATGATGTAAAATTATTTGAATTATTGCTTGTGGTGATCTAGAATGAAGTGTCTATTGAGGATAAGACTGTGGATAAAAATTTTGTTATTGTCACAAGGTAGTATGAGGAGACATGAGAAATTCAAGACTATGAGTAGGATAGGTGCTCCAGGGCCCTGGGCATCTTAAATAAAATAAATAAGTCAAGTCTCTTAAGTTTTGACTCAAGGCATTGGGGTGAAACTAGAAGATTTTCATGACGACTTCCAATAATTTCATGAAGACTTTCCAAGACTAGAAGACTTTTAGATGAAGCTAAAAGTGTCTTTTATTTCTTGAAACCCAAGGACTAATGTTACTCAATATCAAATAAAGATTTAATCCTTTGAGATGCCAAACGTGTGCCATCAGTTGAATTCATAGCTTAGTTGGATCCTTTACGTGAAAGTAATTATTCAGTAAAAGAATGAAAGAGAACTGGAATAGAGATATACAAGAGATTTCAGATGACTGGATTATGCTGAGCCCGAATTCCATGTAAAGTTCCCTTGTTCTCCAGATTGAGCAGCTTCTCCTCCATGTCAGATGAGGCTATTATCACATTTCCACCTGAGAGAAGTACCTTGTAAAAGAATGCAGGTACTCATCATTCCCTTCTCCATACATTGTCTCTAGTCACATAATTAGATAACGGGTTAGATGCCAGAGTATGGCTTGGGGCTGATTTTAAAAGTGAACAAGTGAGTAGAGGAACTTATATACCAAAAATAAATGAATTAATTAAAAATTCTTATTGCTGTATAATATTCCATTGTGTGAATATGAAACAATTTATTCATTCTACTGTTGATGGACTTTTGGATTATTTCCAGTTTTGAGATAATATGATAAATGCTTTGCTTATGCGTAGTTTCTGGTGAATTGCATTTTTGTTGGGAATACACCAGGGACAGTATGTATGTTTGATTTTAGTAGATAACAGTTTGTCAAAGAGATTGTACTAATTTACATTTTCACCAGGAGTGTTCAAGACTTTCACTTGCTCCATACCCTTCTTTACCAATACATAAAACTGTTGGTCTTTTTCATTTCAGACATTCTGATGGGTATTCTTACTGAGGTTACCTTACCCTGATGACCAATGAGATTGAATACTTTTATATGTTTATTGATTATTTGAATATTTACTCATGTGAAATGTCTCACATGAGGCATATGATCTAAATACCTTAACCATTTTTTGTTTGATTATCTGCTTTAAAAATTGATCTGTAGGGATTATTTACATAGTCTTTTACTTTGTGGCTTGCCTCTTGCCTAATGGTGTCTTTTGATGAATGTTGATTATCTTCTAATTCTGTCTATGGCATCTTTCTTTGTATAGAAATTTAAATTTTCGAGGTACTCAAAACTGATTTTTTTTGTGGTTTGTAAATTTTGTATATTGCTTAGAATGGCCTTTTTCTGCCTCAAGATTTAAAACCTCATTTTTCATACTTTTAATTCTCTTTTTTTTTGAGACAGTGTCTTGCTCTGTCGCCCAGGCTTGGAGTGCAGTGGTGCAATCTCGGCTCACTGCAAGCTCCGCCTCCTGGGTTAACCCCCATGCTCCTGCCTCAGCCTCCCAAGTAGTTGGGACTACAGGCGCCCACCACCAGGCCCGGCTAATTTTTTGTATTTTTAGTAGAGACGGGGTTTCACCGTGTTAGCCAGGATGGTCTCGATCTCCTGACCTCATGATCCACCCACCTCGGCCTCCCAAAGTGCTGAGATTACAGGCGTGAGCCACCATGCCTCGCCTTTTAATTCTTGTATTAGACTTATCAAAAATATGAAATTGGTTGGTGCTACAAAAGATATCAAAAAATATGTATTTCAGAGAATCAACTATAAGTTATTATTATTAGCAAGAAAGTTAATTAAGGTGACCAGACACAAGATCAACATACAGAAATAACTACATGGCAGTTAAATATACTTAGAAAATTTAAATATACTTAGAAAATTTAAATATACTTAGAAAATTTAGTGAAGATAGGATACCTTTATTAATAGAAAGTAGAAAATAGGATACCCTTATCGATAGAAAGTAGTAACTATTACATAGTATATACCTTGGTCTCCACACTCCCTTTTGCATTTGTAACACTCTCTATATAATAAAACACATTCTTATGAACACATAGATCTGTTTTAAAACTCCTTATTCTATTCCACTGAACTATTTGTCTATTTCTGCATCAATATAATACTATTTTAGTTATGATAACCTCTAAATATATTTTGATATCTGGTAAAGCAAGTGCTATCACATTGTTCATTTTCAAACATTCTTGGCATTTTCTCTTTTACATAAATTTAGAATCAGCTTGTCAAGTTTCATAAAATTTTACTGTTAGGATTTTGATTGGGATTGCATTAAGTGTATAGATTTATTTGGGGAAGGGATTTATACTTTTAAGATACTGGGTCATTTTATTTAGAAACTAGGTATACTTCTTCAATTAATAAAATATTCTCTTATGTTTCTTCATAAAGTTTTAAAATTTTCTCCATATAGTTCTTATTCATTGCATGGACATTTTATGCCAGGGTACTTTATGGCATACAACTGCTCTCTATTGATAAAGGTATCCTATCTTCACTAAATTTTCTAAGTATATTTAACTGCCATGTAATTATTTCTATATGTTGATCTTGTGTCTGGTCACCTTAATTACCTTTCTTGCTAATAATAATAACTTATAGTTGATTCTCTGAAATATATACTTTCTGTTATCTTTTGTAGGACCAACCAATTCCATATTTTTGATAAGTCTAATACATGAACATTTGATTAAAATATTTTGAAAGGCCAGGCGCGGTGGCTCACACCTGTAATCCCAGCACTTTGCGAGGCCGAGGCGGGTGGATCACGAGGTCAGGAGATAGAGACCATCCTGGCTAAAACGGTGAAGCCCCGTCTCTACTAAAAAATATAAAAAATTAGCCGTGCGTGGTGGTGGGCGCCTGTAGTCCCAGCCACTGGGAGGCTGAGGCAGGAGAATGGCGTGAACCCGGGAAGCGGAGCTTGCAGTGAGCCGAGATCGCGCCACTGCACTCTAGCCTGGGTGACAGAGCGAAACCCTGTCTCAAAAAAAAATTTTTTTTTAAAGAAAAATAGATCTTAATTAAGAGCAACAGTTGCTCCCCTAACTGCTGGTTTGTCAAAGAGGAGTGCTACATTTGTAGTAGATGCTGCCTGTGTCTGGAATTCTTGATTGGATGTGGAGCACCCCCACATATTACTAATCATCTGCAACCTACATTTGAGAATTACTAAATAAGAAGAGGCATAATCTGTGTCAGTTTGCAATTACTATTTGCTCTGGTAAAATATTTCCTTTTGGCATTATTTATTGAAGCTCTTCCTTTCCTGAATTAGCACAGGTTATTGTAGTTACCTGAATTACCTATAGATTCCCAAATCCTACTTATTCATTCAGCCAGTTATGTATGAGGCTTGTGTTGTACATCAGGCACAGAGGATCTGTAGTGAAACAACACTCAGTCCCTTTCTTCAAAAAGCTTATGGTTTATTAGGAAGTTCCACAAATACATGGATGATTACGGCCTAGATTTCCTGTGTGTGAACCATGATTAAAAGCATGATGATATGGTTTGGCTCTGTGTCCCCACCCAATCTTATGTCAAATTGTAATTCCTAATGTTGGGGGGAGGACCTGCTGGGAGGTCTTTGGATCATGGGGGTGGATTTCCTCCTTGCTGTTATCATGATAGTGAGTGACTTCTCATGAGATCTGGTTGTTTAAAAGTGTGTAGCACTTCCCACTTTGCTCTCCCTCTTTTCCCAATTTTCTGGCCATGAGAAGGCCTGCCTTGCTTCCCCTTTGACTTCCACCATGATAGTAAATTTCCTGAGGCCTCCCCAGCCATGCAGAACTGTGAGTCGATTAAACCTCTTTTCTTCTAAATTACCCAGTCTCAGGTAGTTCTTTACAGCAACGTGAGAACAGACTAATAATACATGATTACACTGGAAATGGGAATTCAACTCAGGGCTTGAATTTTAGATATAATGCTATATTGAGGGTTTGGAATAGATCCAGAAAATGTTTAATATCCTTCATCACTTCAGACTTGTGAATGTTGGTTGGATCACAGAATTTTAAATCTGAAAAGGATCACCTAGTTTATTCTAAAGATGAGGAAAGAGAGGCCCACAGAGGCCATCTGCTTTGGCCAAGTGAGTAATCTGTGTAAATGCCATGATGTGAAATTAAATCTCTCCATACCCTTCATCTAGGACATTTTTCATGAGACCACATATAATTTACTCTCCCTCAAATGATATTCAAAGCAGTGCTATATTTTATTCAGATCAGTAATTCTTTTGACCTCAGTTTTAGGATATTATAAAATGTTGTTGGATTTTCAGGATTTCTAAAATTAAGCTTAATTTTAAGTCATTGTATAAAAATGTATTATTATTATTATTTATTTATTTATTTATTTTTAAGACGAAGGTTCATTCTTGTCCCCCAGGCTGGAGTGCAGTGGCGCCATCTTGGCTCACTGCAACCTCCGCCTCCTGGCTTCAAGCAATTCTCCTGCCTCAGCCTCCCAAGTAGCTGGGATTACAGAGGCCTATAATCCCATGCCCAGATAATTATCCCACCATGCCCAGATAATTTTTGTATTTTTAGTAGAGACGGGGTTTCACCGTGTTGGCCAGGCGGGTCTCAAACTACTCACCTCAGGTCATCCACCCACCTCAGCTTCCCAAAGTGCTGGGATTACAGGCGTAAGACACTGCACCCGGCCTATTTATTTTAGATGGAGTCTCACTCTCTCACCCAGGCTGCCTCCTGGGTTTAAGCGATTCTCCTGCCTCAGCCTCCCGAGTAGCTTGGATTACAATCGCCCCCTGTAATCCCAGCTAGTTTTTGTATTTTTAGTAGAGAGGGGGTTTCACCATGTTGCCCAGGCTGGTCTTGAACTCCTGACCTCAAGTGATCCACCTGCCTCGGCCTCCCAATATTTTTATTTTTTATAGAGGCAAGTTTTGCTCTGTTACCTAGACTGGAGCACATTGACATGATCATAGCTCACTGCACCCTTGGATCCTCCCACTTCAGCCTCCAGAGTAGCTGGAACTACAGGTATGTACCACCACAACTGGCTAATGTTTTCATTTTTTTGTAGAGATGTGAGGGGTGTCTCGCTGTATTGCCCAGGCTGGTCTTGAACTTCTGGTCTCAGGCAATCCTCCCACTTTGGCCTCCCAAAGTATAAAAATTTATGTTATTTTATATACAGATCTATTTTTCCGAGGCAGGAGGGTATTATGAAATAAAATTTAAAGTGAAAAGCTTAACTTTTGGTGGCTAGCCATGCATAGTGTATACTCCAAACAAATGCAGTTGAGTGATATGGATCATGTGAGAGTTACAATCATTGGCTTTGGATCTCACTAATGCTGGGCTTTCAGCCTAACTATTCCACAGATTCTGTGTATTTGAGCAAGTTCTATACCTTCTATGAGACTTTGACATTCTTCACTGGTAAAATGGGATAATACCTACATTACAGGGTTATTGTGAAGATCAAATCAGATAATACATATAAAAAGCTTAGCACAGAACCTGGAATACATTCCCATTCCCTGTTATTGATAACTATTAAATTGTTAGATATGGACGACTGCCACTGACCTGTATAGTCCCGTTTTATCACATAAATTCCCTCCATCTTTAGATGTTTCTGTGTGCCTGTGCTTCTCAGATGTAGTGAAATCACCTGTTAGTAATTAACATTTCACATTATGGTGTGATTGAAGTAGTTTTCTTTCTCATCAGTTTATTACATCATGGTATTAAAATATGATGTTAAAGGTTTATGGTACTTAGGTATATATAAGGCAAACACTAAAGCATCTTAGCATACTTAAAAGACTGGAAACTAAGTAACTATTTAATTTTAAAGATGATGCCTATTTTTTTGCTGTCAATAGTCTGACTACTCAATAAAGCAGTTATTGAAACATCTCAGGAATACATGGACCCTGTCTTCAAGAAATTTAAAGTGTAGTTATGAACATAAGACATAACTGTGTGAAAAGAACAACAAATTCAGAATACTATGAAAAGTATGGGCAGGTAAATTATTATAATAGAGAAAATAGGACTATGAATATAAAGGAGGGGAGAATATTTTTCCTGGGAAAGCCTAATCTGGGAAAGCCTCATGGATGAGGATGAATGGATCTTATTGAATAGGTAAGATTTAGGGGCAGAATGGAGGGAAGGCAGAAGGTGGCAGACAGGACAAATTATGTTCAGGGAACAATTAGTTGATCAGTTAACCCTAAAGAGAGAATTCATAAACCTTTAGGTTATAATCAGATTATACAGAGTGTTTAACCACTTTAAGTATGCAAGGTTAAGACATTTAAACTTTGTTCTGTTGGCAGCAGGGAACCATGACCTTCTCAAATAGGGGAGTTAAATCAGCAACAAGCATTTCAGAAAGATTAATCTGTTGGCCAGTATAGCCTGGAATCAGAAGGGAAACTAGAGACAAACAGATCATTCAGTAGGCACAATTAAGAGGTGGTGAAGGGCTGAGTGGTGGAGATGAAAAGGATGGGGAGAATGAAGTTGCATTATTGCACCAAATTACCAACAAATGGTTACTGGCTAGACATGTGACAAAGTAGCTTCAAGCTCAGTAACACTCATAGAAATGGGGAATTCATCAGTAGGGGATAAGTTTTGTATAAATTTTCATCAAGTAAAGTTTGGCAAAATATTCAAGTGGGATTGTTTGGTAACTATTCAAGATTGACACTAAAAACATAGATTTGGACATTATCAGTAAGATGTTAAGAAGACAGTGGTGGAAAGGAGAGCTGATCAGTGAGATTAAGTTTTATAAGTTTGGGAGTAGAAGAAAAGAATGATGCATGAAGATGGCTAGAGGAGGCTACTAGGCCAAGTGTTTCTCTTCTTTTTCTTTTTTTCCAAAGGATGGGGAAGGCATGTGAAGTTTAAAGTTAGAGGTGAGGGTGCCGGACGCAGTGGCTCATGCTTGTAATCCCAGCACTTTGGGAGGCTGAGGCGGGTGGATCATCTGAGGTCAGGAGTTCGAGACTAGCCTGACCAACATGGTGAAACCTCATCTCTACTAAATACAAAAAAATTAGCTGGTTGTGGCGGGCACCTGTAATCCTAGCTACTTGGGAGGGTGAGGCAGGAGAATCACTTGAACCTGGGAGGCAGAGTTTGCAGTGAGCCGAGATCACGCTATTGCACTCCAGCCTGGACAACAAGAGCGAAACTCCATCTCAAAATAAATAAATAAATAAATAAATAAATAAATAAATAGTTAGAGGTGATGGGAAGGAATAAAAGGTATTTAAGAGGGAATACTCGGGGAGAGGGGGCTTAATGGGAAATATGAAATCAAGAGTCAGATTGAGATGAGACTCACGATATGATGACTATTTTCCTTGCCATATCCTAGGTAACTTCCTCTAAGGTTTTGCATGACGTTTATAAGACAGCTTACTCAGGATAGTTAAACCTGGATGAAGGAAGATGAATTTGTGTGTATTTTCTAACTTTTCCTTGGATAAGACTGTCTACATTGAATGGAGCTGCAAAATAATGCTGCTGCCTCATTTTGCAAAATCAGTAAAACTCCAGATATGGATTCTCTGTAGCCTAGTGGTTGTAGGTGAGATAGTTTGCTTCTTAAATTATGCTGGGAAAATAAGGAAAAATGCAAGCATTTCCTGACATAAAATTAGGAAAATGAATCTGTCAACTGCTGAATATTGTTAGAGTGCTAGGGTTTGGATTTGCACTGTTTGATGTCACAATTAATTTATCATTGTCAAAGTATGACTTCCTGTTTTTGACCCCACACCAAAAAGGCATAAAGGAGTTTGTGAAGGAAAGCTTCTTGGAAATCAAATGGCTCGTCCAAAACAGCATTTTAATGATTTAAGTAAAAACGAATCAGAAACATGTGGATTTAATTTCCCTTAAAATTCACATGGGTTTGAAATTTAAAGGAAAATAGTACTTGGCACAATGTGTTTAGGGTTTGGTTAAACTCAAAACATTTGAAAAACCCTTTGGAACACTGGTGACTTCAAAATACATATGGGCTTGCCCATCCATGTGGGCATGGTTACAAAACCCTCATCCTTCGTGGCACTGTTCAAACATTCTATCAACATGTTTTGGTTTTCACAGGCTTAATTAGGATAAAAATAGCAAATTGTATTAATTGCCTACTGTGTGCTATCAATAAAGTAGAGAGCCAAAGTTTTCCCCTTTTCACAGCTAGGAAGTCTTTACTGGAATGTGGTCAAGGGAAATCCCCACACAGACAGTCAGAATGGGCCTCTAGCACAATGCTTTGAAAATGAGAATTCTGTTACATTAACCATTCATACTCATATCCCCTGCTATTGCACAACTCCATTAAATTTCAGGAGCATGAAAAAGAGAAACGTTATGCTATGGAGTACTGAGTTGGTAATCAAACATTGCCTTGGATTTTAAACAGTTACTTTAAAAGGTCATTTTGGTGTGTGCTGAAAAGGCAATACATACTTAAAATGTTACATTTGGGACATTAATTAAAATATGTAAAGAAGACCATGAAAATGAGGAAAACCAGTGGTTGGCAAAGTAATCTCTTTGCAGTTGCAACCCCCACTCACCCACATGGCAAGCCCAGTTGTTAGCAACTCAGTGACAAGGGTATTTGTAATGAAACCCGCAGAGGTTCTGCCTGATATGTGCTCATATTATTTATAGCCAATTATATTAGTCCCAAAGCTGAGTGACACCTAGGGAGATAATTGAATTTCTTAGATTTCTCCCTTTACACTCTCTGCCACAATCAGAGAAACACAATTTTGAATTCTCCTGTCTCTTAGGGTAAGACCACGCAGTTCGTGTAATTGGATAAGTCCCTAGAGAAAGCTGGCTTCTCCACTGCCTTTTATAACAGCTTTATGGAAAGTTGGCCTCAATTTTTTAGGTGACTTTTTCAAGAGACAAAAAGGATGAGACTTAAAATAATCTCTTCTCATTTTTACCCAAGGAAGTTTATGAACCTTAATCATACAAAAAGAACTGCTTAAAGAAGTTATCTCATAAGGTCTAGGCTACATGAAAGAAATAATCTTTAGAAAAGGACAGCATTAGTTGTTTGAATAAACAGTAAAATACAGCTCCTTAAGAAATCCTTCCTGCCCCCACCTCTTAAGAGAAAATTTTAGATGATTGTGGCTGGTAATCAAATCTTGGGAGAGGCTGTCATATACAGTGCCCTAGGTAATTGTGATCAACTTAGACAACCAGTCCACAAGTTATAAAAAGATGACACGTTGACATATGAGAGATACCAGGAAATATCTATCTACATTCATATAAAAGTTTGTATAGTTTTTCTAATCTCCTTTCATATTTATGCTTCTTGATGATCATCTGACATTCTTGGCAAACTTAGGGGGAAATCAACCGTAGATATAATATCCACCACTTTAATTCAGCAAATTTGAGATCCTGAGATTTGAGAATATTGGAGGAAGCAATGCAGCATGTCTTTCATTAAAGGAGGCAGAGAGGTTAATGGGGACTTCTGCATTACTCAGAGCTGGGTTTCTTATGACCCTGTAGCTACAGCTGTATTATTCTCATCTGTTCTGCTGAGGAGACATTAAAATATCCCCCACAAACGGGAATACATGGAAGGTAAGATCTTCCTTGGTGTTGCTCACATCCGTATAGATTTTTAGCCTTGCTCATTTTGCTGCTGCTGCTACTATTGTTGTGGAATTGCTAAGGGAGGTACCAGTGGTCTTTTCTTTAAGGATGACAGAAGAAATGGCCAACAAAAACATTATAGGCAATGTGCCTACATAACAGTTATGAAACACATTTCATTTCTTAAATTAATTATATAATGGGGCTAGGTATTCATGGCACCAATTACTGTTCATAAAAGGCTCTTTTAAAAGATGGGAATAAATAGAAGATTTTTTTTGGAGGGAGTATGAATTAAAGACTCCTTTCTCCCTCCTCTCTTATTTCCACATAAATTAATCCTACAATTTAATAAACTAACAGGTGGTTCCACTTCAGGCTGAGCAGATGTTAGACTGAATGAATGGAGTCCCCTCTTGTGTTCAATCTATCCCTGAGCTCTTTCTTTCTTTATCTCTTCCCATTCCCTTTTCTTTTCCCCTATTTCTGCCAGATTTATGAGCAGCTACGGTATGAACTGTTTTGTTTCAGCAATATGAATATTAATGAGTGACAAATGCTTATTCTAGACGTATTGGTGACATTCATAATTCTGAATGTGTAGACATTTTTCACCAAATAATGAGGTACCAGATTGCCATACCAGGAAAGTTCCTTCTCTTGGTGCCTATAAGTAGATAATTTCTATTACTTTACAGATGGGACTCTAATAAATTGGAAACTTATTCCAGAAGAAGTTAAGAAAAAATACAACATTAGACTCATCACTCAGAAAATCCCTATATTGCTCAGATGCATTATTACTTCAGTAACATCTTTGACTCCCTTCTTGCCCCCACCCCAGTTTAAAAGGAAGAGCTTTCTATGTCTTCTTCTCTTCAGATCTAACCTAGAAATGATTTCATGTTCTTAGTTTCACAGAGACTTTGTAAATAATGGAATATAAGAAGTAAATCAAGAGAGAATTGTAATGTTCCCAACACAAAGAAAACATAAATATTTGAGGTAGTGGATATCCCAATTACTCTGATTTGATCATTATGCATTGTATATATGTATTAAAATATCACACATACTCCCAAAATATGTAAAACCATGATATAGCAATAAATTTTTTTTTAAAGGCTAGAAGACATTTGTTGCTTCCAGTAAATCTTTTTACAATTCTTCACCCAGGGAATGGCTTTTGGACAATGTTTAAAATGGCACTATTTAGGTGAAAACTGTTTTTCATTTTTTATACTAAAATTACATATATATTTTATGCTTTTGACATAAAGTCAGATTGTACTTAGTAAAGACTTATTTTCTGGGTCGTACTTCTGACTCCTGACTAAAAATATACCTGGAAGCTCATGGAATGTTCCTGGCTCTTCCAAAGCATTAGTAAAAGTCACTTTCTCTGCTTGGGACTATCCAGACATAGTGGAGACATGGCTGATGAGAGGAAAAAGTCCCCTCAGCAACCAATCATCAAGATTGAGACAACACTGAAAAATATCCATCCTGTTCCTGGCTTTTCCCCTTCCATTCTTTTCCTAAAGCTTATCTTCCAATAAGAAAGGAAGATAAGGAAGCAAGAACAGAAGATATGATTTCTCTTAGTATTGGGATAGTTTCATCTTTGATTTTAGAAAAGCAGCAAAGAATACATTCGATTTCTATCACTGATTATAAGTGAGGCCTCTGGAAAGTTAGGACATTATCTACGTACATAAATGAGTTTCTTCTACTTATAAAATAGAGTTGTCAGAACCTGGCGGGAGGTAGAGAGTTCTGAGAAGATGAGGTTAGTGTGTGAACCAGAGTGAGGTGTGGAAGGATTCCCTCAGTGGCCAATAGGCATAACGGCCCATGGTTCTACTTTCTCTGGTCTTATTCTGCATCTCTGATATCATTGGTTTCAGCCTGCTGTTTTCTTTGTCACCTACACTCTGATTTATATTGTGCCTGAGCTTGACTTTTTCTATCAAGCCTCATTCCATAGTGTACCTGATGTTGATTTGACAATGTGATTCTCATCAATTACCTTTCTCATTTACATTCTTGTTTGCTGCCTCGATTTCTTCCTAAATCTTGACCTCTGAGTTCTTGAGCCCAGGCCAACAGCCTGACTTCAGCTCTGATAAGTTTTTCTTAACAAGCTTAGCATCAAAGACCTGAGGCTGTACCCTGATAGGAGCTAGTGTCCCCTGAATTTCATCTCAGATGCTATGGAAATTATTGCTAAGAATACCATCTACCAGGCATCAAGTATCTGTTAGGTTCTAGACTTTGTAATAGAAATTTTATACATGTTATCTCTAATATAATGTGGTATCTCTAACCTAATGAAGCTGTATAGTGTGCAGTGTAAGAGCGTAAACTCTGGCATCTGGATCCCTGGATTTGGATTCTTGTCACATTTATTAACCGTGTGGCTTTGAGCAAGTTACTTAAAACTCTATGTGCTTCAGTTTTCTTATATATAAAATGAAAATAGTATTAATCATAGAGAGTTTTTGTGATAACTAAATGATTTAAAACAAGAAATATGCTTACGATAGTACCTGGCACAGAGAAAAGCTTAATAAATGTTAGCTATTACAGTTATTACTATTTTCAGTCAATATTCTTTGGAAGTGTGAGCACATTAAAATATCATTGTTAAAGTTAGTTTGTTTAGGTTTCTTTTTAATTACTTAATTAAAGAAATTTTAGATTATTTTATCTTCTAAGTAGTTATGGTACAATTATTTTTATTTTTGTTTGCAATGAAAAGTGAAACCATGGAGATATCTGGAACATATTGTTATTTTACATTTTTTTTACTTCCTATGGAAGAATACTGCCAAAGAAGTATTGTTTTTGTTTTAGTGAGAAAAGAATTAGAAAATAGGAGAACAAACCAGAAAAAGCTGACACATCACTTAAACCTACAGCAAATTCGACCCTGTGGATGTCCATAATTAGGCAAAACTTGAGATGTGTTTAATGGTATCAGGCATCTTGTTCTTGTTCTACTGATATTTCTGCTTCTAAAGTAACTGGATCTGGTCCGGACTAATATCACCTAAAATGGTGAATTATAAAACTCCATAGCAATTGTTCATTTGACAAGTATTTTTTTAAGTACCTACCCTGTCCTAGGCACTGTCTAGCTCTGGGGGTTCAGACATGAACAGGGCAAGCAAGGACAGTCCCCTCTTGCCTTTGACATTCTGTTTTTTTTTTTTTTTAAACAGAGTCTTGTTCTGTTGCCCAGGCTGGAGTGCAGTGTGTGATCTCAGCTCACTGCAACCTCCACCTCCTGGGCTCAAGCAATTCTTCTGCCTCAGCCTCCCAAGTAGCTGGGATTACAGTCGTGCGCCACCATGCCTGGCTAATTTTTGTATTTTTAGTAAAGATGGGGTTTCACCATGTTGGCCAGGCTGGTCTCAAACTCCTGACCTTGTGATCTGTCGGCCTCGGCCTCCCAAAGTGCTGGGATTATAGGCGTGAGCCACTGCACCCAGCCTTGTCTCTGGCATTCTAAAGGGGGGAAATGTGCAAGGAAGAATGTCAAAGATGGTGATGTGATGGCGAGTGATGGGGCAGGTGGTTGGGCATTCCTTAGGGTAGGGCAGTAGAGGAGATGTTAGAAAGGAGCCAGCCATTGAAGACCTGGGGCTGAGGGGACAAGCTGAGAACAGATCACATTCAAGAACGTGCCATGAAGTGGGAATGAACATGGACTATTGGAGGAAATGAAAGAAGCCAGTGTGGCTGGAATGTCAGGATAGGTGGACCACGGTAAGAGTTTAGATTTTTAGTGAAATATAAAGTCACTGGAGGATTTTTTTCCCAATTATTTGTGATTTTTTTTCTCTTTTTTTTATTATTATTATACTTTAAGTTTTAGGGTACATGTGCACAATGTGCAGGTTAGTTACACATGTATACATGTGCCATGCTGGTGTGCTGCACCCATTAACTCGTCATTTAGCATTAGGTATATCTCCTAAAGCTATCCCTCCCCCCTGCCCCCGCCCCACAACAGTCCCCGGTGTGTGATGTTCCCCTTCCTGTGTCCATGTGTTCTCATTGTTCAATTCCCACCTATGAGCGAGAATATGCGGTGTTTGGTTTTTTGTTCTTGCGATAGTTTACTGAGAATGATGATTTCCAATTTCATCCATGTCCCTACAAAGGACATGAACTCATCAATTTTTTTTTTTTTTTTTTTTTTTGTGATGGAGTCTCGCTCTGTCACCAAGGTTGGAGTGCAGTGGCGCGATCTTGGCAACTGCAACCTCCACCTCCCAGGTTCAAGTGATTCTCCTGCCTCTGCCTCCAGAGTAGCTGGGACTACAGGCGCCTGCCACCACTCCCAGATAATTTTTGAATTTTTTTTTTTCTTTTTTTTTTGAGACAGAGTCTCGCTCTGTCGCCCAGGCTGGAGTGCAGTGGCGTGATCTCGGCTCACTGCAAGCTCCGCCTCCCGGGTTCACGCCATTCTCCTGCCTCAGCCTCCCAAGTAGCTGGGACTACAGGCGCCCACCACCAGGTCTGGCTAATTTTTTTTTTTGTATGTTTTTAGTAGAGACAGGGTTTCACCATGTTAGCCAGGATAGTCTCGATCTCCTCACCTCTTGATCCACCCGCCTTGGCCTCCCAAAGTGCTGGGATTACAGGCGAGAGCCACCGCGCCCAGCCTAATTTTTGTATTTTTAGTAGAGACAGGGTTTCATCATGTTGGCTAGGATCATCTCTACTTCTTGACCTCGTGATCTGCCTGCCTGGCCTCCCAAAGTGCTGGGATTACAGGCGTGAGCCACTGTGCCTGGCTGTCACTGGAAGATTTTAAGCAGAGGAACCATGTTCAACGTACTTTTAGCCAAGTTCACTTTGCCGTTTGGAGAATGGACAGCAATGGGGCAATGGAGCAAGAAAGGAGAACAAAGAGGACACCACTGCAGTGCTCCAGGCAGCGGCGATGGGGGCTGGGGCTAGAGGCCCGCGCAGTGATATCCAGGGTACATCTTGGAGGTGGGGCTTGGCAATGGATTGGAATTTGGGAAGTGAGGGAAAACTGACCCAAGTGTGATTCCTAAATGTTTGGCTTATAAGATGGGTGGGTGGTGATACCATTTCCTTAGATGGGGGAAGATTAAGGAGAAATAAATTTGAAAGTAAAACTAAATGCTTTGTTTTGATCCAGTTATTTTTGGAACGCTATGAGCCAAACATTTCAGTGACTGAAAATAATGTTTTTGTTGAAGCTATCTGCAGTAGAAAAGGGGATTTGGGGTGTAGAGTACATAAATCATCAAATAACCTAGGTATTAAAAATTCCACTTTAAGATACAATATAGATTTGTAAAACAAAACACATAGTTAGCTTAAAAGCTCCCTTTGATGCTTTTCCTGTGGCTATAAATAGATTTTAAAGTCAAATTGTCATTTTACTACCAATAGTTTGCTTAAAGAATCATAGTAATTGATCCTTTTAGTGTTTTTCCTTGGCCACTTTTATATACCTGTTTTCTTCAAAACTTTTTTGTTGTGATTTTGACAAATTTAATCTTCAATGTTTTTGTCTTATTTTGAGTTGATGTAGTTTCTTCATGATTACATAGAAAATGACTAGCAACAGTGTTAGAATGTAGTTCCTAATTGACAGGTGAAAATTATATACTTGTCCTAAGTCTTCATAATGGTCTTTAGCATGAATGTTATCATTAGATACCCTTTTAAGCAATAAGCTCAGGAAGATTTGGGGCCCAACTCATACATTAATTATCTATGAACTGATTTGGCAGTCATCACTTTATCTATACTTTGGCAGCCTTTGATTTTATTATATAAGCTTTATAAATATACACTCAAATACCATATCATTTTGCATTAACTTTAGACACAACTACTTTTGGTATATTTAAACACACAGAGACAATGAGTTTCTATCACTTAAAACATAATGCAATACTAAGCTTTTCTTATTCTCATATTTTGCTAGAGATTATATTACAAGTATAATTTACTGATTTAAAAAATTCCCATCTAGTAGACTGCAGTGCATGCAATGTTATGTGCTGTTTATATAAATAGCGAGGAGGTTAATTCAGACCATTTCATGGAAATGTTTTATGTATTGTAATCATGAGTCAGTACACAATTCTCTCTAAATTTAAAACAATGTAAATTAGCCAAGCCAATTTAATTCTTGCCAAGAAAGAATATTCCTTAAAGCCATGTCTTTAAGTTTATTAGGTTAAATGCAACTATATTCTGTAACTAATAAGTGAGAGGATTTATTGAATTTTGAAACCCACCGATTATAAGTTATGTTTTTAAAGTTATTTAAACAAGTTAAATATGTTTATAATAATTTCATTTCCTATGTGACATCTAACTAATGAGAAAAAAATAAGGCTAGGAGAGAACTGGAGTGGGCTTAATATTTGCCACAGACAAAGCCAAGTTTAAATCCTGCCCAAATGCCACTTCTCAATCACAGCTTTAAAAGATTAAACATGATTATAGTGGTATTTCTCTACTTTTCTGATATACACGTTCATGTCAAAGCTATCTGGAAGCCTGCCATTGAGTTTCACCTTTGAGGTGAGAAAGTAGCCTGCTGAGTACTTATTTTGAGGAAGAAGATACACTGCTTAATATAAACTGGGTAGCGTTTACAGCTAATGTGTTCAACTCTATACCAAATTCATGTGCATATTCTGAACTGTAAGAGGATAGTTTATCTCAGTGTTTTCTCTTTTAGATTATATTTTTTAGATTTGAATACATTTTCCTGTTCTCAAGAAAGTCTGGCTTTCTGCTTGTTCCATTTAGAAGAAAAGTCTAAGTTATGCTGATTTAAAAACTAGTCTGACCAAGCATACATTATGTAGTAATTTCTTGCTTTATATTTTGGTAAAATGTGGACTCTGAGATGAGAAATACTTAGTTTAGGATTTTCCTTCTCTGTTTGGCTCGGAGTACAGTGTAATCCAAATATAGTTTCTCTACTATTATCTTTGCTTATTCTTCTTTCTCTTGGGCATGTGATGAGAACCATTCTTTCCAAGGGCAATTTTAATTTTATTTATTTCTAAGCTTTGTACCACCATGGTTATGATGTTCATATTTCCAGATTGAAATATTTGGCTTGATTATCTTCCAATGTACACTTCTATTCATATAACAGATATTTTGTTTGTGGATTTAAAAACTATGGGTGCTGTATTCTAAGCTTGCCTTCCCTGTCTTAATCTGATCATGGCAGAGCTTCGGTGAGTGAGTTTTCTCTGTGCACTGTGCCTAAGCTTTCTAATCTGTTAAGGGGACTTCTGATGTGTCACACAGCTGTTGTGAAAGGGAAAGTTCTCTCTGGCCTTATGTAAACCATCGGTGTCTTCTATGGACAGTTCCAGACTCCTGTCAGTAGCGATGACTGTCAGCTGCAGCGTCCATTTGAAGCAGCGAGTGTCAGTGGAAGTGCCGCCGTCAGCCAGCTTCATTTGATATTTAAAGGAGACTTTGGAGAAGTTAGCTGCTGGGAAGCTATTTCTTCAAGAATTTTTTGAGCACAGCTCTGGTGATAAACCTACCACCTGATAAGTACTGAGTAGTAACTGTACATTTTCAAGATATGCAACAGCAAAAAGGTGGTCATTAAATGCCACCAAAGGAAATGCATTTGCGTTGGGGTTTTAGATATGATCTTCATTAGAAAATGTACTTTAGGGGTGCTGGAGGGTATTCCACAAAAGTTAGCCTGTTACTACCAGAAAAGATTTCTGCCTTAGCATGAGGGGTCCTTGAAGTCATGAATAAACATATATCCTAGGTTCCCTTGAATTTGTAAAACAATTGTTGATTAAACCTTTACTGTATGCCATGAAATATGCCAGGTGTAGAGGATAGAATGATAAATAAAATACAACCCCAATCCGCAAAGAATTCCACACAAGAAGGAAAAGACATGTAAAGCAAATGAGCACATTATATTTTACCAGATATTAGGTTAGAAATATGCATGGAAAGTCAGTGGAATGAAGAGGGTTCTGTTTTACTTTGGGCAAGAGGGGAACTAGGAAAGATTTTGGGCGGTGTCAGACTTAAGCTGAGTCCTCATAAATGCAAAGTGTGGGCACATAGAGGGAGAACATTTGGGAAGGACTGCACTAGGGCCAGTGGCTCATAGGTTGGTGAGGCTGTTAATGAAAAAATTCATGACACTTGTTAAAGATGGTAAGGCAGATTTTATTTAGGACAGTTGTGATAGGTGTAGGGACCACTGTAGTGTGATATGGCAGCAGGGGAGAGATATTGGGCTCAACTCTGAATACAACAAGGAAGAGTGGGAATTTATAGCAAAGGAGCAGGGGAGAGAGATCAGTGGATGGAAAATGACTAACAAGAAACATCAGGGGTAAGAAGGATTCTGGCTAAATCAACCTAACAAGATTCTTGCTGAAGATGGCCATGGTAATCAGACATCACCTGGGGGATGGGGTGATCAGCTATTGAGGATGGGGGCCTCTGCTTACTGACTTAGCAGGGTTCTTGCTATAATTGGACAAGGCAGAGAAAAACACAGAGCCCAAAAGTCAGGGCCTGGTTGGGAAGAGGATTCAGAAGAGGCCGTCTAGAGTTTGGTAGATGTGACCAATCTTTGTCAAGGCCTGGGGTTGTTTGGAGGAAAATTTGGTTGGAGATAAAGCTGGTGACAAGGCAAGAGCAAGATCATAGAGGACCTTGTAAGCTATAATAAAATGTTTGTCCTTTTTCTAGTCAGTGATGAGTTTTAAGCTAGAGAGTAGCAATATCAGATATATTTAAGAATGAGCATTCAGGCAGCAAAATGGAGAAAGAGTTAGAAAGGAGCCAGCTTGGCACTTGGAAAATAAGCTAGGAAACCAATGAGGTAGCCCAGGAGAGATACCAAGAGAGCTGGAATTTAGGCAGTTGCAGAGTGAGCTTAGCCAGGGAGAGGATGGATTGAAGAAATGCTGTGGAATAGAATGCAGGGGTCTTGTCCTGGTGACTGATTGTAGGAGGAGAGAAACTGGAAGTCATCTAGAACATTCCCAGATTTCTGGTCCTGGTGGTTAGATAATGGAGCCATTTACTAAGTTGGAGACATAATGAGACAGGTTTGCCCATGTTAAAACTATTGGACAAACCCACATAAAGGGTATTAATGAATTCAATGTAGGATTAGCAGTGAATTCTTTTTTTCTTCAGCAATATCTAATATCTTGATTATTCAAGGCCGTCCAGCATTCTTTTGCCTTCTCCTTCTGCCAAGATGTGCAGGTTGTTGAAAATGGGTATCTGTTAATCTGGGATTTTTGGCTGATTTCCTTAATTCTCTACGTATGAATGTGTGTGGGTACAACACAAATATTACTTCTGAAAATACCTCTGTCTGCCTCCACAGTGACTTTTTCTAGCAACTTCAGGTAACTGTCAAAACTCCAGTGAAGTATACAAATATAAATTGGAGGATTTATGAGGGGGTGAGAATATATGTATGAGTTAAAATACCACTTTTTAAAAGTCTCAGATTTTATAAATCAATATAACTAAAATTATAGTAATTTTAAATATAATTATATGTGTATATGTCTCTTTAAGCTTTCAAAAATACATGAAAGGATGTTAATTGTCTCCTAGGATCTCAACAATAGAAAGCGATAGTAATTAAGCAAAAAATAAATAAATTGACATGGATGCATTGGAGCTAGTATAGATCCTGTGCAATTGGCATAAAGGACTTTGTTGTTTTAAAAACATAACTAAATCTCTTTTCCATTATAGATTTAATTTAAGTAACATGATAAATAGTGGTAAATTGAACTTTATTATGTATTCATGAAATGCAGTTTAATACAATTGTTATTTCTGGCATTTGTGGTTTAAAGATATTCCCTTATGGGTGGATGTTATTTTTAATGTGCAAATTCAGAAATAATGACCTCCAGTTCCACTGGTGAATTAGGGTTGATATATACACATGGACAATAATGGAGAAATACTCTCCAAATTCCTGCATTTATGAAAATCTCTAGTATAATCTGTGATCCTTTAAAAACTGACATCAAACAAACTATTTTAAGGTTACAACTGTATTGTAAGTAAGAAAAAAGTAAAATAGTAAATATTTTCCAAAGGTTTTTAAAAGAATGGTCTTTGACGAGGACATACTTGAAAGGGGGAAACTCACTTAGCAAGAACAGGTTATTGAAAAATCTCTGCACAATGTTTTAAAGAAAAACCAGATCAAAAACTGACATGAAATGACATAACTTGGGTTGTCTTACTGGAAACCTAATTTTATGTTCTGGGTAAACATAAAGGAATGGATAAAAAGATAATATACACTAATTTCTACATGCCTCTTTTTCAGAGAATCAGTAGGAAACTGTTCAGGAGAAATATTAGCTATTTGTCATAACTTTATATTTAGCTTAATTATTTTCTGCTCTGGGAAGTTCACTGAATAGATTGATCAATAGGAAATATAGTGTAAATGAAAAGACACCAAAATTTTAGGAGGCCCTCGGTTCATTCTCCACAGTGAGCAGTGTGAATTCCCAGCAAAATTTTCTGGTTGGACCAAGAGTAGCTTCTCTCCTGACTTAATTCTGATGGCTATCATTATTAAAATAGGCATTTTAGGGGAGGTGTGGGATGATTTAATTTGATTTTTGTTTGAATATTCATTACAATTAATGATGTGAGATTTGGTCAGGCATGTGGAGAGACTGAAATCTGCAGCAGTTCTTCAGGCACATGTAGCCCATGGTTAGACGAATGAAGATGGCTTGGGGTTATCCACTTGTGACAAATGTTTGTGGAATGTAAGACCTATTTTGGGCACTGGGACCTTGCTTTTTCAGCATAGTTTTGGTCATCTCTGGAAGCAATTAAATGTCTGAACGCAATTCTTAATTCCTCATCTACTTTGAAAGATCACAAAGGATGTTTCTTTTGATCCAAGTTGTTACGTGCAGTGTAAATGACCACTGAGGATGTACATCTGATGGAAGACTGGTTTGAGAGAAAGAAAATTTCAGTTACTGGAATCATACAATTTTATCAATATCAAACTTGTCCTTTGAACAACTACCCCATATTCATTAACTGAAGGACTTCTTATTTCATGAAGGGATAATTCAGCACAGGTCCTCAACCCATATCCACATCTGACACCCCAGAGCTCTGGAAAGTAGAAGTTATTTCCATGATTTACTTGTTGGCAAAACATGACCCTACCTAAACTTATTTAATAGAACAATCTGACCTAAAGTGATATAAGACTATGTATAGCTTTTATCTCATTTAGTGTAAATATTCGCACAGTGTGAATGCTGGGTACTGCCTCAGACACAACTCACAATATAATATAATGCATATGTGAAATTTATTAACTTCCTAAACCTTGAAAAATTCTGAATTCTAAAACCCATTTGTATTCAAGGGTTTTAGGAAAGGGACTGTGGAGCTGTAGCCAGAAATGAGTCTTAATTTTATTTTTTCTGCATGCAAATACCTACTAATAATGTCCTAAAAGGTACTTTGTTTGGATAAGTTAAATAATCTTTTTAAAATTTGATTTAGACTATTAATTTGCTTAGTAAAAATCATATATTGCACATAGGCAAATTCAGCCCTGTCGTGGTAAAATTATCACAAGTTATAAATTAGTTGCATCTGAGTTAATGAGGTTTTATTATAAACATAAAGCAGCATTACTTCCAATGTCTGATTTTCATTAGTACAAAAAAAGCCAAATAAAGCTGTAGAAAAAAATGAGTTCTCTTTATTGTGTACCCTGTGAGTATGTGAAGTGTTGCTGATTTTTTTATTTGCAAAGAACTGAAAAGATATTTACGTTGCCTGCCACTGGTTTGATTTGGATTAAGGCTGCCACAAAATCCTTTTAGTTCCAGTGGCCTGTAAATTATTTCTGGACTCCTGTTCTCTTATTTTTGAGGTACTAAGGCTAAGAGTTTTCTCAACAAAGCAAAAAGGAGAAAGACAATTTTTTAAAAAATGAGAGGACAGGTGGGATGCCTGGGGCACAGAGGGCATTTGCCAAGTGTAAAAGCAGGTAAAGCTCAAGGAGGTTAAGGGCAGCATTCAGGACAAGAGGAAGGTGGGCTGGAAAGGAGCAGAGGAATGGTGGGGGTTTGTGCTGGGGTCCAGGATCTGGGTTGCACAGTGCCAACTCCACGGCTGAGGGCTTATATTTGGATGCAGAGCCCTGAATTCCACTCTGACTTCTTTAGAATCAGCGTTGCTCCTGTTTGTTTGCAAAGACGACTGTATTTTTAGTTCCTACTGAGTGAAAGGAGGTTTCCTGCCTTTTAACCATAAATCCACACATAAATACTACATAATAATCCCTTTATTAGACAAAAATGGTTTTTATCTTGAAGCCTATAGGGTTATTCTCAGAGCTGCGACTCCTTTAAAATCTTGGCCAGCTCACCTTTCTCTTTTTGCTTGCTGTTCTGGACTCTCTTTCTGGTTTCTCTTTCAGGGGGATGTTGTCACTATTCTTCTCCAAAGCATGCATTCAAACAGAACAGCAGGCAGAGGCTGCAGGCTCCTTGCAGGAAGGATTTGAAGAAGGTGTCGATGTAAATGGATTGGCTGTTTATACCAAATATGCTGGAGCAGGGGCCCCAATAACAACGACCTCCCAAACACTGAGGAGCCCTGAAGGATGGCAGGAGACCAGCTCACCCATGGAGATACTGTTGGAGCTGGAATGACTTCTGTGGAAGGGGCTGTCTGCAGTTCTGTGGGAAATGCGCAGGCCTGGCATTGTGGTGTGCATGGAGTGTTGGTGTTTGTCCAGGTAGTTGTGCTCATGCCAGTAGAAACGTGCCTGCCTCGATTCTGCTGTGCTAATTGATATGACGGCATCTTCACAAGGTCTTGCTGTGTGAAGGATGATAAAACCCCTGCCAACCAAGAGGCTGTGCCCAAGTCACATTCCTTGCTTAGAATATTCATTATGGGAGATAGAAAGAATATAGGAAGCAGAGTAATACACCCTCAGATGTCAGAGGGAGATCATGACATGAAAACTCATTTCATAGTAACTAAAATAATAGCAAATTTGCCAGAAAATGTAAGATGGTCCCTGAGGGGCATTAAAGAGAGAGAAAGGGTTGGATTTAAAGCAGGGGGAGAAGGCCGGGGGAGAAGGCCTTGGGAGTGCTTGGCCCAGGCCCAGGAAGCCTTCAATTCACTTTCCACCCTGCTGTTGGTTACCATTTGGAAAAAAATGAAACCGGCTAACTTTGTTATGTCTTATTTACAGAAATCAGTGATTCTCTGTTGCCTCTAGGGTAAAGTTCTGGCATGCAAGATTTTTTTACATGCTTATTCCAACCTACATCTCTGTGTGATCGCCTTTCACCTTTCCTTAGCCCATCCTGGGTGTATATGTACACAAACTTCTTATGCTGTTAGTAGCATGCAAGAGCTTTGCATTCCTTGGACATAGGTCCTGTTTCTCACTCCCACACTCTTCTTTTCTTGACAAGTTCAAACCCATCCTTCAGGGTCTTAGTTCAAATGCTACCTCCTCTATGGAGTCTTTTATATTAATTCATTTATTCAACAGACAGTGACTAAGCAGTGTCAGTTACTGTGCTGGGCCCTCGGGGTGAAGGGACAGTGATTAACAAAGTGGTTGATATGGTTCGAATCTGTGTCTCCACCCAAATCTCATGTTGAATTATAATCTCCAATTATAATTCAAAGGTGATTGGACCATGGGGGCAGATTTCCTGCTTTGGTGCTGTTCTTGTGATAGAGTTCTCATGAGATCTGGTTGTTTAAAAGTGTGTAGCACCTTCCCTGCTGTCTTTCTTCTGCTCTGGCCATGTAAGATATGCCTGCTTTCCCTTAGACTTCTGCCATGATTGTAGATTTTTTGAGGCCTCCTCAGCCATGCTTCTTGTAAAGCCTGTAGACCTGCATGCCAATTAAACCTCTTTTCTTTATAAATTACCTAGTCTCAGGTATTTCTTTATAGCAGTGTGAGAATGGACTAATACAGAAAATTGGCACCAAAAATGTGGTACTGCTATAAAGTTACCTGAAAATGTGGAAGTGACTTTGGAAATGGGTAATGAGAAGAGGTTGGAATAGTTTTGGGGGGCCCAGAAGAAGACAGGAAGATGAGGGAAAGTTTGGAACTTCCTAGAGACTTGTTAAATAGTTGTGACCAAAATGTTGATAGTGATATAAACAGTGAAGTCCAGGCTGAAGAGGTCTCAGATGGAAATGAGGAACTTATTGGGAACTGGAATAAAGGTCACTTTTGCTATACTTTAGCAAAGAGACTGGTGGCATTGTGCCCCTGCTCTAGGGGTTTGTGGAACTTTGAGCTTGAGAGTGATGATTCAGGTTATCTGGTGGGAGAAATTTCTTAGCAGCAAAGCATTCAAGAATTTGGCCTGGCTGCTTCTAACAGCATATGCTCATATGTGTGAGCAAAGAAATGACCTAAAAGTGGAACTTATATTTAAAAAGGAAGCAGAATGTAAAAGTTTAGAAAATTTGCCTGGCCATGTGGTAGAAAAGAAAAGGCCGTTTTCAGGGGAGGAATTCAAGCTGACTACAGAAATTGGCATAAGTAAAGAGGAGCCAAATGCTGATAATCAAGACAATGGGGGAAAAGATCTCAAAGATCCTGTCACAGGCCTGAAGTTCTAGGAGGACTGAATGGTTTTGTGGGCCAAGCCCAGGGATCCACTGTCCTTCACAACTCCAAGACACTGTTCCCTGAATCCTGGCCACTCCAGCTCCAGCTGGGGCTAAAATGGGCCAAAGTACAGCTCAGGTGGCTGCTTTAGAAGATGCAAACTGTAACCCTTGGTGGCTTCCATGTGGTGTTAAGCCTGCAGGTGCACAGAGTGCAAGGGTTGAGGCTTAGAAGCCTCTACCTAGAATTCAGAGGAAGTATGGAAACACCTAGATGTCCAGGCAGAAGCCTGCTATAGTGGCAGAGCCCTTATCTGGAACCTCTACTAGGGCAGTTCAGAGGGGAAATGTGGGGTTAGAGCCCCCATACAGAGTCCCCACTGGGGCACTGCCCAGTGGAGCTGTGAGAAGAGGGGCACCATGCTCCAGACCCCAGAATGGTAGATTCACTGACAGCTTGCACCATGCACTTGGAAAAGCCACAGGCACTAAATGCCAGCCTATAAAAGCAGCTGTGAGGGCTGTACCCTGCAAAGCCTCAAGGGTAGAGGTCCCCAAGGCCTTGGGAGACCAACTCTTGCAAAAATGTGCCCTGAATGCGAGACATGGGATCAAAATATATTATTTTGGAGCTTCAAGATATAATGACTGCCCTGCTGGGTTTCAGAATTTCATGGGGCCTGTAGCCCCTTTCTTTTGGCTAATTTCTCCATTTTGGAATGGATATATTTACCCAATGCTTGTACCTTCATTGTATCTTGGAAATAACTAGCTTGTTTTTGATTTTACAGGCTCATAGATGCAAGAGACTAGGCTTGTCTCAGATGAGACTTTGGACTTTTGAGTTAATGCTGGAATGAGTTAAAACTTTGGGGAACTGTTGAGAAGGCATAATTATATTTTGCAATGTGAGAAGGACATGAAATTTTGGAGGGTCCATGGACAGAATGATATGGTTTGGATCTGTGTCCTCACCCAAATCTCATTTCGAATTGTAATCCCCAAGTGTTGGAGCTGGGAGGTGATTGCTTCCTCTTCAGGCTCATATATTATGGATGAGGTACAACTACGGCCAATAAAGATTCTTTTTCAGAGTGAAAGCCGCTCCCCTCAGTGTAGCCTAAAGGCCTGCGCTCCACAGAAAAGGAGGTTGACACCTTCTGGTACAACTCTCTGATGGGCCTGCCAAAAATGTGCCCTTTTTGTTTGTTTCTTGCCTTGTTTTGTTCTATCATCTGTTAGCTCCTAAGTATCACTCCCCCAAAACAACCTTAATACTAGCACATTTAATAGCAACATGAAAAAATATAAAGCAATATCAATGCTTCTACTTGCAAATGAAGAGTCAGAAAGTGCCTAGCAACCGTTTATTTTTTAGAGACAAGGTCTCTTTATGTTGCCCAGGCTGGTCTCAAACTCCTGGGCTCAAGAGATTCTCAGTCTTAGCTTCCTAAAGTTCTGGGATTGCAGGATTGAGCCATTGTGCCCAACCTGAATTCTAAATTTTTGAAGCATTGTGCATGTGGAAGGACTAATGCTCTGAGGCAACTGCATTACATGACTTCAGGGCACCATTCACAGTTAGCAATGAGAATGAGGTCCCCTGGGGTTGCACAATGTAGCCATCCCCAAATCCTATATGGTTTGAATTGATCGTAGTTTTGATCATTTGAGAGAGAAAATTAAGAGAAAACATTTCATTCACTCTTACATGGGATAAGTAAAGACAAGGGATAAGTAAGACAGTGCCTAACCTCAAGTCCTTTCAGGTTAGGGAAGGGATAAAATATATCTAGAAACCAGAATGTGTGGAAGCATATTCTGCCTAGTGTAGTATTGAGAAACAATGTACTCTGGAAGTTCAGGGTAAGAAAACACTGCTTTTGGCAAGGGAGGCATGGAGATTTCATGGAGACAGTAGCATTTAAGCTGAGCCTTGAGAGGTGGTAGGGTTTTACCAGGGTACTGAGGCAGAGATGGGGAGATGGTAAGCAGGTGAGGAAATGTAATCAGTGTTTGAGGGGAGTGGCTCAGTTTGTTTGAGGTGAGGCCTCCCATAGGAAAAGCGCACAATGTTTAGTTGAGGCAACTGCATTGAAGCACCAAATTTGACCTCACCTGCATGGCCTTTAGCTCCAGAGTTAACTTTCTTTCTGATCATCAGGAATCAGAGAGAGGAGGCCTGGATGATTGTACCTGATACTTCATTTCAGAATAAAGGGCTGCAATCATTCAAGGGGTTGTCTCAGAGGTGATAGATTTCCCATCCCTATTTGAATAGTGCTAGTATCTCATTTCTGGATACAAAATGATCATGCATATCCAGCAATCTTCTTTGTCATATTCCTAGGAGAAAAAATAACCCACACCCCCTCATCCATCTAGAAATATCAACACGGTTGGTATTCTTCCAGTGCAGGGCTATTGCCTGTCTGATTGCCACTCCACTTGAGATAGTCCAGAAATTTCTTTTACTCCAAGTCAGCAAAGACCTGATCAATTTAATCTGGCCAACATCAATCTGAAAAACATATGCTGCTTTATAGGAAAAACACATGTGTATGAAACTGCCTGATCCCTCACCTTCTTCATCATTCACAACTCTCTTCCTGTAGGTGAGGCAGAGATTTTGCATGCCTCAGAAGTAAGGTTGAATATGTTATTCCACCCAGGGAAATTACTGCTCATCCAGAAAAAGAGCTTATTTATGTAGCATAAGGGAAAAGCAAACACTGAGGCCATTTATTTGCTAACTGTGAACCCCTTGGGCAGAATAGACTTGAAAAGATTTAAAATACAGCACTAAAACAGGGCCACCACATACAGTTGGTTATGTGGTGCACTGCCCAATGCCAAGGACTGCCATTTAGCATTGTATTCCACACAAATGGTATACCCTGGAGTTGTACCATCCGCAACCTGTATAGCAGTCCTGGTAGAGTCTTGAACTCTAGCTGAGGATTGACCACTACAACAGAATTAACCCGGGCAATTCATTTCCCTTCCAGTTTGCAGTTTTTCATTATAAAATAACAGTGAATATTGGCTTTGAAAATTTTATCTTCTAAAAATTGTACTAGACAACAGTGTTGGGAGGGAAAATGGGGTAAAAGACATGGTTAGCTATTGTCTTTTGTGGGTTTATAGCATACAAATAAAAGACAGAAATACTGTTTTTGAAACTTTAAAAGAATTTTTTCTTTATAAATGTAAATTTGGTTTTATGTTCTGTTACATATTTTTAAGCATTAACTATCTATAATTACAAAATAGCACATTTTGCATGTTTAGTTTTTATTATTTGATTGTTATTTTTAATCATTAAAAGAGCTGAAATAATTTCCTATATTGTGTAAACAGAGGTTTTCTTGAGTTGAGATAGCAGTAATGGGAAAGGAGGAGATACATACCTTATTCTTTGTTGCAGTACTTGGAAACACATATTTTATTTATTTATTTATTTATTTATTTATTTATTTATTTATTTATTCATTTATATTTATTTATCTATTTTAAGACAAAGTCTTGCTCTGTTGCCCAGGCTGGAGTGCAGTGGCATGATCTCGACTCACTATAACCTCTGTCTCCTGGGTTCAAGTGATTCTCCTGCCTCAGCCTCCTGAGTAGCTGGGACTACAGGCACGTGCCACCACCCCGGCTAATTTTTGTATTTTTATTAGAGATGGGGCTTCACTACGTTGGCCAGGCTGACCTCAAGTGATCCACCTGTCTCAGCGTCCTAAAGTGCTGGGATTACAGGTGCTAGCCATGGCACCTGGCCACACATTTATTTTTAAATCAGTGAAACAATAATCGGAGGAAAAATATGTTAATCTCTAGCATTAAGGTCTGATCAAGAAACATATTACTTTTTCCCCCTAAAGTGATGAGAATAAGTTAAGCCTTTTTTTGGATTATATATTTAGATAATATGAACTAAGATGTAGTAATGAGATTTAAAAACAGATCTTAAAATGCCCTTAAAGGTGGAAATAAACTATTCAGGCTATAAATTAAATGATCAATAATGATCATGAGGCAGAGTGCAATAAATATTCCTTTTGTTTTCATAAATTATTTCTCTATCACTAGAAAAGATTTCATGGAAAATAAAATGGCCCAGAGCAAAACTAATTATGATATTTACATCTTAGCTTTGAAAATGACTTGTTAGTTATTATTTTTTTATTGTTTCTGTCCAGCCTCTTTAAAGGGAGAAGAGATTTAATAATAACATACTTTATAGCTTTATTTATGATCATCAATTAAATCTGGCACATGTGAGGTGGCTTTATTTTATGAAATTCATCTTTGGAAGACAGATTTTCTAGTTTTTCTGTAAATATTCCGTATTCTGAATCTTTTGACTTGGGGATTTTTGTCCTTGAAATTCTAGGTTTTAATTTAATTGATGTAGGCCTTGGGGATCCGTTTATCTTATCTCTAATTAAATAACTGGAGTTTAAGCAGATGCTAAGCAGAGTATCCAGGAGAGGAGGTTTAGCCCAGGAAGAGAACCCCTTGTTCTTCGTCATTGTTTTTATGTTTCTTCCTTTCCTCCCTAGTTGCTCTGATGCAAGTTGTGCTAGCACCCCACGCCAGAAGTGGCCACCAAAACTCTTAGATTTTGATCTAAGCTTAGTTTCAATTTTTTCTTTGTCCTTCGAAGTGCTCATTAACAATAACATCTAAGATGTCAGCGTAGCCATGTATGGGCAAAGACAGAAAATTATTTATATTCTGATTCAGTTGGCATCTTCATAGCCAAAAACACAAACCAGAAGTTGATAACACAACTAAACCTAAGTAAAGAATGCAATACCCACCGTCTACTGAAAGTACAATTTGAATTGAAAGACAGGAAACCTCTAAGGAGGCTTTATTCTTTTCTCTGGCCTTTTTATATTGTGAAAAATAAGGACATCTGAACTTGTCAAATTTTAGAAAGGGCTGTTCAACTTCTCTTCGTGCATGTATAATGCAATTGGAGTCAGAAAACACCGAAAGTCTAATGTTACTAAAATGACGGGTAAACATTCAGTTTGACAATGTTCTGGATAAATTGGAAAATGCATTTGCTGGACAGTCTTGACAAAGAAAATATCTAGTGGTAGGTTTCATGTTTCCAAGACAATCACAGGTAAAGGTCAGCAATCATCAGTGATTTGGAGCCACCATTGGTAGTGGGCAATTCTTCATGATGATTGGAGAACATTCCAATTACTGTTTTCAGTCTTTATCACAGTGTCTTATGTGTCTGCTGTCTTCAAAGTAGCTAAAAAATAATATTTTCCAATAAAAATTGTAAATAAGCAGTAATTGGATACCTAATATACAAGAATGAGACACAAACACATAAAACTTCTAATGTTATTAACGATTATTTAATTGTTATTAAACATATACAATTAACATTTTACTTGTCACTAGCAGTTGAAGTACTGATTTGTCCCGTCACATGTGTGTCAACACTGCCCATTTGAAAAGCACCAATTTCTTAGTCAATATACTTTGTACCTTGGAAAAAACTCAGAAATAATAACTGCCTTAGGAATATTTTTATCAAGGTAAAAGAAAACAAAGGAGTACATTGGGAGAATAATGCAAACATATTAAAAAAACAAAAAGCAGATAGCAAATGTGATTGTGTAAACTGCAGTCTGTTACAAAGCTCTGACAGGAGAGGACGCTGCATCACAATATGAAGCAAGGTGTTCTTTACCTAAACTATATTATTTGACCTTGTTCTCTTCTCTTCTCAGTATTGTTTCTCTACTCATGGGAATCTTTGGTGAGGGAACCAAAGCCAAGAAAAAAAGAAAATATGACCTGATGTAAACCCAAAAAGGGACCTCAGCTGACTTCATGAAATACAAGAGTTTTGATTGAAGAACATTAGGCTGGGAAAGACCTTAGCGGTTATCTACTCCAACCCC
This sequence comes from Homo sapiens, assembly GCF_000001405.40. NCBI lineage: Eukaryota > Metazoa > Chordata > Mammalia > Primates > Hominidae > Homo > Homo sapiens. The sequence continues at coordinate 157,822,990 of NC_000003.12, read as the reverse complement.
TTGATTTTATAGAGGAAACTGATATTCTTTCATTCATTCATTCATTCACTCATTCAACTATTTATTCATTTGACAAATAGATATCGTCCTAATCTGGGTACTGGGAAATGAGAGAGATAATGTCTCTGATCCACAGAGTTTACATTCTGGTGGGGGAGATAGGCAATAAACACATAAATAACTAACAACTCAGTTCAGATTATAATACATTCTGGGAAGAAAACACATCAGAATGACAAAAGAGAGAAAAACCAGGGGATAACTCTAGGTGGGGTGGCCAGGGAAGGCTTCTCTGAGGTGGTGGCTTTTGTGCTGAAACCTGAATGGTGAGAATGAGTCATGTGAAGGCCCAGGGCAGAGTGTTCCAACTGAGGAAGCAACAGACACAAAGCTCCAACATAGGAATGAGCTCGGCAAACTTGAGGAACAGAAAGAAGGCCAGGATGGCTGGAATTTTGAGGATAGAAGGGAGAAGAAGAGGATGAAATCAGAGGGGTCGGCAAGGGCACAATCACAAAGGCCTTGTCAGCCATGGTCACAAGTATAGATTAAGATAATCTAATCAGATGAGGTGAGTGTGATGAGTTCTAAGCAAGGAAGTAGGATTGTGACTTGCCTATGCAGAACCACATGTTTTAGAACATTTCTTTCAAGAAACATTTATTCACCATCTTTTATATAGATGGTATAGTACTAAGTGCTATGTTCTGATGAGTTACAGAAAAAAATCCTGGACTCTTCTTGTTTTTTAGAAGCTCACACTTTGGCAAGAATATGAGACTCCCAAAGTAAAACAATTGATTTTGCACTTATATAACAAATCAAAACATAACACATGATGTGGCATCGTGGGAAGGAACCGTGGCTTAAGAATCAGAAGACCTGATAGAATCTGCTTCTCAGAGTCTTGGTTTTATCTTCCAAAAAAGAAGAATAATAATGTCTTCCCTGACTATCTTATCAGTCTTGTGGTAGATAAAAAGAGATAATGTTCACAAAAATTCTTTGGGTAGACACTTTGAAAACCATCGCATGCTATATACATGTGGTGAGAGTGGATAGTATAGGTAGCTGGGATTGAATAAGGGGAGAGATTTTGGAGAATCTTAAGTCTAGGTTAAAATTTTGCCTTACTTTGAGGGTAAAGGAGAGTTTGTTAAATGTTTTAGAAGAGGGGAAAGGCATGATGAGTAGTAGTTTCATTCATTCATTCATAAATGCATGAAAAACCAAGTATGGAATAAAGACAAAAGGAAAAGATTACTCTTAAGGTTTTGAACTCCAGTGCCTGGAAGAAGGGTAGTGCTACTTACTGCTGGAAATCCTGAAGCTGTGAAGGGGCCATTTTTCGGGGGTAGAGAGTGAGCCAGATTCTGAGAACATCAACAGTCAGGAGATCTTCATGCGGGGCTGTATGGCAGAAAGTTGGGGATTTGGGGCAGGAAGCTCTGATTTGACAACCTTCTTTATTGCGGGTAGTTAAACTATGAGGTAGGCTCTGATAATGAGTGGAAGTTGGTGAAGAAAGTACTGAGAAATGAAGCCTGAACCTCAGTTATACCCAAAATCAAAACAGAAAAGAAGTAGATGGAGCTATAGGCAGGGCAACAGGACTGGAGAAGCACAGATATTCTCCTTTCCTTGTGAACTCAACCTAGACCTTCTGAGTCTGGTTCAGCGACATATTGTCCAGGACATTTTCTCTGGCCGGTTCACTGGGTGGGAGGATCCCAGCCTTGTGCCTTGCACACTCACTTCATCTTCTGATAAAATATAATGCCTATTTGTATCTATTGGGCTGTTTTCTGACTTTCCTACAGGATTGTAAATTCCTTGAGAGCAGGGATGGTGCTACCCCTAGTACCTAGCATAGACCTGGCTGCAGAGTGGGAGTTTTGAGATATGTTTGACAGATTACTACATCCAGAATCAAGAGAGAAGCAGCTTTGAGAAGGATGGCTTGTGGACAGAATCAATACATAGTGCAGTATAAAAAATTAAGCTTTGATGGGAACATTTGTTTTAGGATTAGAGTCATTAGAGATCTTCAAGGCGCAGAATCAGTAGAATAGAATTGGAGTGGCCCAAGGGAAACCTCACTGTGGGAGAGGCAAGGGTAGTAGCTGGAGAAAGGAATGGCAGTAATCCGATGGAGATGGAGAGAGCACTTGCTCCCAAAGTTTGGTGGGAAAATAAAGAAGAGATAGAGAAGAAGAGAAACAGAGGTTTTTTTCATGTTTTAACCTTTTTTTTTTTTTTTTTGAGGAAAACCAGAAAAACCAGGGTTCATGGATGATCTCCCCAAACTATAGTTAGCTAATAGGTCTGTATCACATTCAGACATTTTTGGCATTGTGCTATCCATGTTTACCTGGAAAATACTCCTTAGGCAAAAATTAGAACTGAATGTGGTGGGACTGCGTTCCATTTTAAGCTATGACTGAGTGCTCTGCCAATAGTCAGTCTAAGGATTACTTTAACCTAGATGGCAACTGCAAGCTTTAATTTGTTATTTATGAACCTTTACAGCTGTATTTCCATGAGAATGAATTGCTGGTTCATTTATCAGGTGTGAAGGAGGGATGTTAACAGGTAGGTCTGAAAACTTGGAAGAAGGGATAACCTATTTAAATCATTGTTGGTGAAGGTGTGGAGAGGTTCCTGACAGGACAGTGAGGTAAGCTGGAGGGGCTGCCAAAAGCTGACTGATGTCCTTCTTTGAGTCAGGAAGTGTAAATTTCTCTCACAGAGATTTTGAGGTTGACTGCATTTGCACCTCTAAAGCTTTACTGGCATGTATGTAAAAATAGCCATCCCATTTATTCCAATTAAAATATGCGGTTGCCTCAGATGTAACTGTGCTTCAATTCTTAGACTGATAAACTTCTATCTACCTTTCAGGACCTGGTTGTAAAGCCACCTCCTTTGGAAAACTTTTCTAAAGCTCCCAGTAGAGTCAGTTGTTTCCTTCTCTGTGTTTCTTCAGTCCCTGGTGCTGTGTGTACTGTGTGGTGTTGTAATTTATTTTGGACAGTCTTTTTTGCTAGATGGAGCTCTTCTAGGCCAGGAGTCATGTTTTAACACTTTCTGTACCCTCTTAATAAAAGTCTGTTGTATGGATAAATCAATTGGCAGGGAAAGGGCGCTATGCAAACTTATATGTAATTAATTGCTTTATCGACTTTGTTTTTAAGACCACCTATGTTGGAAAACAAGAGGCAACAGGAGATGAGGTAAAAGGAGATAGAGAACCAAAGCAGTGATGCTGCTGAGTGGTTTCTGGAGAAGAAACCAGCAGCAGGCTGCCGAGGGAGTGGGGTGAAGGAGACTGAGGAAACTGGCTAATGTTTTTTAGGCTCCAGGGAGGCACCAACAGTACGGAATTTACACGGAGCAGAGATGGGGAGGGCGCTTCTCTGTAGTTGAGTCAGACACATCCACACAATTCTCTCTAATGAGAGAAAGTGAGCTATGTTGGAAAATTGGCAAAAAGAAACTTGTCTCAATTGGGACAAAACTCTAATTTTTGGAGGTCAGCAAAATGATGCAAAGGAAACTCCTAACAGGCAGAAACTGCCTGTACAAATTTCTGGGCAACAGATGCTGACTGAGTGTACTTGCATACAGAAACAGCTTCATTATACAAGATTGTTTTTGTTTGTTTAATTTTTTAAAATGCTGTTCTCACTTTTTATTTATTTTTTTTTTTTCGGAGCTTCTTTTGTGAAAACTATAATCTCTCTCGTTTTATACTGAAGGACTCTGCTTTGAAAATATAATAGCCTTCTGTTTTACTAGCATACAATGTTTCATTTATTCCAAAGAGTTTGCCTGCTTCCCCAAAATTCAAAAATATTAAAACCAGCTAAACTGTTTAAAGTTTGGCAGTATAATATTCCACTTATATGAAAATATTATACATTTACATGTAAATTCAATTAATACACAGAATGGCTTATTTGAACTATAATGAAACATAATGATTTTGTGAGCAAATCAAATTACAATTGATATATTTCCTGTTCCATAAGCAAATGAGTAATTTTACATTTGTAAAGGTTTAAAAAATGTTGCAAACCTTACATATATAAGTGTGCAAAGATTTTATTGCTCCAATTCATTAAATTTCACCATTTCTTAAAATTTTCAAATGCCGATTTGTCATCACTACCTAGGGTGAATTGAGAAAGGTTGACACACATTTTGGGTGTGAGTTGGTCATAGGAGGCAGTAAGAGTTTACTGGCCTTGCTGAAGTTTTAGTGTAGGATAACAAGATCAGGAATTTGGGGGAAATCCTGTGACCTAGGAAACTTTGTCTGCAGTTGCTCTTCTTACAAGCCGGTTGTGTTTCTGTGTTTGGATGGAAGGCAATATGTGACTTTCCCAGTCCCTCATGGCTATCTGGGAGTCCCAAAGCAGGGGGTAATAGAAAGAGCATTGAACTTGAGTCCCAGCTTTGTCACATACATTCTAGGGGACATTGAACAAGTAACTTCTTCATGCCTCAATTTTCTCATCTCCCAAATGGAGCAGTGAATATTTACACTATTCACTTCACAAGTTTGGAGTCATAAAAGTCAAAGAATGTTACAGCGGGAAGCAAACCTATCTTTCAAACATAAACTGTTCACTTTCTGGGTCAGGGGTTAAGTGACTTTGGATTTAAAAACTCACTAGGACTTTCGAATTGGGACTTCTCAGCATCTATACTGTATAAATGTGCATTGACTCTCCCTAAAAGGAGGATCTAGGTGTTATACTTCCCAGATTTTGAGTTTCTTTTTTCGTGGGGCATCTCCTGGGTGTAGTGTTTCATGGAATACACTTTGGAAAATGTTGGTGTAATGCCATCACGAATAAAATACACTGGGATTGTAGAAGACTCCTAAAATAACGGAGGACATTTTGAAGGGGATGAATTTCTGGGAAACGGGCTAGTGATTAAAATAGTCGTGGCTTATTTTATAATCACAGACTAATGAGGACTGGGTTATCTGGATTATAGAATAAAAATATGTTTAATATTTTGAAAAGAACCATTTTGCTTTATCTGATGTCAGCTACATCATTTGAATTTTGCAAAAACACAATGGAAAGTATCAGAAGGGGCTACTCTGTGTTTAGACTTTTAAACTACCCAGTGGCATTTTGGAGTTTTAAAAAAATGTCATTTTTATGACTTGAATGCCATGGTCACTCTCTCCCTCTATATATGATGTTGCCTCCTATAGAGGGACATCTGTGTTCCTTGAGCAGTTCTTCCATCTGCCACCATGTGGGGGGTACAACTTGTGAATAGTGGTGAGGGTGTTCACAAGTATAAACACCCAGCAGAGTCCCTGCTCTAGATACATTGCTCTGGAAGGAATGGAAGAATAATTCAGTCCCTCACAAGAAATTCCTTTAAGATAAGGTTGTTGGCAATTTGTGTCATCATATCTAAGAAATATAGAAAATGAGACTGCAGAGAAATTTTGAGCTTGGAAAATTGACTTTACCTTTCATTATTTGAATTAGATGGCTGAGTGGTGATGGATAAAGAACCCACCCTTGGAACAGGGAGGAAGCTCTTCATTTCATTCTCTGGAGTGTTGTTTCTTAACTTACTTTTTGGAGATGTATACCTTTATGATTTTGTTGAAAGCTATCCACCTACTCCATAGAAAAATGCATAGAATTCATAACATCTGATAACTCATAAAAGTCCTGTTTGTGATTACTCTTTGCTTACAGCCAGAACTTTTTGCATTTAGAAATAATCTTTGCATTTCAAAAAGAACCTGGCTCTTGTTTTACTTTTCTGAAGGAAACTTTAGAGTTTTGCATTAGGAAGGCAGGTTATGGGAATCCTGGGTGCATTCCCAGTTGGATTTCTGTTAAATACTAATTGGGATTGACTACTTTGTATTTTTTTTTCTGGTTTGGATTAGATGCTTGCTCTTGGATCAACATGATTTCCTTCCTTCTCATAAGCCAAGAAAGTTACTCATTGAAAGAAATAACTGAGAAAGCTTTGGTTGGAGATTCACTTGATTTTCGTATTTGAGATAATAACCTAATATATTCCAAGAGAAGATTTGGGTTCACCTGTCAGAATAAGGGTAGGCTACTAGACAGTGACTGTGTAGGTGTGAAATCATACGATTCAGCTGTTCCTAAAAAAGTATATATTAACCACTCCTTTCAAAGTGTCTGCCAACAAGTGGCAGGAGGAGCTGTAATTTACAGGACCAGAAAGTGTTTTAGAAGTAATCAAAGCATCACAGGCGGGGAGAAAAATTTTAGAGATGTCTTTGAGCCTGCACAAATTTTATGGGCAAGTTAACATCTCAGGGCCACAGAAACATGTTAAACCTCCTAATTTCCTGGCATATTCTTAGCATATGTGCCCTCTGAAAATAAGATCTACTTATGATGTTGAATGGAAAATTTAGGCTAAATGCCCAGAGTGTGGTAATGGGCATGGGTTATTTCCTATTCCAAATGTAATTAAGAATGCATTAATATTTTGAAACATGTGATACTTACTGAAACTTGGCAAATTTTAGCTAGAGGAACATACCATAGCACACTATGGGAAACCAGCATAAGAACTCAATATGCCTGGTATGAACTGAGCAACTTTGCTTTTGTGCTTCATAAAATTTTTGTGTGTCTAAGAGACTGATGAATCCAAGACAGCTTGAAATTAACTTTGGGGCTTGAAGTTAGTCCCAATCTCAGTTATAGCAAACTGTGACAGAAGTAAAATACAGGACAAATAATTCCTATAGCTTTGCTTAACTCCAGAAAGAGGGTCAGATTCTCGTTTTTGTTATTTATAATTCTGGTTTGGCTCTTCAGTGAACAAAATTCTTTTCTGTTTGGATAATTCCCCACCTTATGAGTTTTAGTGGAAAACAGAGAACGTGTCCCATTGTGGAAGGGGGAAATACCAGATGCAGTCTCTGCCAGCCTCTCTGAGAGCCCAGGGCAGGCATGTGACCTGGCTTTGTTGATTTTGATTTGGTAGAAAGTGACATAAAAGAAGAACCTACAAGGACTCCATTCTGGTGTGGATGCCAGCAGTGGTGGGTGTGTCTAGCTATGGGGTCCTGCAACTACAGTGTAGGTGGCTGGTGCATGGCCAAGTCTGTGCTCAAGAGCAGTGGGGTTCTCATGGGACTGTTCTGAGGTACGGTTTGGGGCAATGTTCCTAGTTTGTAGCCTCAAGCCAATTCTTGGCTTTCTAGAGAGTCGCTTTTTAGGAATTCTTTTTCTGCCTAAATTAGTTTTTCTGTTGCTACTAAGAATGCTGACAGATACAACTCATACTCAGTTAAGTCCCATTTTACATTCCCAGTGCGTTTGCATTTCTTGTATTGCTGTGACCTGTGAAGAGGACACTGTTGAAAAGCCATAAAGCCATGCTTTTTCAGTGCTCAATACTTAACATAATTGTCCATAGTGCAGAGAAGACTTTGAAAAACACTTCAAACTTGATTGCAGCTTAAGATAACATTTAATTTTGACATTATTTCTAATTTAATTTTGACATTATTTCTTACTTGTGGTGTATGCCAACATCATATTGCTACTTTAAAGACTATTAGGCAAGAACAAAGTTATGCTCACTTCCAAGGAAAAGATACACACCTGCCAATCAGCAACAGCCAGAACCAGTTAAGGGCAAGGAAAAAAGTGCAACAAGATCTTTCCAAACCAGGTTCTTCAACCCTGGATGCACATTAGAATCACCTGGGACAACTTTAAAATACCCTCATTTCCAGGCTGTAAGCCAGATCAATTAAATCAGTATCCCTGGGGTCTGGGCCTAGGCATCACTATTATATTTTAAAAAGTTCCCCAGATGATCATCCCATGCAGCTAGGATTGCCATCCACTCTAAACAGAACCTTTGTCGTCTCTCTAAGTTCTGGGTGTGGTTTCAATATCATGTGTATGGAGAAGAACTATTGACTTCTTCTCCATAACATGTATTCCCTGAAATAGCACTGACCTTTTTGACTCCCATATCATATTGCCCTGATATCAGATTGAGTGAAACTGGGTACTATCCCTGACATGTCTCCTTTTACCTTTGTTGCTTTCTAGGTAACTCTGGCCGGCTGAATGGCTTGCTCTAGATATGTAACTGCATATAATAAAACGTAATTAATTTTTAAAACTATATTCCATGGGCTCTTTGTCACATACATTTGTCTGTCTCTCCATTTCTAATTTTAATCTTTAAGCTATTTAAGCAATTGCATTCTATATGTTTTTTAAAGGCATGAGACAATATATTACCGTATTTAATTTCAGACATCAATTTGCTCTGTGGTGCTAATAGGGTAGTCTTGAAAATGTGTCAGTCCACCTTTCACAATGATTGGCTTTAGCTGTTTTTCTACTTCAGAGTTTGGATTTGGATTAAAAATTAAATATGCTTGAAATCTTCTCATTATACCATTTTGCATACATCCAATTAAATTTTACTAATTAGCTTTCTACCATCATTAATGTTTAAATGTGTGTTCAGGCAAAGTCACTGTTAACTTCCAACTATTCATATTGCCAATTATCTTACAATCGGGTTTTAAAAAATTTCACTACAAAGTTATTTCAAATACATGCACACACAGTATTTGAAATACATATATATATACATACACACGTATATATATATCTGTATACATTTAGATTTTAGATGTTGGCTTATCTCCACTGTAACTGGAGTGTCGCTTGAGGTTGGAGATATGTTTATAAATTTACCATTCAATTAGAAATGTTAGAAGGATAAAGATAATGTATCCTAGGCCTTCAGTGACGATAAAATAAAAATCTGTTTATATTCACCATTTAACAAAAATCAGAAACTCTGACTCAAATGATTCATTTTCCCTATATCCACACACAACACTATAACCTCAAGAGAACTTTTGTTCTTGACTTGTACTAGAGTTTCACAAAATCCATATAAAATTTATTCTATTCATCCAGACAGCCATGTTCTCTCCTCATCATGTGATACCTCTACATGAGATGGCTTTTCTCACTTTCTGGTTGAATATCTCACTAAAGCAACATAGTTTATTTATAGTAGAAACTCTTCAACAACAATTGAACTGCCAAAAATAAAAATGGTTTAGATTTTTGCAGGAAAAAATGGGATGTAAGAGAATACTCACTTGGTATTTGTATGTCTTTTTTAATAGAGAAAAGCAAAACCTAATAAATGTAGGCTTCATTTTAGTCTCAATAGATACATTTCTGATCAATAGACCCCATTCTTGGGGTATATTTGATGTGCAGTTAATGCACATTACGTTGTCATGTGATCACTGAAGTTGAAGTGAGATGATAAGCTTCTTGAGGATTCAGACTATGCCTTCTGCATTTCTTCTTGTGTAAAACAAGATGATGACTAATGAGAGTCTGGCCTGTATCCGCAATTTAAATTCTTGGCCTTGCCTTTCAAATCCGATCATAAAATTAAACTGTCAATAAATACTTATAAAAATACCAAAGAGAATAATGTTGCTGTATTTTACTGATTTGAAGATGGATTTTTGTTTCACATTTATCATCTCTGAAGTCAGGATGCATCTATAATCAATGAGGTGTCAAAGTTTAATTAGCAGTGGGTTCCTTTTTGGGTTTCCCTGCCTCTTAGTGGTATATAAAATAATGGTGCATCTTACAAGAAAAGGTAACTTAGATTCAATGAAACATGGCATTTATTCCCACTTATTTCCAAAAAGAATTTGAAGCACTTTACCGAAGTATATAACCAAAGTATATAAAAAAGATAAAATAAATAAATGTAATAAGAAAAAAATAAAGCCAAAGTAAGGTAAATTTTAAAAAATATAAATATATCACAAAATCTGGCCAATCTGCAACTGTAAGTTCCAAATTTAGCTCTGGTTTTCTTGGTACTTGAGGCAAAATGAGAAATAGCATGCTTCTTTCTTACTAGCTAAAGCTTAAAGTGGAAGTCTGTGTAAAATATTCTTTAGTATGCAATAAACATGCTCCACAAAATCCAGTTTCTAATGTCAAGATTTTCTAGAATCTCAGGAACCTCCCTTCCTCCTCTTCCCCCTTCCCTGGCAACATTCTTTTCCCCATTGTAAATTTCTTATCCTGACTATACTATGTCTTATTTGTCACTTACTTTTAATTCCAGCTTATCAAAAACTGAATATTTAGTGTTTTTCAGCCATAAACCAGTAATTGGAATTGCATGTGCTACAAGAGCAAACATGTCCCCCAACTTTATGTTTTTCTCTCAATCTCAAATTGATAAGATTAGGATGATGCTATTTTAGACCCAGAACTCAAGCAAATGGTTACTGTTTAGAAATACCTTGAAGTGTTGCATTTACTGTAGAGATTATCGTAGCAGTAAGTCTACTTAGAATTTGTGTTTTTTTTTTCAGTTTTTTATCCTCTGGTCATGGAATGTATTGATATATGTGCCTAGATTCTCAGGTTTATCATCATGTCAACATTGTCTGTTAACAGGCTGTGTAGAAAAATATCCATCTGGGTAAAAGTGACAATATCAAGGGTTGGAGTCTATGGCTTTTTTTTTTTTTTTTTTTTTTTTTTGTAGCGATGGGGTCTCATTATGTTGTCCAGGCTGAAATGGAACCCCTGGCCTCAAGTGATCCTCCTGCCTTAGACTCCCGAGTAGCTGGGACTACAGTTACACACCACCATGCTCAGCTTATGGCTCAGTTTTATGGTGGAGCAATTAGGCTGTTGCCTCAGTGAAGCAATCATTTTCTTGCTCAGTTAAAAGATAAATTTTAAATTTTCTATGTCACATCTGATGGAATTTCGGGTTAATTTTATAATTCTCCTCACATGATTTTTATTTGCATTGAAATATATTTTTAAAGTAATATTAAATAATTTTAAATATTTATACACAACTTTTATTAGCATCTTTATTCAGTTTGTTGATTATATTTTCCTTGGTTGTAATTATAGCAGAAAAAATACATTTGACATATTGAAATGCACTCAACTTCTTTTGTAATTATACTATGTTTATGTAATGTATCATAAATAAGTTAAAACTTCTTGGGAAATATTAGGAGAATGCATGTGAAGTTGGAAATGCCAAGTGGTATTTAATAAAATGCAATACAAAATTATTAAACATTTTAAAAGTATTTACTTCTTTTCTTCAGGGTTTGTTGTATACTAAGAATACAGTCTGAATGTGGAAAACTGTTTAATTCATCTTGGTAATAAAGGAACTGAAGATCTTTTCCTATAGGACAATTAGTTCTTGAAACAGAAGCATGTGCCAGTTGAAGTACATATGTGATACAACCTCTGCTTCTACTGAACATAAGGTTATCTCTGAGCTGTTTTAGCTGAACAACATGAAATAGGATGTCCATGACAATTCAAGGCCAGTGGCCCATGTGATTCTATAATTGCTTTTGCCACTTTGCTTTTGTGGAGTCATTCATTATGAGACTGGCCTTATCTTGTCATACCTCCATGTCATTAGCAATGTTTTAGTGCATTAGTGACCAAATGCAGGTTTAACAGTTGGTGATTAAGACTGGGCCAGTTGCCAGCAGAGTAGGGTTTGAAATTCTGCAATTGTTTAGTGAATTTCCATGATATTATAACGATAATATTGAAATTATGGAAAATGGACTTTAAAGGGGAAAGACAAGAAAATAATGATGTTCATACAGAAAAACAAAGCCAACTGGGTGATTCAGATAACAAATCACTGATATTTTCCAAGTTAAAATAAACTGGGAATTTAACCCTGACTTACCATTTAAAAGTTACAAATCTGGAGTCTCATCTTTCAAAGGGGAAGAGAAAGAAAAGAGAAACGAAACCAAAACTCCATTCTAAGATGTGATGATTTGATGTGAAATATCCTCCATTCTTACCTCAACCATTTTGGATCTGTGATTTATTTGTACAAACTTAGTGTTTTATCCAATAAACACTGTTCCTTGGCTCTCCCAGGGGTCCCCCCGACAAGCTCCCTCCACTGAACATTTATTTCTCAGTTGGCTTGACTTTCCTCAGTGAAGGTCAAAATGAAGGCAACATGCTGGGATGCTGGGGGTGGATTGGATTTAAGTGATGTTTTCTGTTACAAAAATATAGGAAAATTTATTTCCTTTTAAAATACAATTTTTTTTTTTCTGGATAATGTTACATTTTCAACCAGATACAAAGTATATCATTTATTTAGTATTGACTTTGAATTAGGAAGCCTCCTCAACTGAATTTAGCATCTTCAGATTCATTTGTTTTTTGTTTGTTTGTTTTTTTGTTTGTTTGTTTGTTTTGAGACGGAGTGAGGCTCTGTCGCCCAGGCTGGAGTGCAGTGGCGCGATCTCGGCTCACTGCAAGCTCCGCCTCCAGGTTCACGCCATTCTCCTGCCTCAGTCTCCCGAGTCGCTGGGACTACAGGCGCCCGCCACTATGCCCGGCTAATTTTTTCTATTTTTAGTAGAGACGGGGTTTCACCGTGTTAGCCAGGATGGTCTTGATTTCCTGACCTCGTGATCTGCCCGCCTCAGCCTCCCAAAGTGCTGGGATTACAGGCGTGAGCCACCACACCCAGCCCAGATTCATTTGTTTTTAATGGTATGGATTGTATTTGCTTTGTGGGTTGGACCATAAAATACATAATTAGATAATTTCATGGTAGTACATTTCAAAACCCTTAAAAGATTTATGAAAATGTGAGGCTTTTAGGTTTCAAAATAAATTATAGGAGAAATAATGGAAATTTTAATCATATGTCAAGAAAATAAACTTAAGCATTCTGTGGCAACATAAATAAGATGCCTAAATTGAATTAGTATAAAATTTGGAGTGTTAGACATGGAAATATGAACTTTACCAACCAGCTTAAACAAGATGAACAAGTTACAATTGCAATTAAAATCTGCTTTTTGGTGTTTTGGATTTTTTTTTTTTTTTTTTTTTGTCTACGTTGGCATCTATGAAATCAAATCTTTTCAGGTCACTGGTAAAAAAATGGGAGCATTAAATTGTGGGGAAAGAATTGAGTCAGTTCAAATTCAGTCTTGATTAACTTGAAAAGATATGTTAACCCTTATAATCCATCCCCAACTGAGGACTGCATGTTTTACAGCATGATGGGGGATTTGGAAAGCAAGTTAAACTGACGAAGGTATACCATTCCCTTCAGGAGTATATATCTGAGCTCCAAAAAGGTGATTTAGAATTAGGTTTTTATAAACTTTTTTTTTGTAGCAGAAATAAAACACATCTTACACCAAAGAGGTATAATCAAATAAGAAGCAGTATCTAACCTTTTGGCTAGAAATGAGTAGTTAGATTTTATCCTTCTTTGTCATGTCCCACAAATAACCATGAGGGTCACATAAGGATTCTGACCCTAATATAATCTAAAAGGGAAAAGAATTGATTCAAATTAGTCTTCTGCTGAAAGCAAGTTGCCCTAGATAAAGGCCAAAATCTTGGGGATGTTTATGTGTATAAAATCTCTTAAAGTAAAATCATGTGTTGCACTGAATTAAACATGTGTGATTTTGATCATTTTTTACATTGATAAAGTTACTGAAAGGTTTATCATTAAGTATAATAAATGCAATAAATGTTACATCATTTTTTATAGAAGACATTTCAGAGAAAGTTGCGTCTAAATAGTGAAATAATAAATCAAAATGAACAAAAATCACCAAATAAATCTTATATATGTAATCTAGATCCAGACTGATGTGTAACAAGAAAATTATAGAGACAGTGCAACTGGACCATGTAAATCATTTTTAAAGAATCAAGTCCACAGCTGGCTGTCTGAAGTTGGGCCATTCTTTATTATCTAAGAATATACTTTTCTTCTTACACCAAATTTTTCAAGTGCATTACAATATTCATCTGCCAGTCTTAACACTGAAAGGCCATCAAAGCCTTGAAATTATCCATATTCTGTCAAATAAGTAATGTCATGTGAGCGGGCAAAAGCCTTTGCCAACAGGCTCCAAACCATGTGTAAGTGAGAGAGCAGCCCATTAATAAATACTGGTTGATCCAAAGGAAGGGTCATGTGTACTAAAGGAAAGTACTTCATGTAGGAGACTCAGCTCTGTGTGTTTTTGACTTTTGGAGGCACCTGTTAATGTGTATGCTAAATTTTAATCAGTAAATTAAGCATTATTTTGAATTATCTAGCTAAAAGTCTATTTCTGTAATTGAAAAATGCTTAGGCCTCCTTTCCAAACTAGGGGACAATTGTGATGTTGTTTTTTAACTATTATTTCAAATGGCTTAAGATCAAGTATAGATTTGTCTTTATGGAGCTTTAGATATTTTTATAGAGTGGACAGAATCCAAAAAAGGCAAAGAAACAGCTATCTGGACTAACTAGGTTAGTCAAATAAACACACACACACACACACACACACACACAAACCAATGACATGTAGTGAGTTAAAATGACTGAAAAAAGATAAAGTGATAACAAGGCTTAAATTTTTTTGGCTGATAATACCACATACAACATTGAAAAAATTAAGTGGAGACTTTTATTTCCTCATTCAAAAAACAGTTGTGAGGTAGCCAGACATGTATTACCAAGAAAATGCAACAGTGACCAGATATTGAACTTTATTTATTTATTGTATCAAATGGGATTGAAAATTATAACCCATGGTTACAATTTTGTTTAAAAATGTCTCATGAACAGCAACAATCTTGAGTTTGTAGCATTCCTGAATTATAGCCAAATGTCTGTATTCAGCTTTGAGCAGTTTTGCCAATCAAATCAAATTTAACAAGTATGATTATCCCTATCAATGTTCTAACATTGTATGTCCACAAGGGAAAGACAGTTCACTTCATTATTGGGAAGTTACATAGATGAAGTTCATGCACCTATTAATTGAGACTGAAAATCAAACACCTGCCCCTTTGCTTTAGAAAACAGGTACAGTCTATACTGGGAGTTCTCAAACTTTAGCATGCATCAGATCACCTGGAGATGTTGCTAATACATAGGACCCATCTCTGGAGTTTCTGATTCAGGAGATCCAGGGTGGGGCTGATAATTTTCATTTTTAACAAGCTCCTTGGTAATGCTGAGCTACTACTGGTCTGTGAACCACTGATTTATTCTAACCAAAAAAGGAAGAGTGATGGGGAGGAAGTATGTTTTTTGGTCAACATATATATTTTTAAAAACTCAAACCATTATTGCTTGTATCTGTCCCTTATGAACCCCTGTCAAGGGTTGGAACTCATGTTTAGGGCTTGAATTGGTATAATGATATGGTGAGAGACTCAGTCTTCATAGAAATATCACGTCTTTTCTGATTCATGAAAAGGAAATTTTCTGTGTGAGATTGCCCACTGAAACATTTTTAAATATCAAATATTTTGTAATAATTCAGATTGAATTCATTATGCTCACTCTCTGGCTCCTGAGCTTAACTAATCCTCACAATTGCAGCTAAAGTATCCAGACTCAGAAAGATGAAGTAACCTGTGACTCGTACATGACAGAGCTGGGGCCTCCAACTATTTTCAAATATTGTCTCTATCTCCTTATTCCCTCCTGAGAAATTAGGCAAACGTGGCTTGGGAAGTTAGTTAAAAATGATCAAGAAGGCCTTGTATTGAAGGCAGTGTTTATGCATTTATGCTGACTTCTAACCCTCTTTGCTAGAGCAGTGGAATCCAAAGTAGGGCCCAACACTGCAGGAGGTGAGCCAGTTGAGGTGCTGGGATGTTTATTTTAAAAGTCAGAATGAAATGAAACTTCACCAACTTCTAAGATACGGATTGGCAGCGTTGCCCTCACGGAACTCCAGAGATGGACGGGAAGAGGGCAGTGCCATGTTGAGGGGAGGATGGAGAATGGTTCCGGGACCCACATTGGTCTCTAGATGTACTGCTTTTTAGGTGTCAAATGTATTTATGAATGTTATCTTGTTTTAAATAATAGCTTTGAAAAACCCTCATGAAATCAACAGATAGGTAGGATTCCTGTAATGGGTTTGGTTTGAAGATAGTATTAACAATGCAGAACAAAGCAACTCACAAGAAAACGGCAGAGCTGATACCCTTCTTCTTGCCAGATGGACTCTTCTGCAGCTACTTCACATGGTAAAATCAATGTTGAGTTCATCCTTCTCTGAAAAGAAGTTCAGCCAAAAATATTCAAAATTATCAGGAAGGTTATTTGTCGTTTGGATTTATACCTAATATTTCAATGCCACTAAGATGAACCTTGCCCTAAGTTGATATTGTATTTTGAGATACGAACTATTGACTGCAATATATTCTAAACAGTATATAATTTATAATAAATGAATATGTACATATTGTGGGTGCGTGCACCAGAGTTTTTCTATTTTTCTGAGAGTGGTATGTAATTAAAGAAACTTGGAAATCATTCATTGCAATAATGAATTATTGCAGCTGGTGAGGAAAGATTTTCTAACATCTGATGTTTCTGGGTCTGTATTGATTTTGCTATCTGACAGGCAAATCTATAGCTTTTTGGTCCAACTGAAGTTACTCTAAAGCTGTTTCTCTACATGTAAGTCTCCATTTCTTCTATGGAATGGAAGTATGCATAAGACCATTGTGAACATTAAATACATTAATGTATGGAAAGTGCTTAGCACAATGCTAGCCACATGGTAAAAGTACAATACATTCTAGCTCCCCTGCCCCTTCTGATATAGAACAAGAACAATATAACTACAAGAACAAGTTTCAATATTCGAGTGAGAAGTCGGTGGATAGGTTAGTGGTTTTTTCATGCACCAGTATTCTTGGGATACCTAGACAGGCTCTGGAAATAAACCCTTTAAGTGCTGAGAGTGCTTTGATTTATTTTGATCATATAATTGTTTCCACTCTCTAATTCTCTTGTTCTTATTTATGAAAAAGTCTCCTGAGATGTCCAATGTATCCTAAGTATGTTAAAAAAAGAATATGAAGAATTCATTTAAAGTTACAATTTAAAAGAAATTATTTCTAGGGGCAGAAAGATCTGAAGAATTATGATTAAATTTCAAAATGGCTAGTACATTTCTATTATAAAAAAGGCCTTTTCACACAAGTCTAATAGCTGTCCTTTCAATCAATTTTAGATTCACATAATCTGATCTGAAAAAGATCAGATTCTTGCAAAGTAGGAAAGTTCAACAGTGTTATCACATTTGTAATAAACCTGATGCAAGACATATTTGCAGATATCAGTTAGACTTAGCTCCATTTGCTGACTTCCAGGACTGATTTCAACACCTCCGTCAACGGTGTGCTATATTTTGTCATAGCTTTTGGAATTTTTATGTTTCAAAGTTGATTGCTTTTATCTCTCCTTTGAACTGACTTAAAAAAAGACAGAAACCTGTATTTTACTGTTGAACATTTATTATAATGGAATAGTCCATATCTTTCATATTTGCATGTTTTTACCTCCACACAACCTTAAATATTTACAAACATGAGAACCATTGAGAAAATAGCTTTGGCACATGTCACTGTTTCTTTAAATGAGCCTTTCCTTTCTGTAATGGCTCAAATGCAGACAATTGTTAGCAATTAACATTGGATCACACTTCAGTGGATTTATATCTGAATAGCACAAACCCTTTGTGTCCTACTTAATAACGTAGTGCTGCTAATGCATTGCTGCTTTCTAACAATTTCTCAGGTAGCCATGCTTTCTTCTACAGCCATGCATAAAACTTCTATGCCGGGGATTGATTTTTTTGGTTCATTGTAAATAGCAAGATAAACAACCTGTGGACTAAATTCAGTGTAAGTGTGCATACTCTAAATAGGGTTAAAGAACTCCTTAATGTTGATATTTCCTTAGCTTGGCAGTAAAACAAAATCAATGCTAATTCAACAGGGGCTCAGAAACCAAGTTTTGCTTTCATTGCCCTTTTAAAAAGAGTATAGGGCTGTAGTTATAAACAGAATTAAATTGCTTGGTTGATATGCCTGTTGAATAGTAGACGATTTTTATAGTCTATTCCTTTAAAATCCATTATCTTAATTTTAGATATATTACTTGATAACAAGACTGTTGATTAGAATGGTCGTATTAAACCTGTTTATAATTTTTAAAGTGATTTTTAATTCCCTCTACACACCCTTCCTTCTGGCAGAGGAAAAAAATTGCTTGTGGGGTGTTCAAAATTGGCCCTGTTTTTCTTAGATGATCTTTAATTACACTTTAAAGCAGGATTTCTTAATGGGGAATTGGAATTCTGCTTGTAAGAAAATTACAGAGGGTATTTGGGGATCTGCTATTAGCTGCAGGAACAAATAGAGAGATTAGTGAGACAAATGATCAGTAGCCTAAAATAATTACCTATGGGAGACAATGATTAGCCCCGGGAAGATCTAGCTGTGGTCATAAATGCTGCCTAAATTATGAGCTTATCAAACTTGTTTTAGGAGCGGTTAAGAAAAGGTGGTTTATGTTAGCCACCAGGAATCAGTGGAGGGGTCATCATGGAGAATAATAAATTAACTATGACCTCTTCCCATGCCTTAGCCCATAACAACAGTGATCTATGCTGGAGTTACAGATTAGAGAAGAAAAAGCAGGGGCCCAGGATTCCAGAACCATTGAGGAACTGCCCATCAATGGAGTCAGGGGAAAGTTTTTTTTTCAGTCAAATGATTTTAATATATTCATACAGTTACACATCTACCACCACAGTCAATTTTAAAACATTTTCATTACTCTATAAAAGAAATCCTGGATCTCTGGGCAGGGCATCTCTGAAAGAAAGGCAGCAGTCCCAGTCAGGGGGTTATAGATAAAACTCCGATCTCCCTGGGACAGAGCACCTAGGGGAAGGGGCAGCTGTGGGCACAGCTTCAGCAGACTTAAATGTTCCTGCCTGCTGGCTCTGAAGAGAGCAGCAGATCTCCCAGCACAGCGCTCCAGCTCTGCTAAGGGACAGACTGCCTCCTCAAGTGAGTCCCTGACCCCCGTGCCTCCTGATGGGGAAACACCTCCCAGCAAGGGTCGAGAGACACCTCATACAGGAGAGCTCTGGCTGGCATCTGGCGGGTGCCCCTCTGGGACGAAGCTTCCAGAGGAAGAAGCAGGCAGCAATCTTTGCTGTTCCGCAGCCTCCACTGGTGATAACTTGGCAAACAGAGTCTGGAGTGGATGCCCAGCAAACTCCAGCAGACCTGCAGAAGAGGGGTCTGACTATTAGAAGGAAAACTAACAAACAGAAAGCAATAGCATCAACATTAACAAAAAGGACAACAATGCAAAAACTCCATCTGAAGGTCACCAGCAGCAAAGACCAAAGGTAAATAAATCCACGAAGATGAGGAAAAAAAAGTGCAAAAAGGCTGAAAATTCCAAAAACCAGAATGCCTCTTCTCCTTCAAAGGATCACAACTCCTCGCCAGCAAGGGAACAAAACAGGACAGAAAATGAGTTTGACAAATTGACAGCAGTAGGCTTCAGAAGGTGGATAATAACAAACTCCTCCAAACTAAAGGAGCATGTTCTAACCCAATGCAAGGAAGCTAAGAACCTTGATAAAGGGTTAGAGGAATTGCTAACTAGAATAACCAGTTTAGAGAAGAACATAAATGACCTGATGGAGCTGAAAAACACAGCATGGGAACTTCACGAAGCATATGCAAGTATCAGTAGCTGCATTGATCAAGAAGAAGAAAGGATATCAGAGACTGAAGATCAACTTAATGAAATAAAGCAAGAAGACAAGATTAGAGAAAAAAGAATGAAAAGGAACAAACACAGCCTCCAAGAAATATGGGACTATGTGAAAAGGCTGAACCTACATTTGATTGATGTACCCAAAAGTAATGAGGAGAATGGAACCAAGTAGGAAAACACACTTCAGGATATTATCCAGGAGAACTTCCCCAACCTAGCAAGAGAGGCCAACATTCAAATTCAGGAAATACAGAGAACCACCATAAAGATACTAGTCAAGAAGAGCAACCCCAAGACACATAATCATGAGATTCACCAAAGTTGAAATGAAGAATAAAATGTTAAGGGAAGCCAGAGAAAAAAGTCAGGTTACCCCCAAAGGGAAGCCCATCAGACTAACAGCAGATCTCTCTGCAGAAACCCTACAAGCCAGAAGAGAGTGGGGGCCAATATTCAACATTCTTAAAGAAAAGAATTTTCAGCCCAGAATTTCATATCCAGCCAAGCTGAGCTTCATAAGTGAAGGAGAAATAAAATCCTTAACAGACAAGCAAATGCTGAGGGATTTTGCCATCACCAGGCTTGTCTTACAAGAGCTCCTGAAGGAAGTACTAAATATGGAAAGGAAAAACCGGTACCAGGTACTGCAGAAACAAACCAAAATGTAAAGACCATTGACACTATGAAGAAACTGCATCAACTAATGGGGAAAATAAGCAGCTAGCATCATAATGACAGAATCAAATTCACACATAACAATATTAACCTTAAATGTAAATGGGCTAAATGCCCCAATCAAAAGGCACAGACTGGCAAATTGGATAAAGAGCCAAGACCCATCAGTGTGCTGTATTCAGGAGCCCCATCTCATATGCAAAGACACTCAAAGGCTCAAAATAGAGGGATGGAGGAAGATTTACCAAGCAAATAAAAAGCAAAAAAAAAAAAAAAAGCAGGAGTTGCAATCCTAGTCTCTGATAAAACAGACTTTAAACCAACAAAGATAAAAAAAGACAAAGAAAGGCATTACATCATGGTAAAAGGATCAATGCAACAAGAAGAGCCAACTATCCTAAATATATATCCACCCAATACAGGAGCACCCAGTTTCATAAAGCAAGTTCTTAGAAATCAAGTTCTACAAAGAGACTTAGACTACCACACAATAATAATGCGAGACTTTAACACCCTACTGTCAATATTAGACAGATCGAGACAGAAAATTAACAAGGATATTCAGAACTTGTACTCAGCTCTGGACCAAGGGGACCTAATAGGCATCTACAGATCTCTCCACCACAAATCAACAAAATATACATTCTTCTCAGCACCACATAACACTTATTCTAAAATCGACCACATAATTGGAAGCAAAACACTCCTCAGCAAATGCAAAAGAACGGAAATCATAACAAACAGACCACAATGCAATCAAATTAGAATTCAAGGTTAAGAAACTCACTCAAAACCACACAACTCCATGGAAACTGAACAACCTATTTCTGAATGACTACTGAATAAATAACAAAATTAAGGCAGAAATAAATAAGTTCTTTGAAACCAATGAGAACAAAGACACAATGTACCAGAATCTCTGGGACACAGCTAAAGCAGTGTCTAGAGGGAAATTTATAGCACTAAATGCTCACAGGAGAAAGTGGGAAAGATCTAAAATTGACAACCTAACATCACAATTAAAAGAGCTAGAGAAGCAAGAACAAACAAATTCAAAAGCTAACAGAAGACAAGAAATAACTAAGATCACAGCAGAACTGAAGGAGATAGAGACTTGAAAAACCCTTCAAAAAATCAATGAATCCAGCAGCTGGTTTTTTGGAAAGATTAACAAAATAGATAGACCACTAGCCAGACTAATAAAGAAGAAAATAGAGAAGAATCAAATAGACACAATAAAAAATGATAAAGGGGAGATCACCACTGATCCCACAGAAATACAAACTACCACCAGAGAATACTATAAACAGCTCTACCCAAATAAACTAGAAAACCTAGAAGAAATAAATTCTTGGACACATACACCCTTCAAGACTAAACCTGGAAGAAGCTGAATCCCTTAATAGACTAATAACACGTTCTGAAATTGAGGAAGTAATTAATAGCCTATCAACCAAAAAAAGCCCAGGACCAGACGGAGTAACAGCTGAATTCTACCAGAGGTACAAAAAGGAGCTGGTACCATTTTTTTTTGGAAACTATGTCAAAAAATAGAAAAAGAGGGACTCCTCCCAACTCATTTTATGAGGCCAGCATTATCATGATACCAAAACCTAGCAGAGACACAACAAAAAAAGAAAATTTCAGGCCAATATCCCTGATGAACATCAATGCAAAAATCGTCAATAAAATACTGGCAAATCGAATCCAGTGGCACATCAAAAAGCTTATCCACCATGATCAAGTGGGCTTCATCCCTAGGATGCAAGGCTGGTTCAACATACAAAAATCAGTAAACGTAATCCATCACATAAACAGAACCAATGACAAAAGCCACATGATTATCTCAAGAGATGCAGAAAAGACTTCAATAAATTCAATGCCCCTTCATGGTAAACAAACTCAATAAACTAGGTATTGATGGAACATATATCAAAATAATAGGAGTTATTTATGACAAACCCACAGCCAATATCATACTGAATTGGCAAAAACTGGAAGCATTCCCTTTGAAAACCAGCCCAAGACAAGGATGCCCTCTCTCACCACTCCTATTCAACATAGTATTGGAAGTTCTGGCCAGGGCAATCAGACAAGAGAAAGAAATAAAGGTATTCAAATAGGAAGAGGGGAAGTCAAATTATCTGTGTTTGGAGATGACATGATTGTATGTTTAGAAAACCCTGTGGTCTCAGCCCAAAAACTCCTTAAGCTCTTAAGCACTTCAGCAAAGTCTCAGGATACAAAATCAATGTGCAAAAATCACAAACATTCCTATACACTGATAATAGACAAACAGAGAGCTAAGTCATGAGCAAACTCCCATTCACAATCACTACAAAGAGAACAAAATGCCCAGGAATACAACTTACAAGGGATGTGAATGACCTCTTCAAGGGGAACTACAAACCACTGCTCAAGGAAATAAGAGAGGACACAAACAAATGGAAAAACATTCCATGCTCATGGATAGGAAGAATCAGTATTGTGAAAATGGCCATACTGCCCAAAGTAATTTACAGATTCAATGCTATTCCCATCAAGCTACCACTGACTTTTTTCACAGAATTAGAAAAAACTACTTTAAATTTCAAATGGAACCAAAAAAGAGCCTGTATAGCCAAGACAATCCTAAGCAAAAAGAACAAAGCTGGAGGCATCACGCTACCTGACTTCAACTATACTACAAGGCTACAGTTACCAAAACAGTATGGCACTGGTACCAAAACAGATATATAGACCAATGGAAAAGAATAGAAGCCTCAGAAATAACATCACACATCTACCACCATCTGATCTTTGACAAACCTGACAAAAACAAGCAATGGGGAAAGGATTACCTATTTAATAAATGGTGTTGGGAAAATTGGCTAGCCATATGCAGAAAACTGAAACTGGACCCCTTCTTTACACCTTATGCAAAAATTAACTCAAGATGGATTAAAGACTTAAAAGTAAGACCTAAAACCATAAAAACCCTAGAAGAAAACCTAGGCAATACCATTCAGGACATAGGCATGGGCAAAGACTTCATGACTAAAACACCAAAAGCAATGGCAACAAAAGCCAAAATAGACTAATGGGGTCTAATTAAACTAAAGAACTTCTGCACAGCAAAAGCAACTATCATCAGAATGAACAGGCAACCCACAGAATGGAAGACAATTTTTGCAATCTATCCATCTGACAAAGGGCTAATATCCAGAATCTACAAAGAACTTAAATAAATGTACAAGAAAAAAACAAATAACCCCATCAAAAACTGGGCAAAGGATATGAACTGACACTTTTCAAAAGAAAAGATTTATGTGGCCAACAAACATATGAAAAAAAGGTCATCATCACTAGTCATTAGAGGAATGCAAATCAAAACCTCAGTGAGATACCATCTCACGCCAGTTAGAATGGCAATCATTAAAAAGTCAGGAAACAACAGGTGCTGGAGAGGATGTGGAGAAATAGGAGTTCTTTTATGCTTTTGGTGGGAGTGTGAATTAGTTCAACCATTGTGGAAGACAGTGTGGCGATTCCTCAAGTACCTTGAATTAGAAATACCATTTAACCCAGCAATCCCATTACTGGGTATGTACCCAAAGGATTACAAATTCTGCTATAAAGACACATGCACATGTATGTTTATTGCAGCACTATTCACAATAGCAAAGACTTGGAACCAACCCAAATACCCATCACTGTTAGACTGGATAGAGAAAATGTGGTACATATATATCATGGAATACTATGCAGCCATAAAAAAGAATGAGTTCGTGTCCTTTGCAGGGACAGGGATGAAGCTGGAAACCATCATTCTCAGCAAAAACTAACACAGGAACAGAAAACCAAACACCACATATTCTCACTCATAAGTGGGAGTTGAACAATGAGAATATATGGGCACAGGGAGGGGAACATCACACACTGGGGGTGTTGGGGGGTGGGGGGCCAAGGGGAGGGATAGCATTAGGAGAAATACCTAATGTAGATGGGTGCAGCAAACCACCATGGCACATGTATACCTATGTAACAAACCTGCACGTTCTGCACATGTATCCCAGAACTTAAAGTATAATTTAAAAAAAAAAAGTGAAAAAAGAAGAAGAAAAAAAAAAACAAATCCTGTACCCCTTAACAATCACCTCCCAAATCCCCATCCCTCCTAGGCCTAGGAATGAACAAACACACTAATCTGCTTTCTGTCCCTCTAGATTTTCCTGTTTTGAACATTTCATATCAATAGAATCATATAATATGTTCTCCTATGTGATTGACATCTTTCACTAAGCATAATGTTTTCAAGGTTCATCCATGTTGTATCATGTATCAGTACTTCATTTATTCTCATCACAGAATAATATTTCATTTTATGGATAGACTGCATTCTGTTTCTCCATTCGTCAACTCATGGACATTTGGGTTGTTTTCACTTTTATGTTAAGTTTTTGTGTGGACATAGGTTTTCATTTCTCTGGGGTTTATACCAGTGAGTAGAACTGCTAGGTTATGTGGTAACTCGGTGTTTGTCATTTGAGGAATTGCCAGGCTTTTCCAAGGTGGAGCCAGGGGAAAGGTTTTAGTTGGTTTTCTGGAGTGAGAAGGCAGAGGCAGAAGGCAAGATGAAAGTAATGCTGTTTTCCTCTTAAGAAGGTCAAAGGTAATCAGAATTGGCAGTAGCCATCAAGTTGTTGGTAAACTTTCTGAGAGCCTACCATGTCAGAGAGGATGAGAGAAGCCAGAGCTGATATGCCAAAATGTATAGCAACTTTATTTTACCAGATGAACATTTCAAAAATGAATTTTTAAAGCTCCCTTTACTGATGTAGGCATTTCCAACATGAAATGTAATTATAAACTCTAGGCTAGAGCTAGAGCCAGGGAGAAAGAAACC
This sequence comes from Homo sapiens, assembly GCF_000001405.40. Taxonomy (NCBI): domain Eukaryota; kingdom Metazoa; phylum Chordata; class Mammalia; order Primates; family Hominidae; genus Homo; species Homo sapiens. Next base: position 157,797,732 of record NC_000003.12, on the reverse strand, counting down.
TAGAGCTAGAGAGAAAGGAATTGAGTGTGAGTTGAGAACATGAAGCCAGTGAGAAAGAAAGAAGCAAGTCTACAGCAAGGAAGTACAAAACTTGGTCTTGTGCATGACGTTTCTACCTTCTGTGAGGTTTAAACCATTGTGCAGAAAGGACCATGATAACCTAGTGACAGCTTTGATGTCATCATTATCTCTCTATCCATCTCTTACCCATCTCTCTGTATGACAACATTTTAAAACTCTACACCTTAGTAAAAGATCAAGTATATAGTAGGTGTTTAATGAAAATATGTGGCTGGGCATGGTGGCTCATGTCTGTAATCTCAGCTTTTTGGGAGGCTGAGGTGGGTGGATCACTTGAGGTCAGGAGTTCAAGACCAGCCTGGCCAATGTGGTGAAACCCCGTGTCTACTAAAAAATACAAAAAAATTAGCCAAGTGTGGTGGTATATGCCTGTAGTCCCAGGTACTTGGGAGGCTGAGGCACGAGAATCGCTTGAGACCAGGAGGCAGAGGCTGCAGTGAGTCAACTCTGACTCACAACTGCACTCCAGCCTGGGCAACAGAGTGAGATTCTGTCTCAAAAAAATATATGTGCACTCAATGAATTAATAACTATGTTTATAGATGAATTTGTTGAACAAAGATACATTTTATTCATAAACTGATTGATTTTGAGGAGTAGTTATGTTGAAATTTTTTACCCACCTTTTTTCCCCTTAAATTAGAGTGGGTAGGCTTCTTATTACACCAGAGCTTTCTTCCTAAGATTTACAATTTATTTTTAGTCATTGTTTAGATATTTTGAAAATGGAGTAGGTCCAAGTCAACTTAACTACTTATTAAATGACTACTCTGTGTAAGACACCACATTAGGCACAGGAGAACATGAAGAAAGTGACACTTGTTCTGTGTCCTCAAACAACTTAAAAAAAACTAGTAATATTTTTGTTCCAGTTTTAAATTTGAATCATAGAAAAATGATTAAAAATAAGGCTGTGGGTGAGTATGGTGGAAGGGGTAGACATTGTACCAGCTGTACTCTGCTCTTCCTTGGATTAATCATCATCCTGGGTGTTATCTAAGCAGAACTGTCTATCTGAGGTTATACCACTTAGGTCATAGAAGCCTTGTTTTTCATGGGCCAAACAGAACCAGGTTCTATGTCAAAAGTTTACTAGTAATAAACGATGATAACATTATTAACAACGTGGAGGAAGCAATTCAGTGGCCTGGCTTGTTGTTTATTGATGTTTGCACTGTGGACTGGCACTGTTGTATATATTTTTGTTTCCATCTTATTTAGAGCACAGAGTGACAGGAAATTAATATTTGTTAAACAAACATATGAAGGGCTATTGACAACTCTTTTTTTTCACTCATTTACAAGTTTGTAACAATAACATTTATAAGAGCAAAAAACTTTTTGTGGATGATCCCTGTCCATGGCCTGAAAATACTTCAGGGAGGGAGCAGCAGCGGTGTACCAAGGTGGTGGCTTGGGGTGGAAGTCAGAAGAGCCTTCAGCCAACATATCCATCACAGCCTCTGCAGGCACTGGAGCAAGACCAAAAACATTTCCAAATGGTCCTCCTTAGTGTTCACATTTTCCGAATCATAGGCTTTCTATGGGGTGAGAGTGCCCATTTCCTTCACAGGTGGAATGAGTCTTCCTTTCTGAATTTTGAATAAAATACAGGACCTGAATGGTATCTACATCAGTTAACATTTTTAAAACAAAAAACTGTCCCTCTAGGGTTCACCATATCTGTCTTCTTTTCATCCTCCTGATTGGGAAAATTAAGATCAAAGACAGACACAGGCTTACTTATCATACCCACCCAGGCACATGTGTATATGCACACACTCACTGCTCCTCCATCACCCAACACACAGAGAGGAGACAGAGAAAGTAACGGGGGTGGGGGGGTGTGGAATGGGAAACTATTAGACTTACTTGGCAGTCTTTTTGTATCTGAAAAATTGCAGTGTCCATATCTGACCAAGGCCATAATGGTACCCTAGTTCTAATCGCCAGATTCCTCATTTCATTTCTCAAAGATTTAACTTCTGAAAGACTCAGACGTTGGATAACATATTTTTGAAAGGAGACAGTTTTAAAATAACTACTTAAGTTATTTAAAGATTGTTCCCTTTATTGTTGGACGTTGAGCACAAGGAACTTCAATCTGAATTGCTGTGGGACATTTTGTTTTATGCTACTGTGCAGGAGAATAACAAAATTTTAGTTTAAGACATAGTTGGAATTATTCTTCAAAAATCTGACAGCTATGCACCTACAAATGCCTTGCTTTAAATAACCTTCAGAATCAGTTCTATTATTGTTCACTTACTACATGCTATTAAAAAAAAATGGAGAAAACTAGTGGTAGCAAAATACTGAGCTGACTGTGGGCCTGAGACATGGAATTGCTGGCACTGTGTGGTTCTTTTTGTGAGATCCACAAATTTTAATTAAGGTCCACAATTGCACATCCTTCTATTCAAAGTAATCCAAAATACTTCCTTAGTTTTATAACTCAGTGACTTTTTATATTAGCACTTTTAGATTGACCATGCATATTTCCAAAGTTTGGTAGAGATTAGAGCTTTAATAAGTCATCCAAATATCTCCTTGTGAGACTACTATGTATTTATTGTTTCCTTTTAAAAAAAATTTCATGATAGAAGTGTACTAGCTCCAAGAGGCTGTGAGTCATCCTACTTTAAATAGTAGCGGCAGAAAGAAAAACAAAATACCTTATTTACCATTGGTGATTTCCAAATTGTTGTGTCTTCCAGATGACTTAGAGAGGTTAAATTACTACAATGAATACCATTTTGAAAATATGTTTCTGTTGGTATCCAAAGGCATCAAGTTAAAATCTTAGTTTCATGGAATTTTAACATAACCCACATTTTGGGAGAAGAAAATCACAAAGGTTTTTCATGTACTGTTATCTCAAAACCCTGCAATGTTAGCTGACCACCAGCGTTGTTTTCTTGGGGGTAGATAATGTTTTCCAGCTGTCCCATTACCACCTCTTCCTTGTTTCCTTTATTTGGGCCACCACTTGCTCTTCACTGTAACCAAATAGTCGAATCAGTGTTGACTGTATTGCTATTATAGATTAAAAAAAAAAAAAGAACGAGCTGAGTTTATATCATGGAGCTCTCTATCAATTAGAAATCAAACTCTGAGCTCCCAGGTGACTATCATCAAGGCCTAGAGAAGGATACCAGCCACAGGGCAAATTGCAGAGGGAAAATTCTTTCCTGAAGTACAGAGGTTCTCATAGCTATTAGTTTTAACCCTGCTAAGTCAATTATTTATTGTGAATGTAGAAATGGAATTATAGCAAATGCAGATGTGTATATGAATTCCAATATTGACCTGCTTTACTCAATGCAGAGTCATGAAAAGGGACAATTGCCTATCAAATCCTCATACTACAATAGAACTTTCAATATGTACCCAGAAGGGCAGCCCTCCCAATACTCTATATTGCCTTTTAAAGCAATAGGAGGCTTCTTAAGTCTCTCACAGATTTAATAAAACCTCCATCAAATTTCTGTTGCTGTAGCCCCAAACAATCAAGTCTCAAGGACTTGCGAGGCCTCACCTGGATTTGCGCGGCCCTGGAGCCAGACGGAGTTTTTATTAAACCTGATCTCACACTGTTGGAGATGTCGGTGGAGTTGAGCGAATGAGCAACTGGAGCCGCTCCATGGTGGGACAGATCCAATTGGCAATCCTCTGCGCAGGCATCCCCCAGCACTGCTTGCCTGTTGTATGTTGCAGTGTTTACATAGCGTTTTCACAGAAGGATTCATTTAGGATTAACTTAATTGAATAAACACAAAGCTGCATAATTTATGGACCAAAATAGTTTTTCCTGGTTGGGTTGCTGACTAGCATTTCCTTTCTCCCTAATGGAATATTGTAAAGCCCCCATATTGTTATAATCAGAATTTCATCTTTGAGTTGATTCTGTTCTTTTGCATAATATGATTTTATTATAAGCCAGATGTATAAATAATTGCTCATAAACAGAGCTTTTCCTTCAAGCAAAGTAATGGAAATATATGTATGTATATATACACACAGATGTGTGTATATATATATATATATACACAAATATGGCTTATGTTTAATTTTTTATTTTTCTAATAGAATAAATCCAGTAGCAAAATCTTTTCATTATGTGGATTATACTGAATTCTTGTTAATGTTTCCCCCAAAAAAGATAATTTAGGAAAATAAATACAGTGGCTGAGATTTTGCTAATGAGATAGGATAGAGTAAATGCTGGGAAGATGTAGTGATTGCTTTGGGGCCCCAGAAAATTAGCCATCATGGTACTTCCCTATTTAAGAATCCATAATAATTCCCTGTTGTCTGTTAAATCAAGTTTGGACTGCTTTACTTGTATTTCAAGTGCTTTCATAATCTGGCTTCACCCTACCTGTCCAGCCTGATTAACCCTGCTCATTACTACATGCCTTCCATTAGGGATTGGTGAGCAGTGATAATCACTCCCCATGGGCACCACATATGGCCTCATACCTCATTTGCTGAAAATGCATGATGGTCTTTGCACCTGCTCTTCCCTCTACTTTGAATGCTCGCTCAACTTTTTGTGCCTGCCAGTTGAAATGTTAGCTATTTTTAAAGGTGCTGCATAAAATCCATCATCTCAGGATGAGAAGGAAACTGACTACTCAGTCCTACAGTGAACTTCCACTTCTGTGGTAGGTTGAAAAATGGCACCCCAAAGATATGCCTAATCCTCATCTCTAGAACCTGTGAATATTACTTTATTTGAAAAAAAAAAAAAAACATCTTTGCAGATACAATTAAGGATTTTGAGATAAGGAGATTTTCCTGGCTGATCTGGGTGGGCCCTAAATGCCATCACAAGCATCCTTATAAGAGAAATGAGAGGGACATTTGACACACAGAAGAGGAGGAGGCAAGTGACCGTGGAGGCAGAGATTGGAATGATGTCGTCACAAACCAAGGAAGGCCTACAGCCACCAGAAGCTGGAGGAGGCAAAGATGCAATTCTCCCCTGGATTCTTAGTAAGGAGTGTGGCCCTGATTTTGGATTTCTGGCCTCCAGAACTGGGAGAGAATAAGTTTCTGTTTCTTTAAGCTGCCAAATTTGTGGTAATTTGTTACCATAGAAAATAAATACACCTTGTTTGGAGAGTACTGAACGTTTACTCTGGTACAGGTAAGAATCTAATAGTTCCCTGATGCTTCATATGTAGCTGCTCTCTTCCCAAATAGATTATAAATTCTTGGTAGGCTCTTAGAGGTAACTGGCACAGATATGGTCATAGAATATCACTGAATTCTTTTATAAGTATTGGTTATTTTTAACATACTGGAAGAGACAAGATGCTGGTTGCCTCGCAGTGTTCTGTTGGCAATTGATACTCTTGCTTCAGGTAAATAGTCACCTCTAGAATGTGATTGTGGATCTAAATAAACTGTTTTCTCTTAAACTGTCTGTTGCAAAAGTATAATAGATGTAAGTATTTGATATGTCTTTGTTATCTAGTCCAGTCTCCTCACCTACAAATCCCCTGTGTGGTAATTTTTTGGTTCCCAGGGTTGCTGACACACCTGCAGTCCATTTTCATCTGTTACAGAATGTCAGCATTGTGGCTGGCTCTCACTCAAATTTCTCCTCTTTCCAGAGGAAAGGGTCTAAAGGGTTTATGAGGTTGGCAGTGCTATACCTCGGCTTAGCATTCTGGGCTTATGCAACTACAATGGGGTTAGCAAAATTAGCAGGCACAAGAAACATACAAGGCCAGACCTCATGAGGCCAGCCTGCATTTCCCCTGATGTCCAGGGCTCTCTAGAGCAGAACTCACAGTGTCTCAACATTGGAGCATGGAACATAGCTGCATAGCGAATGAAGCTCAATGTCCTGACCTGATAGTCTTCTGACAATCCTTTAAAATAACTCATTTATAAGGAAGCTAAATTTTCAAGAATGAGTTCCTTCAAATTAAATATTTTGGAATCCATTTTAGTTTGGCTGTTCACAGTAACTTTTATTTGGTCACAAATGTAACTCATGGTAGAAAGTGTAGGCTGGTTATGCCTGGTTCCAACCTTGAGAAATTTAGAACCTCTTCTGAGGTGTATCAATATTTAGAAATTTGAATTTCAGAGGAAAATTTCACCTAAATATTCATCTACAGGAGATCTGAACTAGGCTCTTGGTTCACCGCAAGACTAGTCTCTGGAGACAGAGATGAAAACATTTGATCAAATTAATTTATAACTGCATTTTCAGGCTGTTAAATAGTAACCTGTTGGTTATTCTAAGGGGAAACTTCAATAATAATTCTAATCAAGGGGCTACGGGTATCAAAGTAACTACTGCCTTCCTGCCTGTCTCTATGAGGACAGTTTAAATACTGTAAAAAATAATCAAGACCCCTTTCTCTACTCTTTAATAATATTGTCCCCAAGTGGTACTATTGGTAAGCCTGAGGGCAAATCTCAGGGTATTCTTAGCATGGTTTCCCAGAGAGGGATTCTGTAAGCCAAATCCCCTTGATAATGAGACAAATAGTTTTCCCTGATTTACTGCTAGCCAAAATGTGTGCATTTAAATCTAGGTAACCATACTCATTGTAGCCTTTTTGTTAATTTCTCTTAGGTTGAAGAAAGCCCTTACTAAAGGGAGTTCTTTAGCTGCAAAACTATTTAGATCCTTTTCTGAGTGGTGGCTCACCTGGCTTAACTCTTCAGATACAGTTAAAGTAGAATGGACACAAAGAAAAGTCAATCTAATTTACAAAAAGCAATAACCTGTGATAACCAAATTCATCCAATTGGCTTTTGAGTGTCTCCTCAAAGTTCTAAATTAACTTTCTTTTCAACAAGCTGCAGGTCCGAGTCTCTCCATCTGTTACTCCATAGGATGAGCAGGTAGGCTATAGGCTTACTAATTTTATCACTAACCAGGACCATATTCAGTATAACTAAATTGAAAAAGTTTAAAAATAATTTTAGACACTTTGTAGGGTTTATTGGTTTATCAATGGCTTTTGGATCATATACAGGAACTGTCAGTTAGGCATGTCATCTGATCTTGATCTAGCCTTTTAAAGTTTCTTTTAGCGTTTGTCTACATACCACATCAAAAATCACAGTGGGGAAAGCGAATTCCATTTGTAAGTGGCATGAAAAAGGGCTTCCTCCATATATATACGCATTTCTAATGATTTTCTGTGGTTCAAAGATGAACTGGATGCTCCCTACCAAATGCAAACATACTTCACATTCTGTTGATCCCAGAATGTCACCTAGACTTAATATTGCCTTTGGATTCATGGATGACTTTCTACAGGAGGCAATGCTTTAAGGGTGGCTTTGTCAGGCAGATAAAATGTCAGTGAGCTCTCGGCAGAAGGAACAGCACATTTATATGTAGTTTGGAGACAGCTTGACACCTTGGGGCACTTTAAGTGGTGCCTCAGAGCCAATTGTAGTTCCAAACTATAGTCCTAAACTCAGCCTGGGAAGCTCTCAGCCTGCAGCTTTTGAGTGAAAGTGTGTCAGTCGCTTGCTTTTCAATTCAGAGAATTGCTTTGGTCTCTGCTGTTCCTTTTATGTCCTAAAACTGCCTTCACTTCCATGTGGGTTCCCTGAATTTGGTTCCTTTGCCTTCAGACAAGCACCTTTCTCCTGGCTGGTCTTGGAAACAACAGCTAGCGTGGATGTCTGCCAGGATTTTTATCCAGCCTTTCCCCAAAACAGTCTCAGCTTTCACTGGATTCCTTTCTGGGGGCAGCCTGCAGGGAAGTGACACCAGCTTCTGTCCCAGGCTCCTGGCCCAGATCTTGTCCTTTTTGTATGACTAGGATGGGGATCACTGGTACCCAGGATGCAAAACCAGAGTGGTAAGAAAGGGCCAGATTGCTGAGGCCCTTGCATGGTACATTAAGGTATTTGGAGTCTATCCATAGCTTTGGTGAGCCACTGGGTGAATTTAAGTAGTGGAGTGAGATGATCAATATCCATTTTAGAAAGATGACCTTGGCGGTCTGGAGGAAAGTGAACGAAGTGGGGAATAACAGGAAGCTATGCCAATACTCAAGTTAGAATTGAGGAACAAAGGTAATATCAAAGAGGTTAAAACAAGGAAAGAGATTCAAAATATTTTAAAAGGTAATGTTGATGAGAATTGTTGACTTGGATTTAAAAGTAAGGGAATGGGAAAGAGAGAGAGGTTAAGAAAACTTGCAGGGTGGTGGTGCCATATTACTTGTAATCAGGATCATAGGAGGATGATCAGGTTTAAGGAGAAGTTAATGGGATAACAATGGACTTAGTCATAATATATCTTGAGTGTGAGTCTTCTATGAGGAATCCAGGTAGAACAGCCCAGTACACAGTTGAGACTATGAGGAGAGACGGTTAAAGGTAAAGGCCTATGAGTTGTCATTGGCACCCTAAGTTGTGGTAGAATATTATTCAGCTCTTGATAATTATAATTACTTAAAATGATAATTACTAAGTAGAATGTGAAAACATAAAAAGAACAGGGTAAAAATTGTATCTATTTTGTGACTTCAACTATATAAAAATTGTGTTTATAAACAGATAAAAGTAGGAAAGGGAAATAGAAAAATTAAACAGCAGATTTGTTAAGATGGTGGGTTCTTTTAAAATTTTTCATATTCTGCCTCTTTTAAAAAAGAATTTGCAGTGTCATAAGACTCCATTAATTTTCTAAAAAAGTCACTTCTGTGGTTATAATATTTTTCATGTAATACATTTAAATTGCAAGGGCTGCTGGGTATGGGTGTGAAAATATTAATATGAGATATCATATGAGAAAGTACTTTGTAAACTTCCATGTGAATGATTATTACAATATGAACATGATCCTTTTTCGCCTGTCTAAAGAAGTGATATTTTCATAGTTAGCTTCTAGTATTTTGTGTTCTAGATGTTTGCGTTAGTATACAGATTCTCTACATCATTCTGAAGATCATAGCCATGGAATTTCCTGAAAATTTATAATATGAGCAAAACACAAGTAAAAAAAAAAGGCTTTGATGAAATTTGCTTGGATTATCAGACTCATTTATCGAGAACCTCTATATGCTAGGGGCTATGCTGATGACTTAGGAAAAGAACAAAACATACTCCCTATCTTCAGGAATCTTAGAATTTGGTGTAAGAAATGAAAAGTAAATAAGCAATTATTCAGTGTGATGAATGAGATCAAGGGAGCTTACCAGAATTTTAAGGGAACACATCAAATAAGGCACCAGAGGCTTTCCAGAGAAGATGGTGTCTATGATGAGTGTTGAATAACATGGAGAAGTTGAGTTAAGGACTTGGGGAAAGTACCTTCCAGGAAGGGGAAGGCATCATATGCAAACTCTCAGAAGTAAGAAAGTGTGACACATTCGGGCAACTCGTAGAAGCTTTTACTTTGGCTATTCATAGAGCTGGTATAGAGGGCAAGTGATGCTGAAGATAGAGGGCAAGTCCAGATGGTCTTATTTGCTATGCTCAGAATATTGGACTTGGTCGTGTAAGAAGTGGGGAGTCGTTGGAAGACTAGCAAAGGGAGCAACATAATTAGAAAAGTTATTCTGGATGTAGTGTGTTGAATGATTGGGATGGACCTGGAGGGAAGCCCAAGACCCCTGTAGCTGTTGCTATGATGCAGAAAGAGAATCGTGAGCCTGAATCGGGTAAGCAGGACTGAAGAGTAGAAAATGGAGGTGGGAGCTATTCATGAAGAGGAATCAGCAACACTTGGTGTTGGAGTGTAGAAAGTGAGGGAAAGAGAAGAGTCAAGGATGATCCCTGGGTTTCTGGCTTGGAGAATGAGATCTTTCTCTCCCCTAAGAAGGGGAAAACAGGAGGAGCAGGTTTGGGTTGGTAAGCTCAATTTTGGTACATTGAGTTGGAGGATTCTGTGGGATAGCAGTGTGATGAAAAAAAATCTAATGGGTGGTGGTGTATATCAATCTAGACTTTGGATGAGAGATTTTACTAAGATTTCTCAGGTGAGGGAGCTAAAATCTGAAGTAGACATTAAAGAAGTTAGTACTGTGTGTCTGGCACATATAGGATGCAGATGCAAGTGAATATATCACTGAATAAATTAATGGAGTTGTGGATTCTTTGGAATTGGAGGAAGCTTCAAGGACCATCTAGTCTAATAGATTACACAGTAACTTAAGTTGGATTCAGAAACCTAGGCTTTATGAATTTAGATCCAGTTGTCTTTCTGCTCTATACTGCTGCTGGGGTGGACATAGAAGAGAGAACTGAATGAAGAAAAGCATGAAAGAGGAAACTGGCTTGGTGAGAGCAAGAAGCAGGAGTTTGCTACCAAGTAGTGGTAAATGAGGTGACCATCCCTGACTCTCACCCAACACCAACACACCAGACCAACTTCTGAGGTCCTATAATGGTAGGCAGGGGAGAGGCCTCTTGAATGGCATTCCTAAAAGGCAGTCAAATTTTCACGGCTTGTCCACCTTCTGGAGGCCCAGATTTCTCCCCCTTTGTTTAGGTGAGGGGTCACTTTGCCTCTATGTGAGAGTTATGAAGGGCTGCTTTGTTCTGGGAGAAATTTTGTCACCTGTACAAGTCAAAAGCCATGATTTCCATGGCTCTGTGAACTCAGGCAAAACCATGGATTTTCATAAAGAAAGATTCAATTGTGTAATAGCTTTCTCACTGCCGTGATGTTTCAGGACAACCTGACTGTAATGTCATTTCCATGCTTCTAAATTGTTTTTTATCACAGATGAAATGAAATGAAGCTGTTAATGACAAGCTGAATGGGAAATGCATCTGGCAGCCCTGTGAGGGATGAATCAGCTGCCCTCTCCTCGTGAGAGCAACACCTTGCTTTTATTTTGCCCAGCTCTTCAAAGTGAAATGGCAAATAGCATTAGCAGATCAGGCCGGGAGGACTGAAGGCAACTTTGTGGTGTACGTAATTTGGTGCTTCTTTGCTGCTGGATGTATTTGTGTTAAGTGCCCCCATCTATTCAAATATCAGAGGAGGAATTTTTGAATTTGGGTAGTACTGACTCTCTTAGGTTGGTAGGGAGTTTGCAGGGTAGATTGTGTGATAAAGAAAATTAACCATTTCTTGAGGCTGGCCTCCTTGAGGCTGGCCTCCTTGAGGCCTGGGTAAAAGGTTATAAGGACAGATCTCATTAGGCTGAAAGGTGTTTTATATTATCAAAGCAGGGCTTTCTCAAGGCAGTTTGTCCTTTTGCCTGGGGGAAGATGAGTTTTCTAAATGACTCAACTACTTTTTGGCATACTTTTGCATTTGGTTCATTTCCAGGTACCAGAAAGAATGTAAATATGGAATGAATCAACTTTTTCCACATTTTTCTCTAGCAGTTCTTTTATGAAGAACAGATTTTCCATAGAGGAAATTTAAAAATACATAAAACTGAGAAACGATGGTGTTGTTGAGAGCGGCCTCATTTTCCATGTCACTTTGTAACTGGCAATGCACACTGTATTCAAATGGCATTAATATAAAGTATAGAGTTTGTTTCAATTAGCTTCATTTCTCCTCAAGATGAGAAATTATCATAAATCCCTGAAATAACAGTTGACTCAGAGATGCTTGTGTCATTGCACTGGGATTTTTTTACAGCTTTTCTTAAAAAAGCTACACTTAGTTATAAAAATGATTAAACTCTCATTTAATGCATTTGATATGGGCCTTTTGCCTAAATTAGGAATGAGGAGAGGAGGGCAATACTGTAACTCAAAGACAGAAAAATTATACTTTTGCAGTAAATTTGGGTAGAATATTTTTCCCATTTTAGAGCATTTTTCTACATGGAACCCAAGAATTTTCATTAGCATTCAGTTCAGATTTTTTTGTTGGATGCCACTCTTTTGAATGATTTGAAAATATTTTTCTGGTGCATCTGTAAACATCTGAAAATTCGATATTTGGTAAAAGACAATTGATATGGACAGCTCAAAAAGCCAGAACTTTATGCAAAACAGTATCTGGATTGCCATCTAAATGAAAACCGCATGTCAAACAGATGCCATAAATATGAATTCAGACAAATGCCCATTGATAGTTTTTCTGTGGTGCATCTTAGATGGTTCAGTGAGTTACAGATCTTGTGAAGTGCAGCCTGTTTGGTATGCTGAAGGCAAGTTAAAGTTCCCTTCCTTTCTATTGTGACACTACAAGTCTAACCTTTATTGTCAGGGTCTCAGCTGAATTTTCTAACAGCACATGAGTGGGAATTCATGGAAATAGCATGTGTTTCACCAGTTTCCTTTATTTCTCCCTCAGGACAAGCAGCTGTCAGGTCAGCCCCCCATTGCAGAGCTTGAAGCCATCAAGAGCAGGGATATATTTGCCTTGTTCTGAGGGCAGGCTTTCTGCTGACTCCGGAGATCACATAAATACCTTCAGGCCAGTGTGTCTGAGTCATCAGTGAGTGACCTCCTTGACAGGCTGAAACCACAAAATGGGACTTATGGAGCCGGCGAAGCAGGCTGCCCAGCTCCAGGTTCAGCTGAAGCAATCAACAGAAGGGGAGATTCGTTCATGTTCACACTCCCATTTTTCTACATGGTAGGAAACTAATTCCAGAGAGTAATAGTAGTGTAACAATGCATACACATAACTTTCATAACCCCGTTACCTCCAGTGCTTTACAATGAAATCCAGAGTCCGTGATAGAACATGTTCCTTAAGTTCTTTATAGTTACAACTAGACATAGTTTTAGAAAGGAAGCTTGACTTTTTAAAATATGAGTTTAACATCTTTTCGTTAGCAGACCTCACTTGGGTGAGGTAAGGAAGGCTAGTTTTGCTATTAACCTAGCTTGCTTCCCTAGGTCATGGGACGTGAGCTTCCTAGGATGAGAAGGGAGGAAGATGCCAGTCTTTGTTTTCAAGTGGTTGCCATTGTTGTGTGGAGTTGAGAGCTCATTTACTTTGTGTCCTTAAAAAGTGTATTTCTCTGTTTTTTCTCAGTAATAATTTCTAACACTAACTTATTGCTAGACTACTCACCTAGATCATTGTATTCACTTCTTGAAATAACCCTGTAATTAATATTATTGGCCTGAGGGTGAAACCAAAGCTGATGGGATAAATAACTTGCCGGAAGTCATGCTAATAAGGGGTAACTGACCAATTTGAATCTGCCTATCTGCCCACAGAGCTTATATTCTTCTTCATTTACCGAGGCTTGAAAAATGTGTGAACCAGCCAAGGGATGTACTAATTTTGTCTTCACACTGCAGGTCTGATGGGAATGTGGAACAACTGCATTTATTAAGTACACTTAGTACATTGTTTTTAAGTTTTTGATTTTTTTTCATTTATTCAACAAACATGTAGTAAAAACTTTCTACTAGGTGCTGGGGATATAGCTATGAACAAAACGAGTAAAGAAAAAACCTTCTATGTAGAAGTCAGAATGAGGCAGAGTGAGAACTCAACCTGCTTTTGCTAAAGGGAAGGAAGAGGCTATGACTCAAAGAATACAGACATCATGTAGAAGCTGGGCAAGGCGCTAGGAGATGGATTCTTCTCTAGAGACTCCATAAAAGGAACGCAGCCCTGCTAACATTTTGATTCTAGCCCAGTAAGATCCATGTCAAACTTTTAACCTATAGAAGTGTAAGATAAAAAATTTGAATTGTTTTATGCCACCAAATTTGTGGTAATTTGTTAAAGCAGCAATAGTAAACTCATGCAGATGGCACTGAAAGATTTTCCTCAGAGTCTGGGCATCATCAGATTTGCTGTCTTCATGAGATTCTTGCACTAGCAGTGTAGAGCCTGGATCACTGGGGCCAAGGCTAAAGGCAGAGAGATGAACTAGGAGGTACTGTAAAGACAAAACAACAGAGAGTCAGAGTCCACCATAAGGCAGTGGATTTGAGTTTGTTTGCTTGTTTGGCAAAGCATTTGTAGAATAAATGTTGTAAAGCTGAAGAGAAGGAGCCAGAGATGAGCACGTTTTAAAAATTGAGGATAAGGGGCTGGGCGCGGTGGCTCACGCCTGTAATCCCAGCACTTTGGGAGGCCGAGGCGGGCGGATCACAAGGTCGGCAGATCGAGACCATCCTGGCTAACACGGTGAAACCCCGTCTCTACTAAAAATACAAAAAATTAACGCCGGGCGTGGTGGCGGGCGCCTGTAGTCCCAGCTACTCTGGAGGCTGAGGCAGAAGAATGGCGTGAACCTGGGAGGCGGAGCTTGCAGTGAGCCGAGATCGCGCCACTGCACTCCAGCCTGTGCACTCTAGCCTGGGCGACAGAGCGAGACTCCGTCTCAAAAAAATAATAATAATAAAAATAAATAAATAAAAAAATTGAGGATAAGGAGAGACACTTGTTGTTGTAGGTGTCTGAGTGCGTAGGAAAAGAAGAGACAGGTGTCAGCCTGTGGGATAGGCAGGATGTGTTGCGAGGGAGAGTGTCACTATTTCTGGTGGAATTTTGGAGCAATGCTAGTGATGCTGCTTATGATGGAGATGGTGGAGTGATAGTGATGGTAGGAATGGGAGTATTTGGGCATGGATAGAAGGAAATGGAGGCACCCAGGTATGAGGGCTTCTCTATTTCTTTGTGGAGAAGAAGGGGAGTGCATCAACTGAAAGCCAGGAAGGTAGAGGTTCACAATAGCCCCTGTGCAGAGTGGAGGGGGTGGGGCAGGCTTAGTGGTGTTAAGCCTTGCCCTTTTTGGCATCACTTTTTGAGGTTGTATTATATATATATATATAATATATATATAATATATATATTTAATATATTATATATTATATATATTAAATTATATATATAATAAATTATATATTATATATATTATATATGATATATATTATACATATCATATATAATATATATATTATATAATATATATTATATATATATATATATCTTCCCTGACCAATGCTCAGCAACCTAGGAGTAGGAACAGAGATGGGCATGTTGAGGAGTAAGGATTTGGAAGAGAGAAGCGAGTGAGGTATTCTACCCCTCCCTTTAGTGAGGAAGTGATTTTTACATGGAATGGAAGGAAAAACCATTTCGTTTTGTTTGAGACTGATTTCATGAATTCCCAAGAAGTATATCTACATCTATCCTATGATTCTCTACAAAACCTTCTTCGTTCAGTTCACAACCAGATCTTTCCTTCAAATCAGGGTCATTATCTTCTGTTAAGGCAAATATATCAAGAAGAAAGGCCAGCCAGCCATGCCTATCTTTGTAGGAATGAGTCAGCTCCTTTCCTGGGAAAAAGTGTCACTGGGGAAAAAATGAGTGGGAGGACCACATTGAGTTAATTTGGAGGAAGGGCCCCATCTTGGGAATAGAAGGTTTAATTGCTGGAGCTCTGAAGGTAAATGGCTTCTCGGCCACCTATATTTACCTTCCAGGTTCCCAAAGGGAATGCTGGGGCCTGGCTAGGGGGTTAGGGAATGGCAGGACCTTACTTCCCATAGGCAACCTAGGGATTTTGTGCTCTGTCAAGGTTTGCCTTGCTTACACATTGAAGTATGTTTGCATGTGGTCCTGTGGAAGGCAAATGTGAGAGACTATGGGAGAGGACAGGGAAGATACATATTCCCTTTGGGACTGTGAGAAGTCCCTGTCACTGTCTGTCAACAGAGAGAAGCTATGTAGTGCGATCTTACGTAACTTAAAATGGGAGAGATGAGAAGGCATAGCATTCAATCCAGAAGTCCCTTGAGGGCTGGTAACTCTCTTTGGGAGGGATACCCTAAAAAGAATGCACAGCTTGTTAGGGTTAGAGTTCTGTTTAATATCAAAGGAAACCTTTCTCATCTTTAAGAAACATGTATAAAGAGAGTCTGTAATCCCCGGTGCCTCAGATTTATGCTTTCCAAATGTGGACACCTATTTTACCATGAGCTCGATATCTTTTTAATGGACTACAAATATTTGAAATGTGTAAACACCAGGAAGGATGAGTATTTTAAGTGTGTAGGGTTGGAGCTGGATTAGGAGAACTTGGATAGCGGAGGGAAGCATGAGACAAGACGTCCCAGCAGTCTAAACTGCTGGATAGGAGCATATTCTTAGACCAGGGAAAGTGGAAATATTCTTTCATTTGAACTTGCAGAAGTCACTCATCCAAAAGCATCTTTCTTTTTTGGGGGTGTGCTGTCTTTGAATTTTATCCTTTTCCTGGTGCTAGAGGGACTGTGTTCTTCCTTCTGTACACACCAGCCTTTCAGAAGAGGTGGGGGTCAAGTGTATCTTGGACATCTCCCCACTCTCCCCACCACAATGATACTAATATACATCTTCTCTTCTTTGTCTTCAACCCAAACTTTCTCTTAGGGGAATTAATAGCTTCAAAGCCAAATACCGACATGATTAGAAAAGATTGTTCATTCTAAATAGAGTGGTATGTTTCCAGTCAAAATAATCTCTGGAGTCTTCTTTGTGGTTTTCCTTACTGCACTTCCTTAATCAGACACACCTCCACTGGAGATCCTCCATTTTCTCAGGTGTGGAATGGGAAGAGAATATACTGTATAATATTTTGGTGAAGATTAAATGAGATATTAACACAGGTGAATCACTTGCACATAGAGAGCCAGCAATACTAATTCACTTCAGTTGACAATGAATTATATCCTGGTTTTCCTAATGTTTATTGATGTTTTCATGCATTTATGTACTCTTTAAATTATTTAGAACTTGAATGTTGTAGTTCCATGGGTCTCAGCTGTGGGTGTTTTGTTTTGGTCATAAAGTACCCATTGGTAAGTGGCAGGATGGCACAGTGGTGAGAACATGATCCCTGGAACGAGACTGACTGGGTTTCAATTGAGGCTTCACCTCCATTTAACTGCATCATCCTGGAGAGACTCTTTACTTCTTTGTGCCTCAATTTCTTTATTACAAAGGAAGGGGGGAATGATAATTATATAACCTGCCTCATTGGGTTGTTCTGAGGATTAAATGAATTAATATGCACAAAGCATGTAGTGCTTGGTGCCAGTAAGGGCTATTAACAGTGATTGTTGCTACCATATTTTTTAGTGCCCATAAGACATTTAGAATAGTGTCCAGTACATGTTACCTGTTTCTTCTTCTTAAAATTTCAATAGTTTTTGGAGGCACAGGTGGTTTTTGGTTACATGGATAAGTTCTTTAGTGGTGAGTTCTGAGATTTCAGTGCACCTGTCACCTGAGCAGTGTACACTGTACCCAGTATGTAGTCTTTTATACCTCAACCCCCTCCCAAACTTACCCCCAGGGTCCTCAAAGTCCATTATATCATTCTTATGCCTTTGCATGCTCATAGCTTAGCTCCCACTTGTAAGTGAGAACATATGATATTTGGTTTTCCATTCCTGAGTTACTTCACGTAGAATAACACCTCCAGCTCTATCTGAGTTGCTGCAAAAGACATTCTTTCATTCCTTTTTATAGCTGAGTAGTATTCCATGGTGTATATATACCACATTTTAAATCCACACATTGGTTGATGGACACTTAGGTCGGTTCCATATCTTTTTCTTCCATGTGTCTTTTCCACATAATGACTTCTTTTCCTTGGATAGATACCCAGTAGTGGGATTGCTGTACAAAATGGTAGTTCTACTTTTAGTTCTCTAAGGAATATCCATACTGTTTTCCATAATGGTTGTACTAATCTACATTCCCACCAGCAATGTAAAAGTGTTCCCTTTTCACCACATCCATCTGTCATTTTTTGACTTTTGAATTGTGGCCATTCTTGCAGGAGTAAGGTGATATCTCATTGAGGTTTTAATTTCCATTTCCCTGATGATTAGTGATGTTGCACATTTTTTCATATGTTTGTTGGTTGTTTGGGTATCTTCTTTTGAGAAATGTCTATTCATCTCCTTTGCCCATGTTTTGATGGAACTATTTGTTTTTTTCTTGCTGATTTGTTTGAGTTCCTTGTAGATTCTGGGTACTAGACCTTTGTCAGATGCACAGTTTGCAAATATTTTCTCCCATTCTGTGGGCTGTCTGTTTCCTCTGCTGATTATTTCTTTTGCTGTGCAGACGGCTTTTACTTTAATTAGGTCCCATCTATTTATTTTTGGTTTTGTTACATTTGCTTTTGGGGTCTTAGCTATGAATTCTTTGCCTAAGCCAATGTCCAGAATAATTTTTTCTGATGTTATCTTCCAGGATTTGTATGGTTTCAGGTCCTAGGTTTAAGTCATTGATCCATCTTGAGTTGCTTTTTGTATAAGGTGAGAGATTGGGATCCAGTTTCATTCTTCTACATGTGGCTGGTTTTCTTAGTACCATTTATTGAATAGTATGTCCTTTCCCCAATTTGTGTTTTTGTGTGCTTTGTTCAAAGATCAGTTGGTTCTAACTATTTGGCTTTATTTCTGAATCCTCTATTCTGTTCCATTGATCTACATGCCTATTTTTATACCAGTACCATTCTGTTTTGGTAACTATAACCTTGTAGTATAGTTTGAAGTCAGATAGTATAACACCTCCAGATTTGTTCTTTTTGCTTGGTATTGCTTTGGCTATTTGGGCTCTTTGTTGGTTCCATATGAATTTTAGGGTTGTTTTTTCTAGTTCTGTGAGGAATTATGATGGTATTTTGATGGGAATTGCATTGAATCTGTAGATTGCTTTTGGCAGTATTTATAATATTGATTCTACTCATCCATGAGCATGGGTTGCGTTTCCATTTGTTTGTGTCCTCTATGATTTCTTTCAGCAGTGTTTTGTAGTTTTCCTCGTAGAGGTCTTTCACCTCCTTGGTTAAGTATATCCTAAGAATTTTATTTTATTTTATTTTTACAACTGTTGTAAAGGGGATTGAGTTCTTGATTTGATTCTCAGCTTTGTCATTTGGGTGTATAGCAGCGCTACTGATTTGTATACATTGATTTGTATTCTGAGACTTAGCTGAATTCATTCATCAGATCTAGGAGCTTTTTGGATGAGTCTTTAAAGTTTTCTAGGTATATGATTATATTATTGGTGAAGAGCGAAAGTTTCACTTCTTCTTTTCCAATTTGGATGCCTTTTCTTTTTCTTTGTCTTATTACTCTGGCTAAGACTTTCCTTGTTAGCTGTTTCTACAAAACATGGTTAAAGATCTTTGATCCATGAATCTAAATTCCAACTTCTTGAGAATAATTCTAGACGTAGAATGATTTCTAGTACCAGAACTGGGAATTATTAGCAGTAGGTAAGGTAGCAACAAAAGTCTGCAGAAGGCAGTGGCTTAGTTGGCTTAGTTGGCTGGGACTTTCAGGCCTTGATCCAGGCTCCTCCGGACACCAGGTGGTTGTGTGTTTCTTAAATATCATGTGCTACACTTGCAAACTGTTGGCCTATGAACCCAACTGTGCCCGTAGATAGGTTCTGTTTAGCCAGCCCAGGAAATAAAAAAGATAAATTGGTTGCCAATATTTAAAATTGGGGCTGTTTCTCATAAAACTCTGGACTTCCTTCCTCTCAAACAATGAGAGGATCTACAGCTCTGGACTTGCTCTCTTTCATGGCAGCCATCTGTTTTAACTGTAGAGCTGCTCATTTTAGATTGCTCATTCACTTTTCTTCTCCACAGTCCCCACCACTTCTTATTACTTTATATCTGGCCCACTTCAGTCATCTGTGTTATTGTCTGATCCCTGTAGGCCTCTGAGTTTGCAGCTCCTACTGTAAACTAATATGAAAGAAGTGTTGCTGGGATCAGCAGAAGATGGTATATGCAATGTGGAGAGAGATACTGTTCATCTAGTCTTGATTCATGACATGTTTCCTCAGCTTAAAAATTGGTCATTTCACATAAGTTATTATCAATACCTCTAAGTAGAGTCAATTTATGCATCTCAGGTGTACCACCTTGATATCTAACACTGGCAGTTACTACCAGAAAATGTTCAGTATAGATTGGAAACCATCAGGACATGGCACTAAAAAGGGTACCTATATTAACATGCCATTGTCAGAGTTACACAACATATGTTTAAATGAAAATAATCCCTGATAATTATGGCTTTGTAATATAATGCTTCTGGAAAAATAGTTTTCCTGAATACCAGAGAATAAAACAAAGACATTTGGAATCCAACTGTAGGGACATCTTTAGCAGTTGGACATTTTAAGTTGGGTACCAAGTTCCTACTTAGAGAATTAAAAGCAGGATGGCCGAAGGAACAATGTGGCTGATCTTTAGTATATCCAGGATGATGGGGAATATATCTTAAATATTAAATGTAGGTGTGTTTACTCCCACCAAACCATCACACTGGCCCTGGAACCACCTTTTGAAACAAGTCATGGAATAAAAGGGTATTTCTGTTCTTCAAACTACAGTGCTCCAAAGGCGATGTCCTATAATTACATTTAGTCAGAGGTCCAGAGACATGTGTCAAATGAGAGATGTGCTTACCATAGGTAGGTGTTGTTCAATCGGTATCTGAATGAAAATGTTTCTCCTTCACTTGCGAACATGGTAGAGGATTCAGAAACTCCATGTTTCCTCAAGGCTTTCTAGATCAAGCAGAAGAACATCATTTTGTCGGAGTATACAGCTCAGCATTGCATCATGCAATGCAAATGACAAGACATGCTTCTTTATCAGCAGAGATGTATGTTAATATAACTGTCACATTAAATATTTGCTGCTGTTGGCTCAGTTAATGGCTGTCATAAAAATGTGGCAATATCTGGCATTTTAAGTGTGTGTGGTGCCTAATGTAGAGTTTGCTATTGTAAATAAGCCACACATTTAGAACTAATTACATGCAACCTATGATAGCAGGTTTATTTTTTTTACAAAGATCTGAGCTGTGATCAGCACTTGTAATCACAAAGCAAGGAAAAAATAAGGAATGACAGCAACACCTTCATGTTGAAAGCAAAGTCTTGTCCTGAAGTGCTGTGAAGTATTAAATGTTTTTCAATAGAAAGTGATGATGATTAGTCAGAAACAGATATAATTATGAAATAGCCAGGATCTGGCTTTTCTACTGTGTTTACATCCACACACATTTTTTAAAAACTTTATCTAATCTAGTAAACACTCAAATGGTATCATTTTGAATATATATATACAGGAATTATATATATATATATATACACATGCAGGACCATACCTTAGTAAATGGTCACGAAATTGACTTGCAGAGTGATCAGTGAGAACAATTATCAATAAATTTCAGCTTATTTTTCATGTATAATAAAATGTAATAAAGATAACCTTTGATAAGTTTAGTCATGTTCACAACAATCATTTGCACATCTATTTTACAAAGAGCATTACAGGTTGGGCCTCTCGTTAACCCTGTAACGAGTGGATTATCTCCCTCTCATAGAGGAGGCTGAATTCTCATCATGGACCCAGAACTCAAAGACAAGTAGTTGGACTCCAAAATCCCCGATCATTCTCCTTTATGTGGATTTCTCATGGGAAGGGATGTCTAGGAGGTATATTCTCATGGGCGCCACTTCCCTGCAGCCATGCTACCTTTCCCCATGGTTCACAATACATGGGTTGGGTATATTGCTTGGCTCCATTTCTGAAGAAGCAGCATCCACCAAGTACCTTTGTCCAAGACTCCGGAGCCCTGTGGCGAGTGCTCTCTCTGGCTGAGACAGGGTCATGGCCATATACTTGGAAAGATCACAGCCCTTGTTTGGAAACAGCTCCCACCCTCAGCCTGCTTTGGGGCAGAAACCTGCTTTGATCTGTGTGCAGGCCTGGGAGGTTATGGCCCTAATTAATTCACACATAACAATCTGACTTTCCTTTTCATTCAGAGAAAAGCATAATCATTTCAAAGCTTTCATAATGCTGAAATTCTTAAAAATCCAATTGAATCTTATTTTTATGTCTGGTCAGGGTAATTTCCAGGCAGCACTGAAACAAAAAGATAATGAAAATGTGTCTTTTAAATTACTAAAAATTATTTCTGTTAGAAGATGAGTTGGTCATTAGGCAAGATTTTAGGAGAAAAAAAATCTTCCTAAATTATAACAGGCAGAGGAGTGGTCACAAACTCTTCATCAGAATGCAGTTTTTATTATGTGAATACATCAGCCTACTAAATGACTCCATTCTTTGGAAATGTCATATAAATAGAAGAAAAATAAAAGTGTGAAGGAGACCACAGATATGAAAGTACTTTGTAAACAGCAATGTGCTTTGTAAATGTGACATATTATTACAGCTTGACTTCTGCAGTTCCCTTCCCCATGGTTAGAAATTATTAGAGGTCCCCTGACTCCTGTCAGGCTCCTTTTTAATGATCTTTAAGCCTTATTCCTGAAGGCAGGACAGTGATACTGGCAGGAAAAGTGCTTAATAATTTGTTTATGGTAAAATGCTATCCTAATTAGTAGATCTCATTAACTTCAATGAGGCATCGCTCTGAGTCTTCCCCCTGTAGTCAATCAGTCAGCAAATCCTGTTGCCTTTCCCTATCAGAGGTATTTCTTACTGTTTGCTTTGTCCCCACTGCCATCACCTGAATTTGTGAACTCTCATGTCACACCTGAACAGCTGCTACACACGCCCACCTACAATCCACCCTCCATGGCAGCCAGAGTGGTCTTTAATTGTGTTAGGCACTTCCAACTTCACACCTGCAATGCGTGCTCCATTACGGCCCATAAGACCCTGCAGGGTCCTGCTGTGCTTGCTCTCAAACTCTTCTTGCACCATCTCTGTCTCCCACACTGCCCTTATTTTTCAATCCCTCAAATACTTGAAATTTCTTTCTTCCGTAGGTTTGGCCTTTGCTGTTCCTTCCATCTGGAATGCCATTTCCCTAGATCTCTGTGTGGGTTGCCTGGTCATCTCCCAAGTCTCAGCTCAAATGTTCCTTCCTCAAGGGGGCCTTCCCTGGCCATCTGACCCACAGTGGCCTGCTCACCTGCACCAGCTTCCTTTTACCTTACTTTCTTTGAGCTCTTACTTTTCAAAATTATCTTATGTAACTGTTTATTTATTATTCATCTCTTTCTGATCAAGTGTATGTTCTATGAGGACAGGGACTGGGTCCATATTCTTCTCTGCTGTTTCTCCAGGGCCTAGAACTGGGTCTGGCACACAAGGCACAAGGCTCTGGTTTATCTGCTGAATAACTGAGTGCCAACTAAAGGCAGAAACTATTGACTGAGAAAAAAGAGAAATGTTGCAAAAAAATGATTTTGTTTCTGTTGACAGTCACTAAAACAATTAGCAAAATTCAATTCAATGAAGATAAGTAGTCAAAGTGACTGTTTTTCACAAATCAGAGTGATTAATGCAGTCATAGACGTAACTAACTGTTGATAAAATAAGAGATTCTATAGTATCCTTTAGCTATTGATGTTTCTTGGTTAAACTAGTCAGAGCTGCTTATCATGCTTGAAATCTTCAATTCTCATTCAAATTTTACCAATCAGAAAAACTATAAAACATCGATCACTTATTTTTCCAGAAAATAATTGTTTCTGGAGTAATTCCTAATGCTCAATCTTAAAGGATTGAGGCTGTGATTTTATTCTTTTCGTAAGTCTTCTTCTTTCATTCCAGTGTGTATCACCTCATGGTAGAGTGTATTCATTCTCTCTCTCTTGCTCTCTCTTTTTTTCCTTTTTGAGATGGGGTCTTGCTCTGTTGCCCAGGCTGGAGTGCAGTGACGTGATCTTGACTCACTGCAATCTCTGCCTCCCCGGTTCAAGCAATTCTCCTGCCTCAGCCTCTGGAGTAGCTGGGATTACAGGCACCTGCCACCATGCCCGGCTAATTTTTGTATTTTTAGTAAAGCCGGGGTTTCACCATATTGGTCAGGCTGGTCTTGAACCCCTGACCCCAGCTGATCCACCTGCCTTGGCCTCCCAAATTGCTAGGACTACAGGTGTGAGTCACTGCACCCAGCCGTATTCATTCTACCAATATGTTTTGGACACCTCCTGTGTGCCTGGTCTTTACCTTGGCACCGGAGAGCCCATGGGAACCAGACAGAGAATATCCTTGCTCTGGGAAAGTTTAGCTAACAATTTCCCTCTATAGGAATTTAGAATGAACACAACTGCCATGTGATGCCACCCTCATGAAGGTTCAAGGAAGCCAGAAAGTGATGGTAGGTTGGCCTGGAGATGTTACGAGAAAAACCCATGTCCTCCTGAAGGCCCAGGATAGGAACATCTTTGGAGAAGAAAGGGTAGGCTGGGTCAAATGTTCTAAAAGCAGACTTCATAGTTTGGCTATAAGGACAGTCATGCTCCCAATATAAGCCTGCCAAGTAGTCTGAGTCAAGAGAAAGAAAGTTTGGGCAAATTCAGAATCTTTTGGACTCAGTGGGCTCCATGTCTAAAACCAGATTTTGGTCTTGTACCTTTTAGTATCTAATCATGGCAAGGGAATGCCTAGTTGAAAGAGAAATGAGCTTTTCGAGTTTGGGATTAGACAGCAAATAACTGGAACTAAATTGATTTTGTTGAGTTTCAAAATGACTCAGAAACAATTGGACCCAATTCTCCTCAAAATTAACATCAGTAAAAAAGATTAAGAAAAATAAAACTCCCCTGGGCAGAACATTGTAAACTGGGATTTTCTCAGACACTTCTAGTTCTTCCATCCCTGGTCGACAAAGACATAAACTTGGGAATATTGGCAGGATTTTAAGCCTTTAAGGTTATTATGAAATTAGAGTTCCAAGTCTTAGAAATGTTCAAATAAGAGATTTTTTTCCCCTTGATATTTCTAATTTCTTCTAAGTATTGAAATATATCATCTATGTAATAATTTTAGGTTATAGAATTTCAGAGCTGGAAGGAACCCTTAGAGACAATTCAGTCTGGCTATGCATTTCTACAGGAGAAAACTGAGACTGAGGGAGGCATACACACACTTGCTCAAGGTTTATGCACAAGCCTGTGGTAGAGCTGGGACCACAGTTCATTTTGTCTTACAGAAAGACCCAAGATTTGAACAGGTACAGCCTCACTTTCCTACTTATAAACCTCTATAAAGTCCCTGAAACCTTGATGAATTCTTTTCACTAAAAATATGAGATTTTGATGGTCAGATAACATAGGAGTGAATGATTACAATCACAATCTTGCTTTTTCCTTCTGAGAATTTCAGTGATGTGGCAGTTTATAGGTAACAGGCATTGAGGATGCTCATTAAAAATGGAACATAGAGAAGATTTAAAGAGCTGGACCTGGAAAGAGTCAGTGTGCGCATGAACACATTGTGGTTGGGAACACATTGCTTCACCTTGACATTCCTTCACACTGACAATGTCAACCCTATTTGTTGTTGAGCTTTGAAACCCACATTTCCTCCTTGTTTTGTGGGAGACAGTCCACATCCTAAAAGCAGAGGTGGCCAAATGAGTGAAATATCATCTTTGGGAACTCCTTTCCTGGAGAAGGGTGTGTCCTTTCTGGACTCTTTAGTTTCTGATTTCACTGCACGCTCCTGACAGCCATATGACATGAAAACCATGAAAAGAGAGAGCAGAGAAAGAGGGCCTTTGGCTGCAGTGGGTGCTGCCTGAAGCCTTTGTGATGGGGTGGAGTGTTGATCACCAGCTTTCTTTGAATGCCAAAGTCATGCCACACAAATAGAAAAAAAAGGATCCTGCACGCCTGTAATACAAAGGGACACTTCATTATTTTTTTCTTCTGTTTAAAAACATGGGCAGGTGCAGCTACGGTTTCCTGCAGCCTATTGCCCCTTTCTTCCCCAACTCCGCCTGCTTTATACGACAACTGTCCAGACAGGGAGGAATATGGATATAAATGAGAATTTAAAAGGTACCAAGTGAGGAGGAATTTTGGCAGGGAAAAATTGGAAAGTGTTATGTGAGTGGTGATTGTCTGGCTGGGTCCTTTGAAAATACTTAGGAGTTACCTAGTTGCAAGCAAAGACTTTTTTTTTTCCAACTGTTGTAACTATTTGAGGTAAATTATCATCTTTGCTTCACCTCTCCCCCAGCATACATACTGCCTACAGTGATATCTCTTTAGGCTGTGCAATCCCCAATTTTTACAAGCCAAGAAGAAATTTAGTTAGTTGGTAGTTGGCAGACAGATCTACAGGAGTAGCATTAGTAATCAGTAGGCCATACCCGTTTCCAGCTACTTTTGGACCAAGGCCTGGGAAAAAAAAATATATTATTTGAACTCTCCTTGGAGACACTGTTAAAATTGTATTTTATTAATTAGTGTCCACTTAAATTTGAGTCAATCAATACCCAGGGAAATTAGCCTGCTCTTAAATCACACCCAAACATAATGATGATAGTAAAACAATACAATACTTTAATATATGTGATGCTTACTGTCAAAAAGTGCTTGTATCTATTGCCTTATGTATACTCCCAGAATACTTCATTAGCTGAACTTTTTAATAAGAACATGGAGATTTATCATTTTTCATAATATTCTGATGATAAAAACATTCATATTCAAAAGTACTTATTAAGTACTCATTACTAATAATACCAACAATACTGAGATCATTTGACTTAAATGAAGAACCACAAAAGGAGTTTCTGTTTTTGATGAAGATTATCTGTCATTTTTCACTTTGTTCTCAAAAGAGTAGGCAAAGCCATTTGGGCATCAGAGTTTAGTTGGATGATACATATTCCACGTGTGGAATTGGTCAAGATCAGAGAACTTCTTCCTTTCCTCTGGCTTAGAGACTAAGTTTTTAACATAGTTATTCTCTCTGGCATTTAGATCATGAATTTTGCACAGCCCCACATCAAGGAGAAAAGAGGCCCTTTATATGTTAGATTCGCAGAATGACTTCAGATGTTTTGACTGGATAGCTGTAGAACAGAATGGAAATAGTACAAGTCATGATCTCCTTTGCTGCCTTCCAGATGCCACTGGACTCTGTTATTACTAGTTATCTACTGGAATATCATGCTGTGATCCTTATCCAGTGTGGTTTGGCTTTATTATTCCTCTTAAGATCTTGTTAATGTTTAGTTTACTTGTTTTATATTTCAGGAGACCCAGTAAGGTCTCCTATCAAAGTATCTTCTGTCTAAAGTAGAAAGAAAGAGTTGATGGCAATGATCTTTTTTTGTAAGATAGGAGTTGTTTCATATAAACATTCTGCACAGAAATACATGCACATAACCACACCTAAAGAGTTTTGAGTTGGTTTTTTACAAGCCCATTCTCACTGTCTGTAGAGAGCATCAGAAGTGTCTTAGGACACTTGCTGTCTGGAGTCACTATGACACCTACACATCCTTTTGATAAGAAATACTTAGCAGATAAACACCTCTGACAACCTGGAAAGTTGAGCTGTTGTCAGTTATCTCCTCTGAGTTACTACGGGCAGAGACTTGGTGGGTTGTTGGGAGAAATGGATGCATGGGACAAAGGGTGACTTTTGTTTCTTCAGTGATTTCCCTCATTTCTTCTTGACTGCATAAAAATCTTGTCCCTGAGGAAGCCAACGTTGTGTGCCCTGATGCATCCCGTGTCACTTCCCTATAATCTTTCTGGAGAGTCTATTTTCTGGGATAAATTTGAACTGTGTCCAGCGATACACCTGAAAGTCATTGTTACACAAATTTTTCAGATTTGGTGATGATGCTGGGGAAGTGGGATGTTAGGCAGAATGTAGCTGTATCAGCCAACATCACTGGCTCAGAGAGCCATAAAGAGCCCTTTTCCAGGGCTTCTCCAGGGCTTCCCTGAAACTCAAAGTTTACTTGCTATGTTGTGCACTGGTGGTGCACAGCAAAGAATTGGCCACTGATATCCCAGGACATCTCCTTAAAGCTAGCTTTGCATGGCAGTGCCTACCAATCTGCCTCCCTTATCCCTCATCTCAAGGACATTTTTTTTTTTGAAGTGATCTTCCTGCTGTTCTTTACCAGGTCTACTTGTATGAACATTATCAAAGTTTGTTCCTATGTAGTTGTCCTGTTTAGGCCTGAGGGTAAGGCCTCACCCTGTAAGTAGAGAGTAATCTGTTCTTGAAGGAGGTGTCATCCCAGGTTTCAGTCCCTAGGGAAAAAGGCCTACCCTGAACTGGATGATCAGGCACTGGACACTTAGGCTGCAAGGGCAGGGATAGTATCTCTTCTGCCATTTCTACTCTTTTGGAATGTGCTCTGGAATGGTGGGGACCAGGAAGTCATCTACCACAAGGAGGCAGAGTTAGGGCTGAGATGAAATGGATCTGAACCCAGGAGAACAAGCCGTATTTTGCAAGCTATATAAAAGATTTGGTTACATGTTTCTGTTTCAGCCTCTTCCCCTTAATTGCTTAAAACAACTAACATTTCCCTTAAATGTCCTGGCCTGGTCTCAGCTGGGCTTTAAGGGGAGGATTTGGGCTATACCAAGTCCAGAATGTTAAAAGAGCAATGCCCCTTGGATTAGGGGGTGGCAGCAGCAGGAATTAGCGAAAAATACCCAAGGCTCAAGGTGCAGGGACATGGGGAATCTCAGAGGCAATGCCAGGGCCTTGGCGCTGTTTCACCACTGCATGGAATTATCTCTTCAGGGCCCACTTTAGAGGACCTGGGCAGTATTTTACTAAGGAAAGAGGTAGCTGCCTAATAGCTCTTTGGTACTTTATTTCTAGGGTGAATTTTTATTTTTATTTTGTTTTGTTTTTGTTCATTATCTGGCTGGTTTATTTATTTGTTTCAAAATTACCTAGGGAGAGTTGGGCAACAACCCTCAACCAACAGAGGCACCCTCTTTGAAGCAAATGGTCTGTGTATAACCTCTAGAGGAA
The DNA here is from genome assembly GCF_000001405.40 of Homo sapiens. Lineage (NCBI taxonomy): Eukaryota > Metazoa > Chordata > Mammalia > Primates > Hominidae > Homo > Homo sapiens. Next base: position 157,768,966 of record NC_000003.12, on the reverse strand, counting down.
AAATGAACCCTTGGTAATATATGATCATCATAAGCAAGAATCAATCTTCCTTTCCTTTCCCTTTCTTCCTTTCCTTTCCCTTTCTTCCTTTCCTTTCCTTTCTTTTTTTTTTTTTTTTACCGAGTCTTACTCTGTCGCCAGGCTGGAGTGCAGTGGCATGATCTCAGCTCACTGCAACCTCTGCGTCCTGGGTTCAAGCAATTCTCCTGCCTCAGCCTACTGAATAGCTGGGACTACAGGCGCACGCTACCACACCCAGCTAATTTTTATATTTTTAGTAGAGACCGGGTTTCACCATGTTGGCCAGGATGGTCTCAATCTCTTGATCTCGTGATCCGCCCGCCTCAGCCTCCCAAAGTGCTGGGATTACAGGCATGAGCTGCCGTGCCCAGCCAAATTTTTCTTTCTTAATGACAGAACTGGCTGGGCATGGTGTCTCATGCCTATAATCCTAATACTCTTGGAGGCCAAAGTGGGAGGATCACAGTCTGGGCATAGTGGCTCATACGTGTATTCCCAATACTTTCAGAAGCCAAGGTGGGAGGATCACTTGAGCCCAGGAGTTGGAGACCATCCTGGGCAACATAAAGAGACCCTTGTCTCTACAAAATAAAAAAAAAATCTAGTTAGGCATGGTGGTGAACTCCTGTAGTCCCAGCTACTCAGAAGCTTGGGAGGCTAAAGTAGGAGGATCTCTTGAGCTCTGGAGTTTGAGGCTGCAGTGATGCAGTGAGCCATGATCACACCACCACACTCTAGCCTGGGCAACAGAGTAAGACCTTGTCTCCAAAACAAACAAACAAACAAACAAAAAAAACAAATCAAAAAACAACAACAACAACAAAAATCAAAACGATAGAACTATGGAAATAGGTGTTATTTGGAGTCTACATAGTTAATGATATCTAACAAATGACATTTGACATCACTAGGCTACCAGCTACCACACACTTGTGCATGTTACCAACAATGGCTAACATTGAGGCTGAAAGAAATGATTTGCTAACATGTTTCTCTGTTTGTGGTTCAAAGTGAATCCACCACTGAAGTCTACCTGAAATAATTTAGCTGCGCAGCACCACCTGTAGGAAATCTATGTGTGGGTGTTGCACTGTACCATGACCCAGGATGGGTTTAATTTTTAGAAACCTGATAGTTTATTTTCCTTAACTTCTGATTGGATGAGTGCAACATGTTAAATACTGGTGGGTGGGTTTTTTGTGTGTTTGTTTTGGAGAACTTAATGATAATGCTTTCTAGGCATAGCACTATGACTCACAGTTTTTGCACTGAGTATGTCTCAAGTAATCTTAATTGACCAGAGGAAAAAGCACATATTACTAACAGGTATTACATTCACTAGCTCCTTTCTCTTTTAAGTTTTTTTTTTTTTTTCCTAGAGACATTTCCTACATCTTCAGTGAGACATAATATTTGATTGAACCATTTCTCACTTGTTCACTGATGCCATTCTTGAAGCTAGCACAGTGCTTTGCACATAAGTTTTCCACAAATTTTATTGAATGAGTGAATTACACAGAGTCTATTCATCTGCACCTCTTTGGGGGTATAATGGTTTTATATATAATGGTTTTAGTTCAAATGCCCCTTCTTTGTAGAGGCTTCCCCTGATCCCCTAATATAGAATAACCAAGTACTGGTTATTGCCTTTCATAGATATCAGCTTTTTTCCCTTTTAAAGTACTTACTATATTCACTTATTTTTGGTTTAATTTGTACTTCATCCATTTGCTAGAAAGCTCTGTTGAGGATGAGGCCTCTGTCTGTTCTGTTCCTCATTCTAGCACAGTCCCTGGCACAAGGTGATGCTTAGTAAATACTAGATAGTTATTACTAAACAGCAGTTGATTGGGTGGATGAGCAACTCTTACCTACTCATATGCACATTTGCAGTAAGTTACATGCTGACCCTATTCCACCCTTGAACAATAAAGAACAATGAAGAATACCATAGGAAGTGGCCATAAGCACCCCTTATGTCAGCAAATTTTTAGAGATTGAGTGGCTAAAATGAGTAGGTTTTATCATCTAGTAAGATTATGCTCCAGGGTTATCAGGTTTGGGATAGAGAACTTCTCTATTTCAATATATAATTATATGGCCTTAGATAGGCCCTAGTTGCAATTCTTGCTCAAGTAACAAACTGTGTGATCTTGATCAAATTACACAACCTTTCTGAACCTCCTTTCTTAATATGTAAATTTGGGACACAAATAGTAATTACTTCATGTGGTTGTTTAGAAGATTAAACAAGGTAATGTATGTAAAGTATGCAGTTTAGTACCTAGCATGGAATAAGGAGTAAGTGCTCAATAAAAGTTATTATTAAATTAATAATAACATTAGAAGCCCATCAGTGGGCTAGCAGTGTCCCAGGACTCAATTGGGTTGTAATTAAATATAATAAAAAATGTCTGACGCTCAACTTCAGTGAAAGGAATTAGTGCTTTCCTTTTAATGGCTAAATAATGGAATCAGATTAATTCCCTACAGTCAAAACTGGATTTAGTAAGATCTGAAAGGTTATAACAAGGGACACTACCACCATAGATGAAAACATCTCTGTCCTCCAAATATTAAAGTTAGTTAATAGTATGTTCAATGATCTTTTAAAATCTCCTTGACAAGATGAAAATTCAAGCACACAAGAGTTTAAATCTGTTATAACCTCACCAAAGTGATATTAGCAATATCTTACAATAAAAAATTATGTAAATGTTCTTTTAATTTTTGTCAAAATATATTAGAAATATTAGAAATATATTACTTTTTTCTTATTAGAAAATAAATATAATCTTTGAATATAATGTTTAAAAATGTTTAGTCATATTGACGTGACATATATATATATATATATATATATATATATATATATATAACAATTTAGATAATTTACAGTGACAAGTAAGACCTAAATTACAGGAACCAGAAACCTAATTATTTCAAATGGAATAATCTTGCTAACCAGTGTCACTCATTTCAAGGGAACAAAGGCAATGGCTTTTTAAAACGTCTCGCTTCTATTAATAGTTCTAATTTTCCACAAATTATATCAGAATTCTTCTATATCACAAAGACAGCAAAAGCTGGACATTTATTTCTTCATCAAATTCAAGAAAATGCATACTTTGTCTAACCCTTGGCTACCTATGTGGGGATCACTGGAGCCTCTTACTCTGCAACAGTCAGCCTACAATTTTCTCATCATTTTTCTATCTGGGCAAAGAAAATTCAGAAAGAAATTCTCAGATTTCAGACCTTGTGTAGATGTGAGTGGCATATGGTGGAGTAGTTTTTCTCCATGTTACTCATGCCCTCAAGTTTTTGATGGGATAAAGACTTTGGCAAGCAACCAGTCTCTTGTGTTTGTCATCTCATTTCCATTTCAGGGGTTGGCAGGGTGTGTGATGAAGAAGAGAGGGTTTGGGTACTGGAATTCTAGTGCACAGCTTCTAGGGCATGTTGGAGACACTACCTCACCATGCTCTTCTTTTTTTGTCTCTGGAACATTAAATTAAAAAGATTCTGCCATCTTCAGGAATGGCAGAAGTGATACTATATTTACTGTTACACCTACCTTCTTGGAAAGGGCTATGAACTCAAGACATGGGTGAGAGTGACAGTGAAATATTGCATTTTTAGATTAGGAAGACCTCCTTGTTGAATGAATATCACTTTTACATCATTATAAAGTTGGAAGATACTTGTATTTTCATTCTATTTGAGATGATGCGAAGCAAATACTATCCTTTAATGATTACATATTAATGTACTTTCTGAAACACTTTAATATTGGAATTTTTTTTTTCTTTGAGATGGGGTCTCACTCTGTCGTCTAGGCTGGAGTGCAGTGGCACAATCTCGGCTCACTGCAAGCTCCGCCTCTCAGGTTCACGCCATTCTCCTGCCTCAGCCTCCCTTGTAGCTGGGATTACAGGCGCCTGCCACCACGCCGGGCTAATTTTTTTGTATTTTTAGTAGAGACGGGGTTTCACCGTGTTAGCCAGGATGGTCTCGATTTCCTGACCTCGTGATCCACCTGCCTCAGCCTCCCAAAGTGCTGGGATTACAGGCGTGATCCACCGCGCCTGGCCAGTATTGGATACTTTTATGTTTGCATACCTTCCTTGCATTATCAACTCTCTCTCTCTCTTTCTCTCTCTCCCTCTATCTCATCATTCCTCATTGGCATACCAATCTAAAAAAAAAACAAACAAAAATGAACATTACACTCTTGAGATACTTCTCCATTTATTACCTTCTCATCCCAGCAAAACTTACAGAAAGAGTTGTCTATAATTGGTGTCTCTACTTACTCACCACTTTTTTTCTACCCAACCTGCTTTATCTTGGTTTTCTTCCTGTATTCCATTAAATTGGCACTATTAAGCTCACCAACAACCTATATCTGGCCAAAGCTATTGGCCAATTTCCCATTCTCATCTTACTTCACCTCTCAGTAGCAGCTGTTGTTGAACACACTCTTCCTTTTAAACACATCCTGCTTGAAACATGCTTCTCTGGCTTCTGTGATACCAATCTTCTGGTTTCCCTACCTCAGGGCCACTTTATCTCATGTCCATATCTGGATCTTCCTTCTCTACAAGAATTCTGTATGTAGGGATCTCAGGGCTTTGATCACAGTGAGCTCTTCCAGCTGCATTCTCTTCTAGTTTTGTGGTACTAATATGTCGATACAATGATGGGTCTCAAATGTCCAGTTCTGGACTTGTTTGTCCAACTGCCTGCTTGTCAGGGTTTTCCAGAGAAACAGAACCAAAAGGATCCATATTTATCTCTATATATAGATAGATATAGCTATGTAGATATCCATATATGTATATATGGATATCCGTCTCTCTATATATAATCTATATTATATATATATGTACAAACACACACAGAGAGAGAGAGCTAGAGAAACAGAGAGATTTATCTTAAGGAATTGGCTTACACAATTATGGAGGCTGGTGACCAAAATCTGCAGGGTGGGCTAGCAAGCTGGAAACCCAGAGAAGAGCCAATGCCACAGTTCAAGTCTGAAGGCCATCTGCTGCAGAATTCCCTCTTGCTTAGGTGAGGTCAGTCTTCTGTTCTGTGCAGGCCTTCAACTGATTGATGAGGCCCACCCACTTTATGGAGGGCTATCTGCTTTACCTAAAGCCCATCAATTTAAATGGTAATCTCACCTAAAACATCCTCACAGAAACATCCAGAATAATGTTTGATAAAATATCTAGGCACTGTGATCCAGCCAAATTGACACATAAAGTTAACCATCTCAGAACTCAACATCTCAACATGGATGTCTAAGAGATACAAAGAAGACGGAGGCATAAGGACCAAGTGATGTTATCCTCTTTATAGATCAGAGAGAAGTTAAGATTCTTTTTGAAAGCCAAGGGAAGAGTGAACTCAAGTGTATTCTTGAGATGCAGCCATTGTACTATATTCTCAAACTAGGGGCAAATATCAGGGCTAAGAACACTGTAGATAGTTGTTTAGTATACTATCTTTATACTTACATAGAAAACTCCCTGACGGGGATTGATTTATCCAGATGTAACCCAATCGTACATTGAAAATATAACAAGTCAAAAATGTATTTATCACACCTAACCTACTGAATATCATAGCTTAGGCTAGACTACCTTAAATGTGCTCAGAACACTTAGAATAGCCTACAGTTAGGCAAATATATCTAATACAAAGCCTATTTTATAATGAAGTATTAAATATCTCATGTAATTTATTGGATACTGTACTGAAAGAGAAAAACAGAAAGATTGTATGGGTGCTTGAAATACTGTTTCTATTGATTGCATATCACTTTTGCATCGTAATAAAGTTGAAAAGTACTAAGTACATCGTAAGTCAGGAACCATCTGTACTGAAACACCACTCAGCTACTAGATAATCTCACATGCCCTGATACCTTTGAAAGTTATGTCCTGAAACAAATGACTTACTCCTAGAATTCAAGGTCCTCTCCAGTCTCCTCACTGGAATAGCAGTTTTGCCATTACTTTTAATTAGTTGCAAAAGTAATGGCGGTTTTGCCATTGCTTTTAATGGCAAAACCGCCATTACTTTTGCACCCAACATAATACCTCTCAGACTAATTTTCTGATGATTGAACTCTTCAAACTCTATGTGTCTAAAGTAGCCATTAACCTTACTCTTTCAATGATCACAGCTTCAGATCAATCAGCATAATTTCCCTTCACTCTTATTCATGAGACAAAAGTAGTGAATATTGTTATCCTAAAGGACTCTTTTCAAATGAACCATATTTATATCAGTCGGGAATTTTAAACACATGTGAGAATAAAATGCTAGACGTATAGGGAAAGATCTAGTTCTTTATTCCTTTTCTTATATCTAGTGATTGTTTCTGTCATCACAATTATTGTAAAGGCATCTGGAATTTAGAGTTTAAAGAAACTCAGTCTGCCAAAAAATAAAATTCAAAGATAATTTTCCTCATTCTCTTCCCACCCAAAATGAATACTTGGATCATCAAATGGTAGGGAGAGTCCTTTCTAACTCTCCTCATACTGCAGCCTTGCTCATAGAAGAAACTTTCAACACTCCTCCCACCTATTCAAACTCACTCTTTCTCAGTGGAACAGGAACACTTAATCTGATTGGTAAGAGCCTAACATTCACTGGGCCACCTCTTACCAGTGGGTGCTGTCACTGTGCTCCAAATGACCTCAAGTCCCTCCTGCCCTTGGGATAGTGAACTCCTTATTGACAGCATACTTGGGTAGGGACATGGCCATATTTTCAGCCCTCTGTCTTTAGCTTCTGAAGAGCTGCAGTTCCAGTCATCTTAGATTCAGGGAAGGTGGACATGGGATGCTCCTGTTGGCTGGAGGCCTAAACCATATTCATGGATATGAGATCAGCAGGAACCCTGCTTTCAGGGGATTGTTGGTTCTTGTCCAGATTATTAAAGCAGTACTTCCTGTTCCATGGTTCCTTGACCATATATACTATCAGCAAGAACCCTTGCGGAGGAAAAGAGGTGAAGGGCCCCAAATTCCTAACATAATTATTGAAATGATCTAGAAGTTAAACAGAATTTCAGTTCTATTAGTTTCCTAGTACTGCCATCATAGCAAATTACCACAAATATAGTGGCTTAAAACAATGCCCATTTATTGTCTCACAGTTCTGGAGGTCAGAAGTTCTGGCATAGTGTGGCTCAGCTGGCTCTGCTTTGGATATCACAAGGCTGAAATCAAGATGCTGGAAGGGCAGTGTTCCTTTATAAAAGCTTGGGTGTGAACCTGCTTCTAAGCTCATTCAAGTTATTGGCAGAATTCCGCTCCATAAGGCTACAAGACTGAGATCTTGTTCCCTTGTTGGCTGTCATCAAGGAGCTGTTCTCAGCTCCTAGAGGCTGCCCATATTCTTTGTCTCATGATCCCTTCTTCCATCTTCAAAGCCAACAATGGCAGGTTGAGTCCTTCTCACACTTTGAGTCTCCCTGACCTCTCTTCTGTCTCCCATTTCCTCTGCTTCGTCTCTTTCTGCCACTTTCTTCTTTTAAAGGCTCCAATAATTAAATTGGATGCATCTGGATGATTGAGGCTACTCTCCCTATTTTTAGTTTATTAGTGACTGATTAATTCTATCTGCAAAGCCCCTTTACAGCATATCTAGATTAGTGTTGGTTGAATAACCAGGTGACAGAAAGCTTGGGGGTGTGGGGACATCTTTAAAATTATTACTACCACATAGCTCATCTATTTTTCAATTATAACTCTCATCACCTCTCATAGTTCTGGTTAAATTTTCACTTTGCCCACAATGTCCAGGCATCACACTTTGTTCACTAAAACTGCTCTGCCCAAAGGTGAACCTCCTCTAGCACGCTCTGGCTGTGTTTCATAGGATAAGTCCCTAAACCTCTCTGAGCCTCCCTTTCCTAATATACAGCAGAGATCAACTACTCTACAATATTGTTCCAAAGATTAAATGAAAATATATTGTGAATAAACTTTGAAAATGGCAAAATGAAATGCAAATGTTTATTGTGTTAACTTATGTTTTAATAAAATTATTTTAAAAATTAGAGTGAAAAGTTTTCTGGTATATATGTTGTTTGAATATGGTGATTTCTACACCTACTTGGAACTGAAGTCAGGAAACCTGAGATAGAGTTCAGTCATTAGCTGGATGACCCTGGGCACATCATTTGACTTTTCAAGACCTTTTTTGTTCTCATGTGTGAACTAATGTGTTTGACAAAAGGAACTCTAATGTCCCATTCCATGCTGAAATTATATGCTTCTATTTTATGTTCTTTCTTCAAGATGTATTAAGAGTCAGAGTTGTAAGAAGCAATCTACTTACAGTCAGTTCTTCACAAGATGACTGTAAAACGCCCGAGACAAGCTCGTAACACTGAGACTAGAAATCTCTTCTAGGATAACTTGAAATGTCTCTGTAAATCCCAGCAGATTTTCAGTCTTTTATCATTTAAGTAAGCATTTCTTCAGCACCCAATTTAAACATATGTGGCTATTGAACAATTTCAGTTTGAAAATTCATATTAGTTAATTGACTAGATTTTATGTTTCAAAAAATAACTAAATATCTTGTGCTAAGTAAAAATTATCCTTGAGTTTTATTTTTTTTAAATCAAGCATGAACAGAAAATCTAATTCAATATTTGTGAACTTCTTGATTTCTTCAATTTTCAAAATTTGTACATTAAGAAATAAATTGTAAAATTTTCCTTTTTTCTCCCCAATAATTTTGTTTTTATCTCAAACAAACCATGAAGATTAAGCTCTGTGTCTTCAGTTGCTGTCTCAAGAGTCACTAATAATGCATTCCATTTTGAATGTTAGTCTATTCTACTCCCTTGGTCTGGAACAAACATTATTTTTATAAATGTTGGTTTTGAACGTTAAAAAGGAAGCATTTTTCTCAAACTTTCTTTTAGTTGGATTTCCAGCATAGGACACTCATTTTCTCTTTTTTATCACAGCGTTGGTGAAGGAATTTAGGAGAGCAGGATTGTGAATTTTCAAGTCCCTTTTCATTTGATAGGCACCGTGGAGAGCCCCACTCCTGCAGGGGCCTTGCCAGAAGCAGGAAAATGACAGGGTGGGCTGAGTGTGAGCACAAATTCCTGTCACATTTGAGTTAGTGCTTCTTAAGAGTGGGGGGAATGAGTTATTTTTGACCACACCGTGGTGGTCAACCAGTCTTCACTTAAAGAAAATAATTTTCTTTGCCACAGTAATCTCCTAGGTTGTTGTAGCTGGCTGGACTTGAAGTTTCACAAGATGGATGTGGCATACAGTGTGTTCTGCTGTAATCAGTTGCATGTGTGTGATGCTTTCAGTCCCATGGCCCGAGAGTAGGGTTGGAGTGGAAATGTTAGATGGTCCAAAGCAAGGCAGTAGTGTGGGCTCACATACTTCACATACAGTTTCTTATCTGGAAGTTGGCACTTTGAACCTGAGGGGTTAGACCCAGCAGAGACAATAAAAGACAAGATAGGCCGGGTGCAGTGACTCACACCTGTAATCCTAGCACTTTGGGAGGCCGAGGCAGGCAGATTGCCTGAGCTTGGAAGTTCAAGACCAGCGTGGGCAACACAGTGAAACCCTGTCTCTACTATAAATACAAAAAAATTAGCTGGGCATGGTGGCATGCACCTGTAGTCTCAGTTACTCAAGAGGCTGAGGCAGGATAATTGCTTGAACCCGGGAGGCAGAGGTTGCAGTGAGCGGAGATTGTGCCACTGCACTTCAGCCTGGGTGACAGAGCAAGACTCTGTCTTAAAAAAAAAAAAAAAAAAAAAGAATAGAAAAGAAGGCAAAAAGAAAAAAAGACAAGATAGAGGTGGGGACTGTAAAAATGGAGAAATAGAAAGATACAAAACTAGCAAAAACATAGTAAACCTTGACTTGGAGCTGCAAAAAAGAGGAGAAAACAAGAGGTGCGTAAGATAGGACACCAGCTGATTCCTTTGTTATTCATTTAGCAAACTGAGCACCTACTTTGTGCTCAGCACTGTGCTAGTTGCTGAGGATACAATAATGAACAAATTGGACAGCCTTATTGCCCTGGAGTAGCCTATGATCTATAAGGAAGGCCAATCTAAAAAGTATATTTAGGCACTACGTACAGCCTACCCCCGCTCAGAAAGGGAGAAACTCACCTGACCTGGTAGGTCCTTCCAGTCCTCCCAGAATATATTCAGGTGAGCAGTAAGTCCTCATTGTGTTGGTTCTGCCTCACTGTGTTCCTCAAGGGCAAAAGCTATGGGTTTAAGGAAACAATTTTTAATGTTCACAGTCTGAAAGACTGTTGGCAAGCCGTAGTTCATGGCTATTTCTGCCAGACAGACTTGTTTTTGTTGGGGAAAGAATAATTACAGAGTGATATGTACATTATCCTTAAATGGAGTTGAAATATCTTTGCAGGATAGTCAAAGACTTTAGTTCCCTGATGTAAGAATGGGTGAGGGCAAAACAGGATATAACTCAGAAGTAAGCTTAAGTGACTTTCTTTCCGTCATCCTTTGGTAATCAATTGTCATCCTTCAAATGCTTGTACTGAGCACCATACTGGTGTTGCCCTCCTGGGTCAGACTGTTTTCACAATTCCAGCTGTAGTTTTCCTGTATCTCAGTTCCAGATCTTGCTAGATCTTGCTAGGTGACAGGAATTATTTGATAAACTTACTCAACCCGAACTGTAGTGGGTAGATACTGTGCTAAGGGTCCTGGTTTTCTCTTTAACAACTGTTAATGTCCCTATGGGCCAAATAAATTAGTAATGGGGGATTTCAGGCAAAGCCAGGGAAAGGGCAGAGAGCTTTGGGCTTTCGTCAATTCTTTGCCTATTCTCTAAATGCGTAAATCTGCAAAGGCTCTCACCTGTCTGTCACTGATAGAGAGAAGGTGGAAGCATCTGGGGGTAGTTCTGGCAAAGCTTCTCATTCACTACACATGAGAAGCCCCTACTTACGCAAATTTTTCCAGTAGAAATTCTAACAGCTTAGAATCATATTTTGACATGACTTTTTAAAAGCATGTTTTTCATTCTAAAATTGGGTAAGTATACCCCATGCATAATAGTTTTTGTCAGATCATCCCACATCAAAAAGTGTGCCCTTTTAGACCAATCGCTGAAGTATGCTTTGAGTTTGAGACCCAACCCCCATCCCTTTTCTGTCAGTATTTGCCTTCAGCCTCCCCAAGAACTGTTGAACCAGGCAAAACATCTGCAGCTCCCATCACTGCACCCCCAGTGATGGACTCAAAGGAGGGTGGCTAAAAGAATACCAAGGCTATTCTTCTAATTACTCATTGTTTAGAAAGTGGAGTTTTGCTTATTTATGTTTCATTCTTTTAGTCTTTTTCAAAATTAAAAGGTAGAAGATTGAAATTAGAAAGAATGCTCAGCATTTATATTTGTAAATATATTTATCTGCATATATGCTGAATTTAATATGTTTAAACATTATTTTAATTACCACTTATGGTGTATTTTATCAATCCCAAGGTCCTTATTATACATTTTCTCTTTTGATCCACGTAGCAATTCTATGTAACCTACTATCATCTTTTTTGCGTGACTAGGAGGAAAAAAGATCCACATAGATGCTCCCTATGTAATTTCATATAATTCTTACCACAGCATTGTAAAGCAGGCATTATTTATATGTTTACGTTTTTACAAGTGAGCATTACCCAGCTTTTAAATGGAGAAACCAGGATCCAAAGGCAGATGTGTCCGACCTCAAAGCCCCGTGCTCTTGCTCCCACCTCCGCCCTACCCCACAGAGGGCTGGCATTTTTCTGGCCTGGGTGGAGGCTCGTCTCTAAGCACCATGACCTCCGTCCGTGGAAATGGCTTTTTTCAGGAGGCGCATTCCCCCAAGACAGCAGGTTCTCCCCACTCAGGGAGCCGGGTGGTTGCTCTACCTACAGCACTCCCAGCCTCTGAAATTCCGTGGTGTGGATGTGGAAAGGTGCTGGTCCCAGCCTAAGTAACCAAAGGCAGGCATTTTGCTGCTGTTACCTACATGCAATCAATTATTGCCTTCTGCCCACCTAATCCCTTCATCCCTGTTTCTCTAAAACCATTTCACCCTGCTTTTCACCTGGGAACTGAAGCACCTGGGAACCGCAGCACCTGGGAACGGCGAGTCCCTCCTTTGCGTCTTTCTGCCTGCTTCCTTCCACTTTGTAAAATGTAGATTTTGTTAACCACTCCGCACAAGCACACCCGCCCCTACCCACGTTTTTTAACCTAGAAACGTCGGCTCCTGTCAGGGTAGAAGGCAAGGGATATAGGAGGGGAGAAAAAAGTCAATGGCAGCTTCTGGCTATCATTTAAACACAATAGAATCAACTTCTGTGGACATCTGCTATTCTCAGGCTAAATGATGGCATTGGAAGGCTTCAAATTGGAGAAAGTACATTACCAAATCAGTTTTATAAGTGACACTTTTGTGATTCCAATATTATGAAAACACACTCAATTCCTTATTTTTTGTTGCATCTCTAAAATTAGGATTAGCCTAGGCTTAAGTGGATAAAGAACTCATCTAGAATAAAATAGAGTAACCCATTTCAAAGCCTGCACAAGTTAAGCCATTTTGCAATTATTTATATATTTATATACTTAAAGTCTTGCAAATGTTGTCAACCCTAGCCCTCACTGAACATCTCAACATGGCGCCCAGGGGAGGCTTCAAACCTGACAGCCATTACCTGTTTGTCAGGAACAAGGAGAGGTTTTAAAGAAAAATGAGGTCTCCCCCTTTCAGATGTAGAAATAAAGGGCCGGCTGAGAGATACATCCAAGAATAGGAAGTGCGAGGACCTAATGGGTCATGACAGCTCAGATATAGAAGTTATCTCCCCTCAGGAGGGGTGGCCCCATTATGCACTTGTGGTTGTGTTTTGCTACAGCAGCCATGAGTGATGAGGCCACCCTTATCTCACAGAGATGAAGACCATATTTTCCAACCCTGTGGCATGTTCTTTCTGTGCACCCACTTAGGGCACGGATTTTATTTCCCAACTACACACATGTATATCTCACACACACAGCAGAAGAAAGAACTGCCTGTCTTTAAGTGACATTTAGTGATGAATGTGCCACTACTGACATCTTGAATGAGAACTCTCCCCCCAAACGGTAGACACTTGAATGACTTTCAAGAAAACCAACTCCCCTGCTCTATCAAGATGGCTTTCATATCGATTTAGCTCCCTATGACAAAACATTTTAGAAATGGCACCGCCGCACTTTAAAAACCAGAGTGATCCCCCTTGTCTGAAAAGTGAAAAGCAAACAGAATCCTTGCCCATATCGTTCCCGTGAATTGGATCACCCCTGTCTTGGAAGCTATCAACTCCGCAAACCTGAAAAAATGCGAATTCTCAGGTCAGTTATTTTCTAAAGCAGGCCTCCTGGTGGAAAGCCTTGGTGATACAAGAGCATATGAATCTTAGCCCTGCTTAAATCACCAGTCGTTCTATATTGTGCTTTCTCTTTTTAGTTTTAAATTATTTATTAAAAGACACAATCCCTGTTAGGGCAACCTCATCAGCATGGAGAACATGGATCCAGTGACTTGTGCATAAAATCTGCAACTCAAATGAAAACTGTGGGGAAACTTCAAACAGTGACAGAAGAGAAAGAACTCAAAAGTGAGGTGTTCTCCTTTCTGATTTTAGTTCAGAAGAAGAGATGGCTTGTAAATATTTTGGTTTTATTCGACAAATGTTTTTTTTTCTCTCTCTCTCTCTTTTAAAGCTAAAATGCTTTTAGAAACCCCCAACCTGTCTTTCCTCATAAAAATACAGGGAACCTTGCTTAAGGTTAGTTTTGTCCCTCCTTTAGGAGGTGCATGTGGGGTGTTTGGGAGGCGAAAAAGGGCTGGCTGCTCTCTTTTTCTTTGCTTTGATGGATTCCTCCCCTCATCAACCATAGCCCAGCTCATAATTATAATGCAAAACAGCATCCCCACAGCCTGCTTGGTGCATTTCAAATCTGAAGTTCCTTGAAGTTCTAAGGATTTTTAAATATTGATATTCATTAATTGTGTGGCTTTTGTGACATAAATGCACAATACACACTTTTATGTGCTGGAAACAGCTAAAAATGCCATGTCACAAGTGTTTACATGGCTGTTATGGAAAACGGTACCACGCTAATATATGTCTGCTTCTTAAATTCTGTTAGCAGTTGTAAGACAGTCAGATACCACCCGTGGGATCTTGTGCCCTCATGAAACACAATTACAATGAGAATATCTCATTATCTCATTGGCTTTAGCTTACTGCTCTGTTACCATGGTTTCAAATACACAGAGGAGTCTGAAACTAAGAGTGCTGCTAACAAAGAACATATCCTTGTACAATGACATCAGATCATGTTAGACAGAATAGACTTAATTAAATACCCCCTGATGGAGGCCAAAATACAGAAGTTGGGTCTACTTTTTAAAAAGGAAACCTGCCATTTAAAAACATCCTGCTTAATTTACTTGGGAATTTTTAATTTGTTTTTAACAGCAACTACAATAACGAAAACAAACTCTGAATCCAGATCTCATTTAATATTCACTGGTAGTAATGAGAAGTTAAAAAAAATGGAGAAGAAAAAGACAACTGTCAGAAGATACTGATATCAAATGTGGTTTTCTTCCAAGTGTCTGGCTACTGAACCTAACCAATCCACAGATTAAGCACAGGGAATAGTTCTGAGTGCAGACTATTATACCCTCTGCTGTTATGTGTCCTCAGAATTCCAAGCATGAATTCTAGTCTTTCCAGATGAGACCTGGTTTTGCCAGATACAATCATGGCATTTCAACCTCTTTTTTGACACATCAAGTGTCTAACTTTGCAAAACTAGAATTACACGACTTATCATGAAGGGAAACAAGTTGATTTTATTAGAAGAGAGATTACAACTTTGGACTCTTGGACTTCCAACTGTTGTGTAGCTTGCCGTGGTTTGATTGATTTCCATCCCCTGGCTTACTCTGCACTGATGAAAGTACCTCATGACTCCAGCCAATGTGGCTTTTGTTTAAGCAAAGCTTTCAAATACACTTCGGTATGAGAAATCATTTAGGCTTCAGAATTATCCTAGCCTATAACCATTTTTCTTCCAAAGACCTAAAACAGTGGCTGTCATTTTTCTATGTTGTAAAATTAATTTCCCTGTAGTAGAAATATCCCTCGTCAATGTGAAGTTTATTCCTCCTCCCCATACCACACAGGCATACTAGAATCATAGAGGTAAAAAAAAAAAAAAAAAAAGAAAAAATTTAAATCACTTATAGGCCCTGGAGACTATCGGGTGACATAATGTGACAATAATGACATCCCTAGTGGTGTTAATTGATTTTGTCCTGGTAGAGAGGGTAATTTGGCTTCCACAGTGACTGCGGGATCATGGACTTACTGATTGGTCTGCCTAGGTAGTATTACCATTAATGAACAGAAAACACACTTTCTTCCTTAAAAGATACTGGTAATTACGGGGAAGGGAAGATGGAAAGCCATGGGTTCTTAATCGTTTAAGGAGTGTTCATTCTGAGCTGTTTGCATTAAAAGGGGATATATGTTAAAAGACTGTGAATTAGCAATTCAGAGTCTCAGTCTATAAAATCCAGCTGCTTTTCTGCTACCTTAGGAAGATTTGTGAAAAAGTCAAATGATTTGTAAAGTGTGCTTTAAGAGAAAAAAATAGCAATTGGCAGCCACATGTGCTGTGTGATTAAAAGTGATACATCATCTGTCAAGCTGGCTTGCTTTATTGGTCTACATTCCTTTCTTTATGGCTTCTAATTGGTGTGATTTTGAAAATATTTTTAAAATGAAAAACACATCTCATTCTAAATTGTGTGTGTGGAATAAGATATTCAGACAATTCTCTGATTTTCAGAGAAGCTGGATAGATTTGGGAGTCATTCAAGCTGAAACAAAATAATTGAGATTATGTACATAAAAATGATGTTACTCGTATCAGTTAAAGGAACCATTATTCTCTGTGTCCTCCAAGCTTGAAAACTTTGTAAGTATCTCAATTCATTTCTTACCCGTTGGTTTCAACTGGCTATCAAGTTCTATCCATTTTATGAGGCCTGGTGACATTCTGCCTGTAGGCATCAGTTCTGTCAAAGCAGTTGTTTATAGCTGGTATTCATTGTATTGGTGGTATCTGTGCAGTACAGTAGCTGCACTTGTTGCTAAATATTTTGCATATTACGACTACATTCTACTATTTAAATATCTTTTGAATCTGCCCCTTTATCTCTATTAACATGCCACTAACTTAGGTCAAATTTTAGTTATCTCTAATCTAGACTCTTGTAATAATTTTTTAAGGGGGATTATTAGCTAGTTACTTTTTTTTCTCTTTTTTAGTAGTAGTATTTAACTGGTCTTTTTTACTCCAATGCCTTCCTACTCTAATCCATGTTCCACATTCTAGCCACAGTTACTTTGCATAGTTATGTAAACTATTTTTTTTAGGCCAGGGACGCTGGCTCACGCATGTAATCCCAGCACTTTGGGAGGCCAAGGTGGAAGGATCACTTAAACACAGGAGTTCAAGATCAGCCTGGGCAACATAGCAAGACCCTGTCTCTACAAATAAATAATTGTAATATTAGCAGGCATGGTGGTGTATGACTATAGTCCCAGCTACTTGAGAGGCTGAAGCAGGAGGATCGCTTGAGACTAGGAGTTTGAGGCTACAGTGAGCTATGATTGCACCACTGTACTCCAGCCTGAATGACAAAATGAGTCCCTGTCTCAAAAAACAAAGAAACAAAAGCCCTATTAAAAAATAGAAGTATTGTGTGCATATAGAAAATTGCACAAATCATACCTCTACAGTGGTGTTGTTTTAGGATAGGTTCCCTAGAAGCAGAGCCTGAGTTGGGGATTTTTATGCAAGTGATTTATTTAGGGAGAACTGTCCATTGAAACCTGTGAGAGAATAAGTGAAACAGGCTATGTGGGAAAAGTTGTGAAGAACTGTGAAGGGTCCAAGATTTTGCCTTGCTTGCAAGCTAACAAATTAGCCTGGCACACTTTCATGGATGCTGGCAGACTCTTGGGTCAGAAATAAAGTGTTTTAACACCGACAGCAATAGCAGAAGCCTGAGTATCAGCATTTGCACCAGCTCTCTGAGCCTCAGTTTCCCTAAAGTGATGCAAAGAGGGCCAGGTAATGTCCTGCACAAGTAGTGGGTTATGTTAGAGGAGAGGAACTCTGACC
The DNA here is from genome assembly GCF_000001405.40 of Homo sapiens. Lineage (NCBI taxonomy): Eukaryota > Metazoa > Chordata > Mammalia > Primates > Hominidae > Homo > Homo sapiens. The sequence goes on along the minus strand of NC_000003.12, from coordinate 157,751,663 downwards.
TTAGGGAACCTGAATCTTTTACAATGGGTAGTAACCTGTCTGAACATTGCCCTGGAAGGATATGTCATTTTTCTTATACTGGGTAGTAAACCTGCCCTTTGTTCCAGGGAGACACTATTTTTATCTTCCAAGGCTGTTCACTATACAAACATCCTAGAAAGGATGGTGCAGAACATTGCCATCAATGCCTCTGGTTGGCAAGGTGGGCAGAAATGTGAAAGTCCTAGGAAAAATTGTCTCCCAACAGAAGGCTTTACGTTTGGCTAAAATCTAGCCTCATGGTAATCCCTTTGGGAGGTCTGGAATATGGATAGCTCCTCAAGCAAGGGGGCTGGCTTTTTGTACCTCCCTTCTTTTTCAAGGTTTTCTTTTTTCTATTCTTTGCCCTTCGCATTGCCAAATATGATTTAAAATCAGCTTGTCAATTTATAACAACAACAAACCAAAACCAAATTCAGGTATTTGAGATTATATTGAATCTATAGGTCAACTGGTGGGAGAATTTACTTCTTATAAAGTTAAAAATGTCCAATCTGTGAGCATTTTGATATGTTGCATTTTGTTATAATTCAGTTCACAACACATTTTTCTTAGGTCTTCTTTAATTTCTTTCTATAAAGTTTTGTAATTTTCAGTGTAGAGGACATGAACAGCTTATTCTATTTATTTCTAGGTGTTTGATGTTTTCTGATATTATGATAAATGTTTTTAAATTTTTGTTTTCAATTGTTTGTTGCTAGAATATAGAAAAACAATTGATTTTTATATTGCCTTGTATGCAATGATTTTGCCAAATTCGTTTTTAAATTTTAACAGTGTTTCTAGATTCTTTTGGATTTTTAAGCACATAGTTATATTGTCTATAAAGAACAATAATGTATCTTCTTTTCTAATCTTTACGTAATTTATATTTTTTCTTTCCTTATTGCAATAGTCAATATCCTTAGCACAATGCTGAGTAAAAGATAGTGTACATCCTTCCCTCATTCTTCATCTAAGAGAGGCTTCTACCATTGAGTATGATGTTTGCTGTAAGCTTGTTCATTCATTCATTCATTTATTACAGATGCTCTTTATCAGAGTAAGGAAGTCTCCTTCTATCCTAGAATGCTAAGAGTTTCTAATATGAATGCACTTTGAATTTTATCAAATGCTTTTAGTACCTTTATTTTGATGATTGTATTATTTTCTCCTTTGTTTTGTTAATATAGAGAATTACATTCATTGATTTTATAGTGCTAAACCAACCTTGCATTCCTGGAATAACCCCAAAATAATTATGTTGTATTGTCTTTTCAATATATTGCTGATTTTGATTGGCTAGTATTTTGTTTAGGATTTCAGCACCTATGTTCATGAAAGAAACCGGTCTGTAATTTTACTTTCTCATTATGTGTTTGCTAGGGTTTGGTATCAGATCATAGGGGCCTCATAAATAAGTTGGGAAGAATTTTATCATTTTCTGTTCTCTGTAAGAGTTTGTTTAATGATTGGTATTGTTTCTTCTTTAAATTACTGAAGATTTTTAATTACTGAAAGCAATTTCTTTGATAAATTTAGGACTAATCAGATTTCCTATTTCTTTTTGGGTCAGTTACGGTTGTGTTCTTCTAGGAATTTCCCCTTTCTATTAACATGTTCAATTTTATTGGTAAAAAGTTGTTCATAATATCCTTCCATTTCAATGTTACTTTTCATACCTTCTGATATTCATAATCTGCACCTTCTATCTTTTTCTCTTTTTCTTGATCAGTTGTAGCAGAAGTATATGACTATATTGTTCTTTTCAAAGAACTAACTTTTGACTTTGTTAATTTTTCTCTAGTGTACATTTGTTTTCTATTTCATTATGTCTTTCTTTTTAAAAATTGTTCAATTTGTATTTATTTATTCACTTTTAGAGATGATGTATTGTTATGTTGCATAGGCTGGTCTCAAATTCCTGGACTCAAGCAATTCTCCCACCTCAGCCTCTCAAGTAGCTGGGACTACAGGCACAAGCCACTGTGCCTGGCTTTCATTTATGTCTTTCTAACTTTTTAATTTGTCTTTGCTCTTTCATTGGGTATATTTTGCTGCTCTTTTTCTAACTTCTTGAGATGGATACTTAGATAATTAATTTGCAGCCTCTTTTTTTTTTTTTTTTTCAACAGGGTCTCATTCTGTCACCCAGGCTAGAGTGCAGTGGCCCAATCATAGCTCACTGCAGCCTCAAACTCCTAAGTTCAAGAGAGCTTCCCACCTCAGCCTCCTGATTTATAGGACTACAGGTATGTGCAACCATGCCCAGTTAATTTCTTTCTTAATTTCTATTTTTGCTTTTTGGTAGACTGGTCTCAAACTTCTGGCCTCAAGTGATCTTTCCACTTCAGCCTCCCAAAGTGCTGGTATTACAAGTGTGAGCCACTGCACCCAGACCTTTTTTCTTTTCTTATATTTGTGTTTAAGACTACAATTTTCTCTAAGTATAGCTTTAGCTTCATTTCACACATTTTGTTTTGCTGAATTTCATTGTAATTTCAGTAAGGACTTTAAAAAATTACCATGAGATTTCTTTAAATTATATTCCTTTATTTCTAAGTATTTGGATAACTTTTAAAGTTTTTTTTTGTTACTGATTTCTAACAATTTCACCATGTTCAGGGAATATATTTCTAGAATTTAATTATTTGAAATCTGTTAAAATTCACTTTATAAACCAGAATATGATCAATATTTGTAAATATTTCATATGCATTTGATAACTATATTCTGAGGCACATTCATAAGGACAGAAAGTAGATTAGGGTTTGCTAGGGGCTGGAGGAAGGTGGAATGGGATGTGACTGCTAATGAGTATGGGATTTTTTTTTTTGAAGTAATGAAAATGTTTTGAAACTAGATAGTGGCGATGCTTGCAAAACTTTATGAGTATATTAAAAACCACTGAATTGTGGACTTTAAAAGGGTGAGCTTTGTGGTTTATGAATTATATCTTAATAAAGCTGTTATAAACAAATATGAACCAAATCAGCTGTACCAAAATACCCTAATATGTATTAAACTTTATCTTAAATTTCAAAAAAAGAAAACTGTATTCTGCAGTTTTCTCTACACATGAATTAAGTTATTTTTGTTAATCCAATTGTTTAATCTATATCCTTACTTATTTTTGTCTATTTATTTTATCTGTTGCTATGACAGAGGTATTAAAATCTCCAGTTGTGATTATGGCTGTGTCTATGTCTCCTTTTAGTTGTCAAGTTTTGCTTTAAAGCAAGTTCATTTGTGTAGTCCAATTTGGAATTGTTACATATTTCTAGAAATTGACCCTTTTGTCATTATAAAATACTCCTTTTCAATCTTCAGTAATGCTCTTTGCATTTATCTTATGTTAATATAGCTAGACTTGATTAGTGTTTGCCTTATACAAAGTTTTCCATCTCTTGATTTTTCTTTCTGTGAATCTCTATTTAACATGTGTCATTTGCTAATTTGTGTATAGTCACACATGTAATCCCAGCACTTTGGGAGGCCGAGGTGGAAGGATCACTTGAGACCAGTCAGGACAACAAAGCAAGACCCCATCTGTAAAAAAATAAAAATAAAAAAATTATCCAGGTGTGGTGGCATGTATTTGTAGTCCTGGCTACTTGGGAGGCTGAGGTGAGAGGATTCCTTGATCCAGGAGGCCAAAGCTGCAGTGAGCCATGATCATGCCACTGCATTCCAGCCTGGGTGACAGAGTAAGAACCTATCCAAAAAAAAGAAGAAGAAGAAAGAAGAAAGGACACCTATAGACAAATATGATTCAATGAAAAGCAAAGTGATTATATCACAACTTAAAGCAAAAGGAAGGTGAAAAAGCTAATGCCAGCAAAAGATGGTTTGATAACTTTAGAAATAAGTTTCACTTTAAAAATCTCAGGATAGGGCAGGGCATGGTAGCTCATGCCTATAATTCCAGTACTTTGGGAGTCCGAGGTGGGTAGATCACTTGAGGCCAGGAGTAAGAGACCAGCCTGGCTAACACGGTGAAATCCTGTCTCTACTAAAAATACAAAAATTAGCTGTGTGTGGTGGTGCATGCCTGTAATCCAGCTGCTTGGGAGGCTGAGGCATGGGAATCGCTTGATCCTAAGAGGTGGAGATTGCAGTGAGCCAAAATTGCACCACTGTACTCCAGCCTGGGTGACAGAGCAAGGCTCTAACAAAAAAAAAAAAAAAAGTCAGGGTAACAAGATAACAAGAGAAGATGCTTCTGCTGACCGAGAGGCAGTAGATGAGTTCCGGAAGCCATTTAGAAAATAATTGGGAGGAAAGGATATCTGTTCAAACAGGTCTTTAATGAACACCAAAGTGCCCATTCTGGAAAAAAAAAAAATTCCACAAAGGACATTCATTAGTAAGGAAGAGAAGTGAGAACCAGGACTTAAGGCAAGAAGGTGTAGGCTAACTCTAGTGTTTTGTGAAAATATGGTCAGGTTTATGACCAGGACTGCCGTTACAAAGCTGCTAACCCCAGAACATTGAAGGAAAAAGATAAACACCAGCTGCCAGTCTTTTGATTGTATAACAAGAAGGCCTGGACAACTAGAACACTTTTTGTGGATTGGTTTCTACTGATGCTTTGTCCCTGAAGTCAGGAAATACCTTGCCAGAAAGTGGCTGCCTTTTATAATTCCTTTGATATTGGATAATGACCCTAACCACGCAGAACCCCAAGAGCTCAATGCCGAGGGTGTCAAAGTGGTCTGCTTGCCCCTAAACACAACATCTCCAAATCAGGCTCTAGCTCAGGAGGTCATGAGGACCTTTAAGGCTTATTACACATGTTACTGTATGGAAAGGACTGTCAATGCTATGGAAGTGAACTCTGATAGAAAGAATATCATGAAAGGAAGCAAACTCTGATAGAAAGACTATCATGAAAGTCTGGAAGGATTACACCATTGAAGATGCCATCATTGTTACAGAAAAAGCTGTGAAATCCATCCAGCCTGGAGCAATAAATTTCTTCTGGAGGAAACTGTCCAAATGTTGTACATGACTTCACAGGATTTTAAACAGAGCTGATCAAGGAAATCATGAAAAAAAAAATGTGACTATGGCAAAAAAAATGTGTGTGGGGTGAAAGGTTTCAATGAATCTTGGAGGAACTTAGAGCTAATAGACACCACACCAGAGGAATTAACAGAAAATGACTTGGTGGAGATGAGTACTTCTGAATCAGCGCCAGGTAATGAGGAAGAAAACATAGAAGAAGCAGTACCAGAAAGCAAATTGTCATTAGACAATCTGGCAGAAGGGTTCTGATTATTCAAGACTGTTTCTGACTTCTTTTATAACATGAACCCTTCTATGCATGGACACTGAAACCAAAGCAAATGGTGGAAGAAGGACTAGTACTGTATAGAAACATTTTTATACAGAAATGAAAAAGCAAAAAAGTCAGACAGGAATTACAGTGTTTCTGTAAAGTTACTGTAAACGTGCCTGCCTTTCCTGCCTCCCTTCTACCTCCTCTACCTCTACCTCTGCCACCCCTGAGACAACAAGACCAACCCCTTCCTCCTCCTTCTCACCCTACAAAATGTGAAGATAACAAGGATGAAGACCTTTATGATGAGCCACTTCCACTTAATAAATAGTAAGTATATTTTCTCCTTTATATACTTTTCTTAACAACAATTTCTTTTCTCTAGCTAACTTTATTGTAAGAATACAGTATACAATAAATGTAACATGCAAAATATGTATTAATCAACTATGCTATCAATAAAACTTCTGGTCAACAGTAGGCTATTAGTAGTTAAGTTTTGGGGAATCAGAAGTTAAATGTGGATTTTTACTGCTCAAGGGGTCGATATCCCTAACCCCCATGTTGTTCAAAGGTCAACTGTACATGGAATTATATACAGCCTTTTGTATCCAGCTACTTTCATTTAACACAATGCTTTTGAGAGTCATTGATGTATTATATATATCAATAGTTTGCTTCTTTTTTATATTGTTATGTGCATTGCTAGTTTTTTTTCATTGTACTGTGTGGGTATCACTAGTTCATTCATTTTTATTGTTTTGTATACCACAATTTGTCTATCCATTCACCAGCTGATGTGCATTTGGGTTGTTTCTAGTTTTTTTGCTATTATGAATAAAGCTGCTATGAACATCTACGTGCAATTTCTTATAGATATATGCTTTAATTCCTCTTGGGTAAAAACAAAGGAGTGGGATTACTGAGTTATATTATGTTTTTATATGCATGGTTATTTTATGTTATATTTAACTTTCTGAGAAACTGCTAAATTGCTCTCCAAAATGTCTGTGAAATTTCACTATCTTACTAGTGGTGAATTAGCATTCCAGTTGCTCCACATTCTTACAAACACTTGACATTTTCAGTCTTTTTAATTTTAGCCATTCTAGTGGGTGTGTAGTGGCATCTCATTGTGATTTTAAATCACATTTCCCTGATCACATTTCCTAAATGATGCTGAGAATCTTTTAAAGTGTTTATTAGCCATTTGTGTATCTTCTTTGTTAAAGTATCTGTCCCAGTCATTTGTCTATTTTAAAAGTTGAATTATTTCTCTTTTTGTTACATTGTAAGAGTTTTTAAATTAATGTATTTAGATTTACTTTAATACAGGCCAATATCCCTGATGAACATTGATGCAAAAATCCTCAACAAAATACACACAAACCAAATTCAACAACACATTAAAAAAAATTCATCATGGCCAAGTGGGATTTATCCAGGGATGCAAGTGTGGTTCAAAATACACAAATCAATCAGTGTGATACATCATATCAACAGAATGTAGGACAAAAACCACATGATCATTTCAATTGGTGCTGAAAATGCATTTGATAAAATTCAACATCCCTTCATGATAAAAACTATCAAACTGGGCATAGAAAAAACATACCTCAACACAACAAAAACCATATATGATGGACTCATAGCTAGTATCATACTGAATTGGGAAAAACTAAAAGCCTTTCCTCTAAGATCTGGAACATGAAAATGATACCTACTTTTACCACTGTTATTCAACATAGTACTGGAAGTGCTAGCTAAAGCCATCAGACAAGAGAAAGAAATGAAGTGCATCCAAGTTAGTAAAGAGGAAGTCAAACTGTCACTGTTTGCTGATGATATGATCATTTACCTTGAAAACCCTAAAAACTCCTCCAGAAAGCCCCTAGAACTGGTAAAATAATTCAGCGACATTTCTAGATACAAAATTAATGTACACAAATCAGTAGCTCTTCTCTACACCAACAGTGACCAAGTGGAGAATCAAATCAAGAATTCTGCAAATAATAGCTGCAAAAAAAGTAAAATACTTAGGAATATACTTAACCAAGGAGGTAAAAGACCTCTACAAGTAAAACTACAAAACCCTGCTGAAAGAAATCATAGATGACACAAACAAATGGAAACACATCCTGTGCTCATGGATGGGTAGAATCAGTATTGTGAAAATTACCATACTGCCAAAAGCAATCTACAAATTCAGTGCAATTCTCATCAAAATACCACGATCATTCTTCACAGAATTAGAAAAAATAATTCTAAAATTCACATGGAACCAAAAAGGAGCCCACATAGTCAAAGCAAGACTAAGCAAAAATAACAAATGTGGAGGCCTCACATTATCTGATTTCAAACTATACTATAAAGCCATAGTCACCAAAACAGCATGGTACTTGTATAAAAATAGGCACATAGACCAGTGGAATAGAATAAAGAACTGAGAAACCCAAATACTTACAGCCAACTGATCTTCAGCAAAGCAAACAAAAACATAAAGTGGGGAAAGAACACCCTTTTCAAAAAATGGTGCTGGGATAATTGGCTAGCCACATGTAAGAGAATGAAACTGAATCCTCATCTCTCACCTTATACAAAAATCAACTCAAGATGGATTATGGACTCAAATCTAAGACCTAAAACTATAAAAATTCTATTCTAGAAGATAACACTGGAAAACCTTTCTAGACATTGGCTTAGGCAAGGATTTCATGACAAAGAACCCAAAAACAAATGCAATAAGACAAAGATAAATAGCTGAGACCTAATTAAACTAAAGAGCTTTTGCATGGCGAAAGGAACAGTCAGCAGAGTAATCAGGAAACCCACAGAGTGGGAGAAGATCTTCACAATCTATACGTCTTACAAAGGACTAATATCCAGAATCTACAAGGAACACCAACAAATCAGCAAGAAAAAAAATCCCATCAAAAAGTAGGCTAAGAAAATGAATAGACAATTCTCAAAGATATACAAATGGCCAAGAAATATATGAAAAAATGTTCAACATCACTAATGATCAGGGAAATGAAAATCAAAACCACGATGTGATACCACCTTACTCCTGCAAGAATGGCCATAATAAAAAAAAAATAAAAAAACAGTAGATGTTGGCATGGATGCAGTGATCAGGGAACACTTCTACACTGTTGGTGGGAATGTAAACTAGTACAACCACTATGGAAAACAGTATGAAGATTCCTTAAAGAACTAAAAATAGAACTACCATTTGATCCAGCAATCCCACTACTGGGTATCTACCCAGAGGAAAAGAAGTCATTGTAAGAAAAAGATACTTGCACACGGATGTTTATAGCAGCACAATTTGCAATTGCAAAATCATGAAACCTACCCAAACGCCCATCAATCAACGAGTAGATAAAGAAACTGGTATAAATATATGATGGAATACTACTCAGCCATAAAAAGGAATGAATTAACAGCATTCACAGTGACCTGGATGAGACTGGAGACTATTATTCTAAGTGAAGGAGCTCAGGAATGGAAAACCAAACATCGAATGTTCTCACTGATATGTGGGAGGGCACAAAGGCATAAGAATGACACAATGAACTCTGGGGACTCAGGGGGAAGGATGGGAGAGGTGCAAGGGATAAATGATTACAAACAGGGTGCAGTGTATACTGCTTGGGTGATGGGTGTACCAAAATCTCACAAATCACCACTAAAGCACTTACTAATGTAACCAAACACCATCTGTACCCCAATAACCTAAGGAAAAATTTAAAAATGGATTCTTTCTCTTTATTGTTGTCACATTGTAAGAGTTCATAAATTAATGTATTCTGGATATAACTTCTTTAATATATGTAAGTTTTGTAAATATATTCTCTAGATCTGATCTGCATTTGTGTTTTCTTAACAGTGTCTTTGGAAGAGGAAAATTTTAATTTTGATGAAGTCCATTTTATCAATTTTTTATGGCTCATATTATTCTTATTTTAAGAATATTTGACCTTTAACTGAAGATCACAAGGATTTTGTCCTTGTGATTTTATTCTTGTGATTTGCTTGTATAAATTAAAAAATTATTTATTTTATGTTTTCTTCTGTGAGTTTTATAGTTTCATCCCCCACATGTAGATTTTTTACTCATTAGGTGCTAATTTTTGTATATCATATTATGTAAGGGTCAATGTTTATATTTTTGCACATAGATATCCAATAGTTCCACATTATTTATGCAAAAGCTATCCTATCCCATTGAATTATCCTGGCATTTTTGCTGAAAACCAATTGAATATATATATATATATATATATATATATATATATATATATATATGTATATATATATATATTTCTGGACTCTATTCTGTTTCATATCTATATATTTGTTGCTATGACAATATCACACCATCTTTTTACTGTAGCAGTGTGTAGTATGCCTTGAAATTTTATAATGAAAGTCCTTCAAATTTTTGTTTTACAAATTTGTTTTGGGTATTCTAGGTCCCTTGCATTTCTATGTAAACTACAGAATCTGCTTGACAATTTCTGCAAATTAAAAAAAAAAAGGCCTGCCAGATGTTTTTGGGAGGAGAAAGTATTGTCTTGAATTAATAGATCCATTTTGAAAAAAATGACCTTTTAATAACACTGAGTGTTCTATGACTTTAGGTCTTCCTTAATTGCTTTCAGCAATGTCTAATGTATAGTACTTGCACATGGTAAAAAATTTTTTCCTAAGTATTTTCTATTTTCAGGCTATATTGTAGATGGAATTTTAAAAATTTCATGTTTAATTTTTTGTTGCTAATATATAGAAATGCAATTTATTTTTAAACATTGGCCTTGTATCCTGCTATGTTGGCAAACTTGCTTATTATTTCCAGTAGCTTTGTGACAGATTCATTTTAGTAGCTTTTGCATAGATGGTTTAGTTATTTTATACAAGCTATTATGTGATGAGAGAATGAGGGTGGTTTTACTTCATCCTTTCTTATCTGGAAGTCTTATTTTATTTTACTTTTGCTTTATTAAACTAGTCAAATCCTCATACTTTTTAATATTAGTGGTAAGGGAAGACTTGCTTCTGATTTTAAGGGGTAACACTCAGTCTTACAATTTGAGGAATTTTCTATTTCTATTTTTATTGAGAATTATATGAGTAATGGCCCTTGGATGTTGCCAAATCCTTCCTGGATTTATTGAGATGTTCACATGATTTTTTTTTTTTTAGTCTGTGAATCTGGTGAATTATACTGGTTTATTTTTTAATGCTAACTTTAACCATTAAATTGGGTATAGAACAAACATATCTCAACATAATAAAAACCATATAAGACAGACTTATAGCTAGTATCATACTGAATGGGGAAAAACTAAAAGCCTTTCCTTTGAGATCTGGAACATGAAAAAGATATCTGCCTTTACCACTGTTATTCAACATAATACTGGAAGTCCTAGCTAAAGCAAGCAGACAAGAGAAAGAAATAAAAGGCATCCAAATTGAAAAGAAAGAAGTCAAATTATCCTTGTTTATAGATGATATAATTTTATATTTGGAAAAACCTAAAGACTCAACAAAAGACTATTAGAGCTAAAAAAACAAATTCAATCAAGTTGCAAGAGACAAAATAAACTTACAAAAGTTAGTAGCATTTCTATATGCCAACAGTTTAGAATCTGAAAAAGAAATCAAACAAATAATCATATTTACAATAGCTACAAATAAAATAAAATACCTAGGAATTAACCAAAGAAGTGAAAGATCTCTACAATAAAAATTATAAAATGTAGATGAAAGAAATTGAAGAGGACACATAAAAATGAAAAGATATTCCATGTTGATGGATTGGAAGAATCAATATTGTTAAAATGTTCATACTACCTAAAGCAATTTACAGATTCAATACAATCCCTATCAAAATACCAATGACATTCTTTGCAGAAATAGAAAAATCAACTCTAAAATTTATATGGAACCACAAAAGGCCCAGAATAACCAAAACAATTCTGAGAAAAAAGAACAAAACTGGAGGAATCACATTACCTGACTTCAAATTATACTACAAAGCTGTAGTAACAAAAGAGTGTGGTACTGTCATAAAAACAGACACATAGACAAGTGGAACAGAATAAAGAACTCAGAAACAAATCCATGTATCTACAGTGAATTCATTTTTTATGAAGGTGCCAAGAACATACACTGGGGAAAGGACAGTGTCTTCAACAAATGATGCTGGGAAAACTGGATATTCATATGCAGAGAGCCATTAGTTACCCCACAGTGATTATTATGCATTGTATGCCTGTATCAAAATATCTCATGTACCCCATAAATATATACTTACTATGTACCTAGAAAAATGAAAAATAGCAATGTCACAAAATAACATGTATCCCAAAAATATCTACCACTATTATATATCAATTAAAAATTAATTTTAAAACTTTGATAAAAATATAATAGAAAAATAAAAATTGCCCACAATCCCATTGGAGAGAGATAACCATCATTGGCATTTTGGGTTATTTTCTTTCCTTCTTTCTCCCATCCTTCTCCTAATTTAAATCCTATGAATTTAAATAGGACGTATATGTAACTCGATGTTGTGGGACATCTCACTTGTTTCCCTGGAGTTGGCAAATAGGACCCAAAGCTCAGGGCAGAGAGCCATTAGTTACCCCACAGTCAAAAGAGATCTTCAAACAATTGGGGTCCAACTGCTCACTCAGAATTTATCAAGAAGTGGCCAAACTTCTCCAGTGTGTATAAGCAAAAGTCTGATGGCGAGGGAGAGGGAGGTGCATCAGAATCTCAAATGGTCTGCCCTATAGGGAGGACTGCACCACAACTCCCTCCAAAGCTAAAGGGCCTAGAATTGCCCAAAGATGGGGGTAGGTCTACAAGAATGAGGAATCAGTCTTTTTCTCCTAGGGAAATATCTGCTGAAACCCTGTGCTTTTAGATCTGCTCTGTGCTTTTCCTAGCAAGCAAAAAGAGAACGGAAAGCTGAGGGAGGAGCAGTCTCACTGCTGGGCAAGATGAGCATGTATAAGCTCCTCCTGGGGCTAAAGGATACCTTGAAAGTAACCTAGTTTGATTCAACTTGCCTGTACAATGCTGAAGACATCATATTTCCTAAGGTGATGGGGTTCCTGCCATCCAGACACTGCAGACTGTACCTTTGGAACAGTAGCTGAAGAACATTTGGAGTTTCCTGGTGGCAGAGCTCCCACAAGATTCCATGCCATGGGGAGGTTCGCTTGAGCAGTCAGAGGGTCTCCAAGTAACACCTGCCACATGGAGGGCTCCTATGCCAGTGGTTGTGAATCCAGCAGAGAAACCTACAGAAAATCATACTGGTGGTCCAGTTATGGAAAGGCTAGTCTCATTTCTTTCATCCTTCTTCCCAGATTCCAATCCTTAAAAAGCCTGATCCCAGAAAAAAAAGAGAAGAAAGAAGAAGGAAAGGTGGATCTCTTCCCTGTTCATGTCTTTTATGAGGGAAGTTGGGTCAGTGCCGGGCTGCGGGTGGTAAAGGGAATGAATGAGTATTTTAGGTTTTCCAATTTGTTGGCACATACTTTTTCATAATAGTCTCTAATGATTCATTGTATTTCTGTGGTCTCAGCTTTATGTCTGCTTTTTTGTTCCTGATGTTATTTATATGGGTCTTCTTTCTGCATTTTTTTTTTTTTTGAGATGGAGTCTTGCTGTGTCACCCAGGATGGAGTGTGGTGGTGCAATCTTGGCTCACTGCAACCTCCACTTCCTGGATTCAAGCAATTCTCCTGCCTCAGCCCCCTAAGTAGCTGAGATTATACGTACGTGCCACCATGCCTGGCTAATTTTTGTATTTTTGTTGAGACAGAATTTTGCCATATTGGCCACGTTGGTCTCGAACTCCTGACCTCAGGTGATCCACTCTGCCTCGGCCTCCCAAAGTGCTGGGATTATGGGCATGAGCCACTGCTTCCAGCCTGGTTCTTCTTTCTTTTTTTCTTAGTCTAGCCAAGGGTTTGTCAATTTTGTTTTATCTTTTCAAAAATCAATTTTTTGTTTCATTGATCTTCTGTATTTTTTTAGTCTCAATTTTATTTATTTCTGCTATGATCTTTATTATTTCTTTCCTTCTACTAATTTTGGGCTTGGCTTGTTCTTGCTTTTCTAGTTCCTTGAGGCGCATTATTAGATTGTTCATTTGAAGTCTTTCTCATTTTTTGATATAGGCATTTAGTGCCATAAACTTCCCTCTTAGTACTGTTTTTGCTATATCCTATAGATTTTGGTACGTTGCACTTTCATTTTCATTTGTTTTAAAAAGTTTTTAAGTTTCCTTTTTAATTTCTTCATTGACTCATTTGTCATTTAGGAGCAGGCTGTTTAATTTCCATGTGTCTATGAAGTTTCCAAGTTCCTCTTGTTATTTATTTTTAGTTTTTTTCCATTGTGGTCAGAAAGATATTTGATATAATTTCTACATTTTTGAATTTGTTAAGACTTGTTTTGTGGCCTAAGATGTGACCTCTTCTAGAGAACACTGCGTGTGTTGAAAAGGATGTGTATTCCACAGCAGTTGTGTAAAATGTTCTGTAAATATCAGTTAGTTCTGGTGTATAGTTTAACTGTTGTTTCTTTGTTGATTTTCTGTTTGGATGATCTGTCCATTACTGTGAGTCGGGGGTTGAAGTCCTCAACAATTATTTTATTGCAGTCCACCTCTCCCCCTAGAGCTATTAATGTTTGCTTTATATATTTGGGAGCTCCAGTGTTGTTGGATGCATAGATTTTTAAAATATTTGTTATATCCTTTTGCTGAATTGACCTCTTTATCATTACATTGTAACTTTCTTTGTTTCTTTTTACATTGTTTGATTTGTAGTCTATTTTACCTGATATAAGTATAGCTCTACTGCTCTTTTTTGATTTCCAGTTGCATAGAATACCTTTTTCCACACCTTTGCTTTCAGTCTACCTGTGTCTTTCTTTCTTTTCCTTTTTTTTTTTTTTTTTTTGAGATAGGGTCTCACTCTGTCACCCAGGCTGGAGTGCAGTGGCACAATCACAGCTCATTGCAGCACCAACCTCCTGAACTCAAGTGATCCTCCTACCTTAGCCTCCTGAGTAGCTAGGACCGCAGGTGCACACCACCATGCCTAGCTAATTTTTAAAACTTTTTGTAGAGATGTATTTCCTTGTTGTCCAGGCTGGTCTTGAAGTCCTAACCTCAAGAAAACCTCCTGTCTCAGGCTTCAAAAGAGCTGGGATTCCAGGTATGGGCCACTGCACTTGGCCAAATGTATGTATAGGTGAAGCAGGTTTCTTGTAGGCAGTGTATAATTGGGTCTTGTTTCTTCATGCATTCAGCCACTCTGCTTTTTAATTGGAGAACTGAGTCCATTTACCTTCAGTATTGTTATTAATAAGTAAGGACTAACTAATGCCATTTTATTGCTTGTTTTCTGGTTATTTTGCAACTCTTTTCTTTTCTTTCTTATTGTCCTTCTTTGTGTTTAAGTTACTTTCTCTGATAGTATGTTTTAGCTCATTGCTTTTTATTTTTACTGAAGTTTTTAATGGGTTTTTGCATTGCTGTTACAATGAGTCTTAAAAAAAATCATCTTATAGATATAAAAAGTTGTAAAGAGATGACAACTTATCATAGATCACAAAGAATAGAAACAATAAACCCCCACCCTTTAATTTCAACCTCCCAGCCATTTTGACGTTTATTAGTCTTAATTTACATATTTTTATATTACCTATCTTTTAATAGGCAGCTGTAGCTAATCTTATTTTCTATAGACTTTTCTTTTGGACTTCATACTAGAGTTGTGAGTGGATTGTGCCCCACAATTACAGTATTAATCTCAATTTGTCCATGTCCTTAATTTTACCAGTGGGTTTTATACCTCTCAATTCTTTGGAATTTCCCCTGGCCCCTTTTTTTTTTCGTTAGTGTGTTTTTTGTTTTTTGTTTTTTTTCTGTCTGACTGAAAATCTGTCTTTAGCATTTTTTGTAAGTGGTGGTGAATTCTCTCATCTTTTGTTTGTCTGAAAAAGACTTTATCTCTCCTTGTATTTATAAGACAACTTTGCTGGATACAGAATTCTTAGATTGCAGGCTTTTCTCCTCTCAATACTTTGAAAATGTTATTCAACTCCCTTCTGGCCTGTATGGTTTCCACTGAGAAGTCTGTTCTCAGATGAATTGGAGCTACATTATATATTATTTCTTTTCTCTTGTGGATTTTAGGATTTTCTCTTTGTCCTTGACCTTTGAAGTTTGATTATTATATGTTTTGGGTACTCTTACTTGTGTCAAATCTGTTTGGTGTTCCCTGACCTTCCTGTACCTGGACATTTATATCTTTGTCAAGTTTTGGAAAGTTTTTTATTATTATTATTTATTTAAATAAACTTTCTACTTCTTGCTCTTGCTCAACTTCCTCTTAAACACCAATAATTCTTAGATTTGGTCTTTGGAGATAATTTTTAATATCTTGTAGGTGATCTTCATTGATCTTCATTATTTTTTCCTTTTTTTTCCTCCTCTTTCTGTGTATTTTAAAATAGCCTGTTGTTGAGTTCACTGATTCTTTCCTCTGCTTGATCCATTCTGCTGTTGAGAGCTGCTAATGAATTTTTTCATTCAACAAATGTATTTCTCAGTTCCAAGATTTCTGTTTGATTTTTTAAAATTATTTCAATCTCTTTGTTATATTTCACTGATAAATTTCTGAATTGCTTTTCTATGTTATCTTGGAGATTATGGCATTTCCTTAAAACTAGTATTTTTGAATTAATGTTCAGAAAGCTCACATATATATATCACCGTCTCATTAGGGTTAGTTATTTGCTTTGTTCATTTGGGGAGATCATATTTTCCTGTTTGCTGTTGTTTCTTGTTGATGTACATCTATCTCTTTGCATTGAAGGATTATTTACTAATTAGTCTTTTCTATGTGGCTTGTTTTGTTTTTTTTAGTGAGTATATTTGCTTAGAGGTCCTTTACTGCTAGGTTACTGCCTTCTTTTCAGCTCTAGATGGTGCCTTAAGCCCAGGCTCACCTTGACTCTAGTAAATAATTGGAGCACTGCCCTTCATAAATGGGGAATGTCCTAAAGGGAATGTCTCAGCAGTGTATGAAGGCTTGCTAGTGGTTCATGCCCAGGAGACCCATGATACAAACTTCCTACTGTGTGAAGCTGCTGAACACACACTCTGATTTGGCATTTCCTTTGGGCAAGTTATAGGAAAGAGTTTCCAGGGCCGGGGTTGGTAGTCCTGCCTTTCTCCTTTGTCTCTGCCTTTCTCATGGATATTTTTTCCATCCAGGCATGATGCTTCATGGTGCTCCATGTTAAGGCAGGGACAAGTCTCCTGCCAGAGGACCTAAGGTGCTGGTTGTCCACTTCAATCTCACTTTTTCCAGTTTAGAAACAATGAGTTGGGAGAAAATTTTCCACACAGTTGGTGCTTGGCAGAATGAGGTGGGGTGTGGGGGTGCAACACAGATGTGGAAACAGAATTCTCTCTTATCTGTTAGCAGTTTATTTCTCGGTGGCCCTGGAAACTGTCTCATCTTCATATCTGAGTTCTGGGATATTTCTGGTCATTATCTCTGCACTATATATTTGTTTTGTTTTGTTTTTGTGGTCAGAGAGTGAAACCAGCTTGCTTCTATGCCACCATTTTAGGACCAGAAGTCTGGAATGAGTCCCTGTCCATTTTTATGGTTCCAGTCAGTTTTCATGGTTTTAAAAATTATTATCTTGCCTGGGATTTATAGTACTTTGTTTTAAGGGGTTGGAGTTTTTAGTCAATTTTGGTAAATTCTAATGAAAATCTTTTCATACATTACTTTTTATTTTGTATCCTATTCTTGGGCTTTGGTCACTTGTCTATTAAATATTTTTGATGAGTCTCATGTGACTCCTCTTTTCTAAATTTTCTAGCTTCCAAACCACTTTAAGCTGTATTCATTCTAACTTGAATTTCAGATCATGAATCTTCTCTTCAGCTATATTTTAACTTGTAGAATGCCTATTTGATTATTTTAAGAAGTAGATTCCATATCTTTTATAACATTCTCTATCTTTTCACTATTTTCACAGTTATTTGAAATTCTTGATTACTTATGGTTTTTTATTGCATATTTTTCTTTTGCTGTTGTCCTGGGTATTCCAGCTAAATTTTTATTGAGTTACTGACATTTGGTATGATATATTGTAGAGGATATGGATAAAGTTATCTTCCTCTAGAGAGAATTTTCATTTAATTGGCTAAGTGATTGACAAGATTCAAAGTTTTGTTTCCAACTTTGTAAGTCCGAATCTATTTCTAGTTCCGTCTTACTCTTAGAGTTTAATCTTTGTAGAATCCCACGTGAAAGTCTTTGGTTTTTAACAGGCCCTCTTCACTTAGCAGACCCTCACTTCCAATTTCTCTATCCCCAGCACTATAAGACAATGGACAGTTCAGCCTCTTTTGCTGTCTGCTTAGCTTTCTAAAAAATTAACCATCTTTATGTTTTAGAGCAGTTCTAGATTTAGGCTTACAGAAAAATTGAATGAAAAGTGCAGAGAATTCCTATATGGTCCTTCACCCACACTTACAAATACAGTATCTCCTATTATTGACATCTCGCTTCAGTATGGTAAATTTGTCATAATTTATTAGTCAATACGCATATTAACTATATGCATGATTAACTATCATGCATAGCTTACATTAAGGTTTACTCTTTGTGCTGTGCATTCTATGGGTATTTACCAATGTATAATGACATAGCTGACATTATAGCATCCTACAGAATTGTTTCTATAGATGCTCTAAAAATCGCTTGTGCTTCACCTAGTTATTGCTCCCTTCTTCAACTCCTACTGACCACTGGTCTTTAAATTATTTACACAGTTTTGCCTTTTCCAGAATGTCATATAGTTGGAATCACATAACATGTAGTATTTTCAGACTGACTTCTTTTACTATGTGTTTAAGCTTTCTCCATGTCTTCTCATGGCTTAATAGCTCAGTGCTTTTTATTGCTTAATAATGTGTCATTGCATGGCTGCACCACAGTTTGTTTATTCATTCATCTATTGAAGGACATCTTGGTTGCTTTCAAGTTTTGTCAATTATAAATAAAGATACCATAAACATTAGTGTGCAGGTTTTTGTGTGGACATTAATTTTCACTCATTTGAAGAGTCACAGTTGCTGGGTAATATGGTAAGAATACGTTTAGTTTTGTAAGAAACTGCCAAGCTGTTTTCCAGTGCGGCTGCACTATTTTGCATTCTCACCAGCAATGAATGAATGAGAGTTCCTGTTATTCCATATCCTTACTGGCATTTGGTGTTGTCGGTGTTTGGATTTTCACTATTCTAGAAGGTGTGTAGTGGTATCACATTGCTGTTTAATTTGCAATTCCCTAATGACATATGATATTGAGCATCTTTTCATATGCTTATTTGCCATCTGTATCTCTTATTTGGTGAGGTTCAGATGATTTGTCCATGTTCAAATTAGGTTTTTTGTTTTATTGTCCTAGAGTTTTAAGAGTTCTTTGTATATTTTGGATACCAGTGCTTTATCAAATATGTTTTTTGCAAATATTTTCTCCCAGATGGTAATTTGTCTTTTCATTCTCTTAACCATTTCTTTCTCAAAGTAGTTTTAAATTATAATTAAGTCCAACATATCAATTTCTTTTATAAATCATGTTTTCGATATTGTATCTAAAAAGCCATCACCAAGCTCAAGGCCAGTTAGATTTTCTTCTGTGTTATCTTCTAGGAGTTTTATAATTTTGTATTTAACATTTAGGTCTATAATTCTGCACAAGTTTTTAAATGATCTTCCTACACAGCTTATATATAGATCAGCAAATAACCTTGAGGATATTAGACTATTGTTTTTGCTTCTTAGCAATTACCATCTCTCCAGAATCTTGACCCCTCAAGTCCTGACTTCCTGGATAGCCCTGGACTTCAATTTCTGTCTTTCTAACCCTGTAAGTTTGCTGAAAGCTGTTCTCAGTTTCTGTGTCTTTTAGCATCTGTTTGTTTCTTTGCTTATAACCCTGTCCAATTATGATGTTTATGAACTGGAACTACCTTAAGGGGAAAAAACAGCATAGCATAGAATATCATGTTTACATCAGTGAGTTTCCCTCATTTCTGAGGCCTTGAACCCTCATGTCCATGGTGATTCAGTAGTTCTTTTATGTGTCCAAAGTAAGATTTTCTAAAAATTAAATCTATCTTTTCTAGTTGATCCTGATAAGAAAATAGATCTGCTATGAACCAAACTTCTATTACTAAAACTGAAAGATATAGTTTAAAAACACAGGTCATACATATCTTTCTCGCCTAAAATCCTTTAAAAGCTCTCCATTGCCACCGAATCTGGCATACATGGAGAAATATAGCCCATTATATTCTTTGTCCTGTGGCTCATGTCCATGCTTCTGGGTCCAATCTCTACCTCATACATGCTTTCAAGCAATATAATAATTAACAATGTTTTCTCATGTTTATATGCTTTTGCTTCTGTTTTTCCTTTCACCCATAAAATTCTTCTGGTAGTCCAAATTACCTAATTACTCATCTATCTAGCTTCAAATCAAATGTCACCTTTTCTAGGAAACATTCCCTGAGCTCTCTCCCTAGGAAGAATTAATAGTTTGCTCATTTATATTCACATTGAATATATTAAAAACTCCAATCATAGTACTTTTCACATTGCATTTGATTAAAAATTGTTTTGTCCATCTCCCACCTCAGACTATTAACTTTTCTATTATCCATGCACAACAGGACATAGCATACAATAGGAGCTCAATAGATAACTATTGGATCATTACATATATGAACTGTTAAATCATCTGATTTATCTCACCATAGGTTCTCACTTTTTTATGTTTTCTCCATCAGTCAGGAATATAGTTAGTTAATCCATTTCATTTTTTAAATTCACTAATTCAACAAAAATATACCAATTACCAACCACGTGTCAGATGCATTTCTAGGAAATACAGGGACTACAATGAAGTACAAGGTAGAATCAGTCATTGTCTTCATGGGGCTTCTAATCTAGAGGTGTTAAGGTTTGCTTTTCAAAATGTTTCCCAGATGGTTGGCAGAAAGTCATTTCAGCTAGAATGTTTTCCTCTTGGCTTGCTTTCTTTATTGTTTGTCTTAGATTTGTTGATACAGTTTGGCTCTGTGTCCCCACTCAAATCTCATCTTGAATTGTAATCCCCATGTTTTGAGGGAAGGACCTGTAATCCCCATGTGTCAAGAAAGGGAAGTGACTGGATAATGGGGGCAGTTTCCCCCATGCTGTTCTCATGATAGTGAGTGAGTTTTCATGCAAGCTGATGGTTTTAAAATGTGGCATTTCCTTGTTCTCGCACACACTCCCTCCTGTCACCTTTTGAAGAAGGTGCCTGCTTCCCCTTTGCCTTCCGTCATGATTGTAGCTTTCCTGAGGCCTCCTAGCCATGCTTCCTGTTAAGTTTGCAGAACTGTGAGTCAATTAAGCCTTTTTCCTTTATAATTACCCAATCTCAGGGAGTATTCTTTTTTTATTTTTAAAATTTTACTTTTTGATAAGTTATTGGGGTACAGGTGATATTTGGTTGCATGAGTAAGTTCTTTTTTTATTTTTATTTTTATTATACTTTAAGTTTTAGGGTACATGTGCACATTGTGCAGGTTAGTTACATATGTATACATGTGCCATGCTGGTGCACTGCACCCACTAACTCGTCATCTAGCATTAGGTATATCTCCCAGTGCTATCCCTCCCCCCTCCCCCCACCCCACAACAGTCCCCAGAGTGTGATATTCCCCTTCCTGTGTCCATGTGATCTCATTGTTCAATTCCCACCTATGAGTGAGAATATGCAGTGTTTGGTTTTTTGTTCTTGCGATAGTTTACTGAGAATGATGATTTCCAATTTCATCCATGTCCCTACAAAGGACATGAACTCATCATTTTTTATGGCTGCATAGTATTCCATGGTGTATATGTGCCACATTTTCTTAATCTAGTTTATCATTGTTGGACATTTGGGTTGGTTCCAAGTCTTTGCTATTGTGAATAATGCTGCAATAAACATACGTGTGCATGTGTCTTTATAGCAGCATGATTTATATTCCTTTGGGTATATACCCAGTAATGGGATGGCTGGGTCAAATGGTATTTCTAGTTCTAGATCCCTGAGGAATCGCCACACTGACTTCCACAATGGTTGAACTAGTTTACAGTCCCACCAACAGTGTAAAAGTGTTCCTATTTCTACACATCCTCTCCAGCACCTGTTGTTTCCTGACTTTTTAATGATTGCCATTCTAACTGGTGTGAGATGGCATCTCATTGTGGTTTTGATTTGCATTTCTCTGCTGGCCAGTGATGATGAGCATTTTTTCACATGTTTTTTGGCTGCATAAATGTCTTCTTTTGAGAAGTGTCTGTTCATGTCCTTCACCCAATTTTGATGGGGTTGTTTGTTTTTTTCTTGTAAATTTGTTTGAGTTCATTGTATATTCTGGATATTAGCTCTTTGTCAGATGAGTAGGTTGTGAAAATTTTCTCCCATTTTGTAGGTTGCCTGTTCACTCTGATGGTAGTTTCTTTTGCTGTGCAGAAGCTCTTTAGTTTAATTAGATCCCATTTGTCAATTTTGTCTTTTGTTGCCATTGCTTTTGGTGTTTTAGACATGAAGTCCTTGCCCATGCCTATGTCCTGAATGGTAATGCCTAGGTTTTCTTCTAGGGTTTTTATGGTTTTAGGTCTAATGTTTAATTCTTTAATCCATCTTGAATTAATTTTTGTATAAGGTGTAAGGAAGGGATCCAGTTTCAGCTTTCTACATATGGCTAGCCAGTTTTCCCAGCACCATTTATTAAATAGGGAATCCTTTCCCCATTGCTTGTTTTTCTCAGGTTTGTCAAAGATCAGATAGTTGTAGATATGTGGCGTTATTTCTGAGGGCTCTCTTCTGTTCCATTGATCTATATCTCTGTTTTGGTACCAGTACCATGCTGTTTTGGTTACTGTAGCCTTGTAGTATAGTTTGAAGTCAGGTAGTGTGATGCCTCCAGCTTTGTTCTTTTGGCTTAGGATTGACTTGGAGATGCGGGCTCTTTTTTGGTTCCATATGAACTTTAAAGTAGTTTTTTCCAATTCTGTGAAGAAAGTCATTGGTAGCTTGATGGGGATGGCATTGAATCTGTAAATTACCTTGGGCAGTATGGCCATTTTCACGATATTTATTCTTCCTACCCATGAGCATGGAATGTTCTTCCATTTGTTTGTATCCTCTTTTATTTCCTTGAGCAGCGGTTTGTAGTTCTCCTTGAAGAGGTCCTTCACATCCCTTGTAAGTTGGATTCCTAGGTATTTTATTCTCTTTGAAGCAATTGTGAATGGGAGTTCACTCATGATTTGGCTCTCTGTTTGTCTGTTGTTGGTGTATAAGAATGCTTGTGATTTTTGTACATTGATTTTGTATCCTGAGACTTTGCTGAAGTTGCTTATCAGCTTAAGGAGATTTTGGTCTGAGACAATGGGGTTTTCTAGATATACAATCATGTCATCTGCAAACAGGGACAATTTGACTTCCTCTTTCCTAATTGCATACCCTTTATTTCCTTCTCCTGCCTAATTGCCCTGGCCAGAACTTCCAACACTATGTTGAATAGGAGTGGTGAGAGAGGGCATCCCTGTCTTGTGCCAGTTTTCAAAGGGAATGTTTCCAGTTTTTGCCCATTCAGTATGATATTGGCTGTGGGTTTGTCATAGATAGCCCTTATTATTTTGAAATACGTCCCATCAATACCTAATTTATTGAGAGTTTTTAGCATGAAGGGTTGTTGAATTTTGTTAAAGGCTTTTTCTGCATCTATTGAGATAATCATGTGGTTTTTGTCTTTGGCTCTGTTTATATGCTGGATTACATTTATTGATTTGCGTATATTGAACCAGACTTGCATCCCAGGGATGAAGCCCACTTGATCATGGTGGATAAGCTTTTTGATGTGCTGCTGGATTCGGTTTGCCAGTATTTTATTGAGGATTTTTGCATCAATGTTCATCAAGCATATTGGTCTAAAATTCTCTTTTTTTGTTGTGTCTCTGCCTGGCTTTGGTATCAGAAAGATGCTGGCCTCATAAAATGAGTTAGGGAGGATTCCCTCTTTTTCTATTGATTGGAATAGTTTCAGAAGGAATGGTACCAGTTCCTCCTTGTACCTCTGGTAGAATTCAGCTGTGAATCCATCTGGTCCTGGACTCTTTTTGGTTGGTAAGCTATTGATTATTGCCTCAATTTCAGATCCTGTTATTGGTCTATTCAGAGATTCACCTTCTTCCTGGTTTAGTCTCGGGAGAGTGTATGTGTTGAGGAATTTATCCATTTCTTCTAGATTTTCTAGTTTATTTGCGTAGAGGTGTTTGTAGTGTTCTCTGATGGTAGTTTGTATTTCTGTGGGATCGGTGGTGATATCCCCTTTATCATTTTTTATTGCATCTATTAGATTCTTCTCTCTTTTTTTCTTTATTAGTCTTGCTAGCGGTCTATCAATTTTGTTGATCCTTTCAAAAAACCAGCTCCTGGATTCATTAATTTTTTGAAGGGTTTTTTGTGTCTCTATTTCCTTCAGTTCTGCTCTGATTTTAGTTATTTCTTGCCTTCTGCTAGCTTTTGAATGTGTTTGCTCTTGCTTTTCTAGTTCTTTTAATTGTGATGTTAGGGTGTCAATTTTGGATCTTTCCTGCTTTCTCTTGTGGGCATTTAGTGCTATAAATTTCCCTCTACACACTGCTTTGAACGCGTCCCAGAGATTGTGGTATGTTGTGTCTTTGTTCTCGTTGGTTTCAAAGAACATCTTTATTTCTGCCTTCATTTTGTTATGTACCCAGTAGTCATTCAGGAGCAGGTTGTTCAGTTTCCATGTAGTTGAGTGGTTTTGAGTGAGATTCTTAATCCTGAGTTCTAGTTTGATTGCACTGTGGTCTGAGAGATAGTTTGTTATAATTTCTGTTCTTTTACCTTTGCTGAGGAGAGCTTTACTTCCAAGTATGTAGTCAATTTTGGAATAGGTGTGGTGTGGTGCTGAAAAAAAATGTATATTCTGTTGATTTGGGGTGGAGAGTTCTGTAGATGTCTATTAGGTCCACTTGGTGCAGAGCTGAGTTCAATTCCTGGGTATCCTTGTTGACTTTCTGCCTCGTTGATCTGTCTAATGTTGACAGTGAGGTGTTAAAGTCTCCCATTATTAATGTGTGG
This sequence comes from Homo sapiens, assembly GCF_000001405.40. Lineage (NCBI taxonomy): Eukaryota > Metazoa > Chordata > Mammalia > Primates > Hominidae > Homo > Homo sapiens. The sequence goes on along the minus strand of NC_000003.12, from coordinate 157,727,093 downwards.
GAGTCTAAGTCTCTTTGTAGGTCACTCAGGACTTGCTTTATGAATCTTGGTGCTCCTGATTGGGTGCATATATATTTAGGACAGTTAGCTGTTTTTGTTGAATTGATCCCTTTGCCATTATGTAATGGCCTTCTTTGTCTCTTTTGATCTTTGTTGGTTTAAAGTCTGTTTTATCAGAGACTAGGATTGCAACCCCTGCCTTTTTTTTGTTTTCCATTTGCTTGGTAGATCTTCCTCCATCCTTTTATTTTGAGCCTATGTGTGTCTCTGCACGTGAGATGGGTTTCCTGAATATAGCACACTGATGGGTCTTGACTCTTTATCCAATTTGCCAGTCTGTGTCTTTTAATTGGAGCATTTAGTCCATTTACATTTAAAGTTAATATTGTTATTTGTGAATTTGATCCTGTCATTATGATGTTAGCTGGTTATTTTGCTCGTTAGTTGATGCAGTTTCTTCCTAGTCTTGATGGTCTTTACATTTTGGCATGATTTTGCAGCGGCTGGTACTGGTTGTTCCTTTCCATGTTTAGTGCTTCCTTCAGGAGCTCTTTTAGGGCAGGCCTGGTGGTGACAAAATCTCTCAGCATTTGCTTGTCTGTAAAGTATTTTATTTCTCCTTCACTGATGAAGCTTAGTTTGGCTGGATATGAAATTCTGGGTTGAAAATTCTTGTCTTTAAGAATGTTGAATATTGGCCCCCACTGTCTTCTGGCTTGTAGGGTTTCTGCCGAGAGATCCGCTGTTAGTCTGATGGGCTTCCCTTTGAGGGTAACCCGACCTTTCTCTCTGGCTGCCCTTAACATTTTTTCCTTCATTTCAACTTTGGTGAATCTGACAATTATGTGTCTTGGAGTTGCTCTTCTCGAGGAGTATCTTTGTGGCGTTCTCTGTATTTCCTGAATCTGAACGTTGGCCTGCCTTGCTAGACTGGGGAAGTTCTCCTGGATAATATCCTGCAGAGTGTTTTCCAACTTGGTTCCATTCTCCCCATCACTTTCAGGTACACCAATCAGACATAGATTTGGTCTTTTCACATAGTCCCATATTTCTTGGAGGATTTGCTCGTTTCTTTTTATTCTTTTTTCTGTAAACTTCCCTTCTCACTTCATTTCATTCATTTCATCTTCCATCGCTGATACCCTTTCTTCCAGTTGATCGCATTGGCTCCTGAGGCTTCTGCATTCTTCACGTAGTTCTCGAGCCTTGGTTTTCAGCTCCATCAGCTCCTTTAAGCACTTCTCTGTATTGGTTATTCTAGTTATACATTCTTCTAAATTTTTTTCAAAGTTTTCAACTTCTTTGCCTTTGGTTTGAATGTTCTCCCATAGCTCAGAGTAATTTGATCATCTGAAGCCTTCTTCTCTCAGCTCGTCAAAGTCATTCTCCATCCAGCTTTGTTCCGTTGCTGGTGAGGAACTGTGTTCCTTTGGAGGAGGATAGGTGCTCTGCTTTTTAGAGTTTCCAGTTTTTCTGTTCTGTCTTTTCCCCATCTTTGTGGTTTTATCTACTTTTGGTCTTTGATGATGGTGATGTACAGATGGGTTTTTGGTGTGGATGTCCTTTCTGTTTGTTAGTTTTCCTTCTAACAGACAGGACCCTCAGCTGCAGGTCTGTTGGAATACCCTGCCGAGTGAGGTGTCAGTGTGCCCCTGCTGGGGGGTGCCTCCCAGTTAGGCTGCTCAGGGGTCAAGGGTCAGGGACCCACTTGAGGAGGCAGTCTGCCTGTTCTCAGGTCTCCAGCTGCATGCTGGGAGAACCACTGCTCTCTTCAAAGCTGTCAGACAGGGACATTTAAGTCTGCAGAGGTTACTGCTGTCTTTTTGTTTGTCTGTGCCCTGCCCCCAGAGGTGGAGCCTACAGATGCAGGCAGGCCTCCTTGAGCTGTGGTGGGCTCCACCCAGTTGGAGCTTCCCAGCTGCTTTGTTTACCTAAGCAAGCCTGGGCAATGGCGGGCGCCCCTCCCCCAGCCTTGCTGCCGCCTTGCAGTTTGATCTCAGACTGCTGTGCTAGCAATCAGCGAGACTCCGTGGGGGTAGGACCATCCAAGCTATTTGCAGGATATAATCTCGTGGTGCGCCATTTTTTAAGCCCATTGGAAAAGCGCAGTATTCGGGTGGGAGTGACCCGATTTTCCAGGTGCCGTCCGTCACCCCTATCTTTGACTAGGAAAGGGAACTCCCTGACCCCTTGCACTTCCCAAGTGAGGCAATGCCTCGCCCTGCTTTGGCTCATGCACGGTGCGCGCACCCACTGACCTGCGCCCACTGTCTGGCACTCCCTAGTGAGATGAACCCAGTACCTCAGATGGAAATGCAGAAATCACTGTCTTCTGCGTCGCTCACGCTGGGAGCTGTAGACTGGAGCTGTTCCTATTCGGCCATCTTGGCTCCTTCATGAGTAAGTTCTTTAGTGGAGATTTGTGAGAACCTGGTACACCCATCACCCGAGCAGTATACACTGCACCATATTTGTCATCTTTTATCCCTCAGCCTCTTCCCACTCTTCCCCCCACGTCCCCAAAGTCTATTGTATCACAATTATGCCTTTGTGTCCTCATTGCTTAGCTCCCACATATCAATGAGAACATACGATCTTTGGTTTTCCATTCCTGAATTACTTCACTTGGAATAACAGTGTTTAATATCATCCAGGTCATTGCCAATGCTGTTAGTTCATTCCTTTTTATGGCTGAGTAGTATTCCATCATATATATATATATATATATATGTAAATATAACAAATGTATATATATTTATATATATATATTTTTATAATATATAAATACACACACACACCAGGGTTTCTTTATTCACTCATTGATTGATGGGAATTTGGGTCGGTTCCACAATTTTGCTATTGTAAATTGTGCTGCTATAAACATGTGTGTGCAGGTATCTCTTTTGAATAATGACTTCTTTTCCTCTGGGTAGATACCCAGTAGTGAGATTTGCTTGATCAAGTGATAGTTCTACTTTTATTTCCTTAAGGAATCTCCACACTGTGAATGTAAACTAGTTAAAGGGGTATTCTTTATAGCAGTGTGGGAATGGACTAGAAACATCTGTTATGCTAAATGTCATTACTTTATAGCATTTCATACTCTCATGTATTATGGCACTCTATATGCAATAGAAAATAATTTACTGTGCACTATGTACATATGTACTATGGAAAACTGTGTACTATGGGGGGCGTTCATATGCTGAGACTTCCCATCTCAAGTAGCAGTTAAAATAGTTTAGGTGGCTTTCAGTCAATATACAGAGAACGTTTCATTAACCAATATAATTATTTTATCTCAATTTAAATGACAAAAACAAAAAAAAGTATGTCAATTGATACTGCCAAATGAAAATGTGATGAAAATATTTCATTTGATGCCAAATAAGTATTTGTTTGGACCCTTTTTCTTATTCTCATTTTGGGGGCAGTGGAAATGGAGCAATGGATATTGTAACACTATATGGTAAGTTCATCATCTGTGGCAGCTAGAGCAAAATCTTGAACTTATTCTATTAAATATATAATGGTTTTCCATGATGAATATTTTAATTTTCTTGTTATATTTACTACATGTATCTGTATCTCAGTAAATGACAAATTCTTAGACAGTAAGGATTATGGGCTATGAAAGTGCATTCCTTCTAAAGGGATTTCCTAAAGGTTAAATTTAAAGGTTCTAAAATTTAAATTGTGCCTTAAAGTTTTTACATTTAATTCTTGCAGTATTTTATTTGAATTGACCCATAAAGTTAAAAATGATCATTGTTTTTTAGACCTGCATTTATCACATTTGTAATACATGAAGCAAAATAAAGCCTGGGAAAGTTGTGCCTAGGATTTTAAATACTGTAAGACTTAGACAGCCACACAATAATAGTGGGATACTTCAACACCCTATTAACAACATTAGACAGATCATCAAGGCAGAAAACTAACAAAGAAATTGTGGACTGAAGCTGGACACTTGGTCAATTGGAACTAAAAAACACTTACAGAGTACCCAACAAAAACAGAATATACATTTTTCTTTTCTGTACAGGGAACACATTCTAAGACCAACCATATGCTCCGTCATAAAGCAAGTCTCAATAAATTAGAAAAAAATTGAAATCATGCCAAGCACAATCTTGGGCCACAGTACAGTAAAAATAGAAATCAATACCAAGAAGAGCTCTCAAAACTGCACAAATACATGGAAATTAAACAACTTACTCCAGAATAATTCTTGAGCAAACAATGAAATTAAGGCAAAAATTTAAAAACTTCTTTGAAATTAATGAAAATAAGAACAGAACTTACCAAAATCTGTGGGATGCAGCTAAAGCAGTATTAAGAGGAAAGTTTATAGCACTAAACACCTTTATCCAGAAATTAGAAAGATCTCAAATTAACAGTCTAACATTACACCTAGAGGAACTAGAAAAAAAGAACAAACCAACCCCAAAGCTAGCAGAATAAAAGAATGGACTAAAATCAGAGAAGAACTGAACAAAACTGAGATGCAGAAATCCAAACAAAAGATCAGTGAAACCAAGAACTGGTTCTTTGAAAGAATAAACAAGATTGATAGGCTGCTAGGTAGATGAAGGAAGAAAAAAAAGAAAAATGAAGAGAAGATCCTAAAAAGCACAATTAGAAATGACAAAGATGACATTACAACCAATCTCACAGAAATACAAAAGATCCTCAGAGACTATTATGAACACCACTATGGACACAAATTAGAAAATATAGAGGAAATAGATAAATTCATGGAAACACACAACCTCCCAAGATTGAATCAGGAAGAAAGTGAAAACCTGAACAGACCAACATCAAGTTCCAAAACTGAATCAGAAAACAAACAAACAAACAAACCCTACTAACCAAAACAAAACCCTGGACCAGGTGGATTCACACAGGTGGATTCACAGCTGAATTCTACCAGATGTATAAGGAAGAACTGGTACCAATCCTACTGAAACTATTCCCAAAAATTGAGGAGGAGGGCTCCTCCCTAACTCATTCTATGAATCTAGACTCAGCCTAATACCAAAATTTTGGAGATACACAATGAAAAAAGAAAACTTCAGACCAACGTCCCTGATGAGCATAGACACAAATATTTTCAACAAAATACTAGCAAACTGAAACCAGCAGCACATCAAAAAGTTAATTCACCATAATCAAGTGGGCTTTATTCCTGGGGTGCAAGGTTGGTTCAACATACAAAAATCAATAAATGTGACTCACCACATAAACAGAATTAAAAATAATAACCATATGATCATCTCAACAGATTCAGAAAAATCTTTTGACAAAATCTAACATCACTTCATGATAAAAAAAACCAACACACTAGGCACTGAAGGAACATACCTCAAAATAATAAGAGCCCTCTGTAACAAGCTCACAGTCAATATCATACTGAATGGGCAAAAGCTGGAATCATTTCCCTTGAGAATTGGAACAAGACTGGGTGCTCACTCTTAGCACTCCTATTCAACATAGTACTGGAGTCTTAGCCAGAGCAATCAGGCAAGAGAAGAAAATAAAAGGCATCCATATAAGAAAAGAAGAAGTCAAACTGTCTTTGCTGACCACATGATACTATACCTAGAAAAGCCTAAAGACTCTGCAAAAAAGCTCCTAGAACTGACAAATGATTTCAGTAGAGTTTCAGAATACAAAATCATGTAAAAAATCAGTAGCATTTCTATATACCTGTAACGTTCTAGCTGAGAGCCAAATCAAGAACACAATACCATTTGCAGTAGCCACAAAAAAACTTGAAACACCTAAGAATACAGCTACCAGAGGAGGTGAAAGATCTCTACAAGGAGAACTACAAAACAGTGCTGACAGAAGTCAGAGATGATACAAATAAATGGATAAACATTCTATTTTCATGGATCGAAAGGATCAATATCATTAAAATGGCCATACTGTCCAAAGCAATTTAGAGATTCAATGAAACTACTGATGTTCTTTTTCACAGAATGAGAAAAATGTATTCTAAAATTTATATGAATCCATGGAAGAGTCCAAATAGCCAAAGCAATCCTAAACAAAAAGAACAAAGCTGTAGGCATCACATCACAACTTCAAACAATACTATAAGGCTACAGTAACCAAAACAGCATGGTATTGGTACATAAACAGCCATATAAACCAATGGAACTGGTTAGAGACCTCAGAAGTACAGCCACACACCTACAACTGTCTGATCTTCAAAAAAGTCAACAAAGACAAGAAATTGGAAAAGAACTCCCTATTTAATAAATAGTGTGGAGATAACTGGCTAGCCATATGCAGAAGAATGAAACTGTACCCATACCTTTCACCATAAACAAAAATTAACTCAAGATGGATTAAAAATTTCTGTTTAAGACCTTACTTTGTAAAAATCATAGGAAAAAAACTAGGAAATACCCTCTGAACATTGGCCTTGGCAAATAATTTATGAATAACTCCCCAAAAGCAATTGCAACAAAAATAAAAATAGACAAGTGGGACCTAATTAAACTAAAGTCCTTTTGCACATCAAAGGAAACTATCAACACAGTAACCTACAGAAGGAGAAACTTCCTAGACAACCTACAGAATGAGAAAAAATATTCACATACTATGCATCCAACAAAGATCTAATATCCAGAATCTATAAGAAACTTAAATCAACAAGCAAAAACCAAACAATCCCATTAAAAATGGGCAAAGGAAATGAACAGACACTTTTCAAAAGAAGACATAGAAGCAGCCAACAAACTTGAAAAAATTCTCATTATCATGAATCATCAGAGAAATGCTGACCATAATCACAATGAGAGACCATCTCACACCAGTCAGAATGGCTATTATTAAAAAGTAAAAAAAAAACAGATGCTTGTGGGTCTGTGGTTAAAAGGGAACACTTATACACTGTTGGTGGGAATGTAAATTAGTTCAGCCAGTGTGGAAAGCAGTTTAGAGATTTCTCAAAGAACTTAAAACAGAACTACCATTCGGCCCAGCAATCCTATTACTGGGTATATACCCAAAGGAAAATAGGTCCTTCTACTAAAACACATGCACTTATATGTTAATCACAGCACTATTCACAGTAGCAAAGACACAGAATCACCCTAGATTCTCATCAACAGTGGACTGGATAAAGAAAATGTGGTACATATTATACACTGTGGAATACTATGCAGCCATAGAAAAGAATGAGATCATGTCCTTTGCAGCCACATGGATGGAATTGGAGGCCATTGTCCTTAGCGAGTTAACACAGGAACAGAATACTGCGTGTTCTCATAAGTGGGAGGTAAACATTGAGTACACATGGACACACAGAAGGGACCAAAAGACAATAGGGACTACTGTGGCAGGGAGCTACTGAAAAACTTCCTATTGTGTATTATGCTCACTACCTGGGTGATGGGATGATTCATATCCCAAACCTCTGGGTCATGCAATATACCCAAGTAACAACGAACCTGCACATGTACCTCCTGAATCTAAAATACAAGTTGAAAACTGCTTACGAAAATAATTGAGACTTTTAAATAAAGTGTTTAGTATAAGTAAGCATTCACATATTAGAAGGACATAAGAGACATCTTTTAATAGGTTAAGGAGCAAATATTTTATTTGACCCTGGAGTTCATAACTGTCTTATTTACACTAAAGCATTGAGTGCTGTGTATGAGAGAAATAGAAAATCAGATCAAAATATCTGAGGGATGAAATATTTCTTGAAATATTCCTTGGTGAAAGGAAACAATTATGGAAGGAGTGGGTAGGATTTCTCTAAAATGCACACAAATAAAACCTTTCTTCAGATTTTGTGCTAATCAGTTCAAGTAGGTTAATGTTTTGACAGTAACCTTCCCCACAGTGACACTAAAAAGAGGAGCAAGGAACAGGACCAAGGTATTCATTCCATAGTGTAGGAGATGGGCCCAAATTAAGTGCTTGAGTGTGGTGGTGGGGGGTGGGGTGCAGTTCTGTGTGTGAAGATTTGAGATAAGGAGATCAAAGTGCGAGAAGCATACAACTTATCATAGAGCACAGTGCAGTTCACTCTTCAGCTGCAAGACAGCTGTAAACCCTCGTTTGGCCACGGGATACTCAATACCAAAGAGCATGTGTAGGCTGGGGAAGTTAATTGGTATGCTTTGTTTGGAAGCTTCAGAAAAGATAATAGACTGTGTGACTTCTGGCATATTTACAGTTCACCTTGGGCTTTTCTTAAAGTATAAAGTTTCTTCGGCTTGAACTTGGTGAAGGATATGAAGAAAGCACAAAAATCCAGTGAGATATTAGTTGGAAGCCTCACACGCTCTAATTAATGGGGTGGGGAGCAACTAAGGAGCAGCTTAATAGGAGGGAATCTGGATGTAGAAAAGCTTTAAAGTAGGGATAAGACACTTCACTGGGATAACATTCAGTGTTCTTATTAACTTTCCTCCCAAATTCAAATTCAAGCTCTGTTGCTGGGATATGGGAACCTACATCTCATAGTCATACTATCTCCTTTTTCCTAGGGTCCTACAAGTCTAGGATTCTAGGTCATCTCATGGCCTTGCCCCTCCATGCCTGGTGCCACTACTCCTGCCACAAGGGTCTCCCTGCCATTCTTCCATCACTGGCTGGGCACCTCTGGTTTTTCTCCTCCCTCTGCCAAGGCGCTTTTCTCCCCATCTCCCTGGAATGCTACCCATAATTCACAATAGACCTAATGCTCTGTTTTTCAAACCTTCCCATTCCCCATAGTCTCTAGGTCCTTTGGGCCCCCATGGCAGTAATCTCAGTAATCACATTCTGCCATATTTCATAGGTCAGTTGTATATCCTTCCGGTTCACCTCTTGGATTGTAAGTTTTTTGAGGTTCTGGGCAATGAGTTGTGCACATTCGTGGTCCTTATAGGATCTAACTACTACTAATAATATTAATATTTACATAGCACTCACATATTATTTATTTATTTGTGCCTCACAACAATCTTGTGAGAGCAATGAAACAGGGAGTGATTTCTCTAATTTACAGAAGCAGAACTTCAGGTTCAGAAAAAGTAAGCAATTTACCTTCAGTCACACAGCCAGGAACTGGGAGTTTCTAGACTCAAGTTCAGGTCTTTTGACTTTGTTCTGCTTTAATAAATGACTGTGAAATTGAATTAAAGGATCCACCAGTCTACATCCTAACAAGCTCTAAATAACTACTTATATTCAGGTTCAAGCTGGTGAATGAGCTCAGGGAGAAGGGCCTTAGTTCATGGTTTGAGATCTGCAGCTGCCCAAAATCTGTAACTGAATTTGACTTTGAATCAGTCAAAAGGGTTATTTTCAGCTTCATTTTGCTTGGGGTTTGTGTGAACTCTGATTAAATGCAACCAATCTCTGCTCTTTCATATTCATCTTGTCAAGTAAGAGGCTTTCCTTTCCTCCCTGAGAGGAACACTTGAATCTCATCAAAGTGAGTGGCAGGGGTTTTACTTAACACGTATGGCAAACCAAAAAGAGAGGGCAGGAGATCTCCAAGAGTGAATCCAGAGAAGCTTCTAACAAAGAGGACAGTTAATTTGTAAGGAAAGGGCTAGAGGAAAAATCATCAGCAACACTGACACTATCATCTGAGAAAACACTTTGAAGGAAATAAGCCGAGGCATCTTGGTGTCTTGTAGCAGAATGACGTGGAGTTTTTGAACACGATTTTATGCACAGGACTCAGGAAGTGGTGGCCACAGTGCTCTTACCTGGTGCAGGTGGGACAAAACTCTCTTACCTCTTTGTGGTCTTGCATGGAGTTTGTGAAGCTAGAGAGAGCTCCTTTAGGGTATTCTTCCTAGGAACATGCTTGAATCCCTTTTTATTGGAAACTGCTCTCAGACAAAAATAAGAACACATCCTCTTTTGATGTAAAACATCTGACATCTCCAGGATGTAGGTTCTAAGCCAGAATGTTATGTCTTTTATTTGCCAATATGAGTTTCTTTAGGGCTGATACCACATCAGTGAAGGCACAGTCAATGAAAAATGTTCTGCTAACAGTTTGGTAACAAAGCGATTTAATTTGCCTCACAGCCCCGTTGCCTTAGGCTTAAATCTGGTTTAGATCCCACATAGGAATATTTTAGAAGTCCCAGATATGAAGTTCCCAGGAAAGTTTTGCCCTATCCTGATATTATCAATGCATCTGCCCTTTTGTGACTATCGTTTCTACAGTCTTGGGTACTATAAAATAATCTTTGGGACCTCAGGCCACCGCAGCCTTGGGTTTCAAGAGGGTTGCATAAGGAAAGTCAGCCTTGCCCCTCCCCTGGTTTTCATACAGGACCATCAGTCATCCACAGAGTTCTACTCAATTTCCAGGGGGCATCAGCTCTGCTTATGAGCTATTATGACCAGTGACCACAGCGCATCTGCTGGGTATTGTTGCCTCACTGGGACCTCATTTCACTGTCTGTTTGTGTCCCTTGCAAGGATCCCTGCTGTGTCTACCATGCAAATGGCCATTTCTTCTGTGCTTTGCCACTTGTGCTCCACAAACACTGGGAAAAATGACCCAGGTAGCTGCCAAACATGTTTGCATCATTTCTGAGACTCCACAGCACTTTGCAGCCCACTCTGTGGCTGAAGCACAAAGTAGGCTGGTTTCTCTGCGCTCTGGTGTTATGACCTGTTAGCAAGGCTCCAGAAAAATACTTCCCTGTGCCTGTTGCTTTATGGTGGTTTTATTGAAAACAGTTATTTTGATTATTACTTTGTAGCCTCCAAGAGCTTCTCCCCCAAGGGCTAGACTAAGAAAAAAAAGCTGCCAGTGACAAACACCATCTTCATTATTCCTCCCCTCCTCTTCCTACCCTCAGCCTTCTCTGAGGCTTTGTCAGAAGGCCTTCTTGCCTGCATCATTCCCCCTAGCACAGGTTCTAAATATATTTAGGAATATGTTAAGGTTCATTTTATATGTTACTTTATTAGTTTCCTATTGCTGCTGTAGCAATTTACCACAAACTTAGCAGCTTAAAACAACACAAATTTATTGACTTACAGTTCTGAATGTCACAAGTCTGAAATGGGTCTACTGGGTTCAAATCAGGTCGGCAGGTTTGCATGCCTTCCGGATGGGGGCTCTAGAAAAGAATCGATTTTCTTATCTTTTCTGGCTTCTAGGGACTGCCCTAATTCCTCATGGTCCTCTTCCATCTCAAAAGCCAGCAATGTGGACAAGTCCTTCTCTCTGGTTTCCTCTCCTCTGCTTCCCTTTTCCACCTATAAGGACTCTGTGATTACATTGGGCCCACCTGGGTAATTCAGGCTAATTCTGCCATCTCAAGGTCAGCTGATCTCTTTATTCCACATGCAACCTTAATTCCTCCTTGCCACATTCCAGAAGTTCTGGGAATTCAGACGTGGACATCTTGCATTATCTTACTTGTCACAGGTGACACAGCATAGCTCAGTGAGAGCTTCTCAAGATGGCTCTGCATGGGCAATAGGCAGGGTAGACCAGCTGAGTAAAGAACAGAGCCATTGTGACTTGGGGTTTCTTGATGGATTTGCCCTTGTCCCTGGAGCATATGTTAGTCACAGTCTAGCTAACCTAATTAAGGTGGCCACTTTCTATCCTTGCAAAAGCTTACTGTTACCACACACTGCTCTGCTCTTTCCTCTTTGCAATCGTCCATCTCCCAAACCCTTTGACACCATAATCTAATCAGCTGCTGGAGGTGCTGTCCCGATTTTGGAAGACCTTTTAAAGGCCTCTAAACCAAAACTTATACTCTCATCCACATACTAGATGCCAACAGGTAGGCAAATCGGAGCCTACTTTGTTCATGTCTGAAAAATGTCTCCCCCGCTGGACAGCATGTTCTGGGAATAATTATTGTGACCTGGAAATATCACATTGGCTACATTAATTGGTCCACTTTGACCGAACACAGGCTTTCCTCACAAAGTAGCCATGAACAGCTGGGACTTCCATGTGTTCTCTCCATAGATTTAGAGACTCACTGACTTCCAGACCACCTAAGCTGACCTCAGTCTACTCTCACCTCAACACATGAGGCCTTCATCACGCAGGAGAATCAAGACAGTGCTAAATGAAACCTAGGACAGGTAGATAGGATCACAGCCAGGAGGTAGAGGAATTCTCAGCCCCTCCAACACCACCACTATAGATCTGTGGGCAGGTTGTCAGTTTATCTCAGGATCAACGACCATTCTTGGGTCACTGAGATATTTTGGATATTTCGTGAGATATTTGTAGTACCTGCATATATCTGTGGTCTAGTCTTTGCCCTATAGAAATACATTTTCAGGTTGGTTAATGAAATGATGCTAACCGGTTCTCCCTTGCATTCTCTCTAAGATTTTTCATTTTACTTCATTTCTGTATCTGTTCACATTTTGGTGCTCACACACATACAACGCTGATACCACAGCTAGTCGTTGGTAGCATATGTCAAAACAAAACAAGCTCCAACCAATTGAAATACCAGCACGTTTCCCCAGATTCAGAGATGGGCAGCTCATTTTCTCTGAAAGCACATGATATTCAGAATAAGCATCTCTTGAGAATACCAGAAATCTAGCAAAAATTCCCATCTTGGCATAATTTTGATCCAACTTATATGGAAAATATGAGAACTTTAACCTAATTTAAGATGGAAATGTAACCCATTTACAGTATCTGTACACCCTAGATGAATAATAAGTTGTCATTCTCATGTGGTGCAAATGTGTCTCCTAAGTTTGAATTTCTCATTTTGCAAATCCCTTGAGAAGGAGAATCTCGAGAGAAAAGTAAGAAACAGTGAGAGGCAGCAAGTGGTTCCCATGCCCCACAGCTAATTTGAGCATCAGTGATACCCTAAGCAGCGTCCTGCTGCCATCTGTAACAAAAAACATGCTTATTTCTAATTTGTAGCATTCCTCCCCTTTCTGATTATACAAGATGGGTTCATTCATTATTAATCCAGTTTGTCAGACAGCACGGCCCTTCAAGTGTCAGGCTTCCTTGTTTCCAGGCAGTGAGTTTGTGTAGGAGCAATGAAATTTCAGAATGCACAGATCAGCAAGCTCTTGTCTGTACCTGATTAAAGTTGGATAGGCCTACTTAATAGGCTTAAAATAATTCTACATGAAGCAGCAGGACACGTTTCTATATTTGTCCTTATTATTGGAAAGGACATGGACTAAAAAATAATTGTTACTTTTCTTCCAAACTGCATCTGATTTGAAAGGGAGTGAGGAAAAGACAATGATTTCTCTTTGTCTATACCAAAGAGCCTAGAAATTGAAAATAGCAGAGGAGACATAAACTCCTAGGTTACTTTAAAGATAGTAGTTAAACACACACATATACACATGCATGGACACATGCACATACACATACACACAACAATCCTAGCTTTAGGGAACCTACAGCTTAGTGTTAACCAGACTGTGATATCATGCAGTCATTGAAAAAGAGTGTTAGACTTGTCAAATGAAGACTTAGATTCTCAGGAAAGGTGCTTGAACAAATGATCTGTTTATGGGCCATGTGACTGGGTTCCAATGTACACCTGGAGAAAAGAAAAAAGCAATGCATTATGGGGAACAGACATGGATACTATGCACTTCAAAACAGTAATTATTATGTAATAGACTGAGAAATAATCTCTAGCTTATTTCCAAGCCATTTGAGTGAGCACTGGAATAATTTTTCTTTTGTATCACCTAGCTTTAGAGGAAGTGGGTAAATAAAAAGACTGAGTGACAAAAGCTTGAACTACATACAGGCATGCCTTTGAGATATTGTGGATTTGGTTCCAGACCACTGCAATAGAGCAAATATCACAATAAAGTGAGTCACACTATATTTTTTTGTTTCCTAGTGCATATAAAAGGTCTGTTTACCTTATGCTGTAGTCTATCTATTAAGTGTGCAATAGCATTATGTCTGAAAAACAATGTACATACCTTAGTAAAAAAATACTTTATTGCTAGGAAATGGCAACAATCATCTGAGCACTCAATGAGGTGTAATCTTTTTGCTGGTAGAGGATCTTGCCTCAATGTTGATGGCTGCTGACTGATTAGGGTGGTGATTGCTAAAGGGTTGGGGTGGCAGTTGTAATTTCTTAAAATAAGACAAAAATGAAGTTTGCCACATTGATTGACTCTTCCTTTCTCCAAAGAGTTCTCTTAGCATGCAACGGTGTTGCCTAGCATTTTACCTACAGTAGAACTTCTTTCCAAAGTGGAGTCAATCCTCTCAAACTCTGCCACTGTTTTAGCAATTAAGGTTATGTAATATTTGAAATCCTTTGTTGTTATTTTAACAATATTTACAGCATCTTCACCAGGAGCAGATTCCATCTCAAGAGACCCCTTTCTTTGCTCATCCACAAGAAGCAACTCCTTAGCTCTTCAAATTTGATTATGAGACTGAAGCAATTCAGTCACATCTTTAGGCTTCACTTCTAATTCCAGTTCTTTTGTTATTTCCACAACATCTGCAGTTACTTCCTCCACTGAAGTCTTTAACCTCTCAAAGTCATCTGTGAGGGTTGGAATCAATTTCTTCCACATGCTTGTTGACCTTGATATTTTGACCTCCTCCCATGAATCATGAACATTCTTAATGCATCTCGAATGTGAGTCCTTCTCAGACGGATTTCAATTTGCTTTGCCCAGATCCATCAGAGCAATCACTATTCATGGCATCTTACAGAATGTATTTCTTAAATAATAAGGCTTGAAAGTCAAAATTACTCCTTGACCCATAAGGTGTAAAATGGAGGGATTAGCAGGCGTGTAAACAACATTAATCTCCTTGTACATCTCCATCAGAGCCCTTAAGTGACCAGGTGCCTTGTCAAGAAGCAGTAATATTTTGAGAAGCATCTATTTCTGAGCAGTGGATCTCAACAGTAGGGTTAAAATATTCAGAAAACCATGTAAACAGTTATACTATCATCCAGGTTTTGTTGTTCCATTTATAGTGCACAGGCAGAATAGATTTAGCATAATTCTTAAGGCACTAGGATTTTTGGAATGGTAAATGGACATTGGCTTCAACTGAAGTCACTAGCTGCATTAGTTACTAACAATAGAGTCAGCCTGTTGTTTGAAGATCTGAGGTTAGGCATTGACTTCTCTTCTCTAGCTATGAAAGTTCTAGATGACATCTTCTTTCAATAGGCTGTTTCATCTACATTGAAAATCTGTTGTTTAGTGTAGCCACCTTCATCAGTTATCTTAGCTAGCTCTTCTGGAAAACTTGCTGCAGTTTCTACATCAGCACTTCCTACTTCACTTCCAGCTTTGTACTTTGATGTTATGGAGGTAGCTTCCTTCCTTAACCCTCATGAACTAACTTCTGCTAGCTTCAAACTTCCCCTCCATGACTTTCTCACCTCTCTCAGCTTCATAACAGTGAACAGTTAAGGCCTTGCTCTGGATTAGTCTTTGGCTTAAAGGAATGTTGTGGCTGGTTTGACCTTCTATCAAGATCACTAAAACTTTCTCCTTAACAGCAATAAGGCTGCTGTACTTTTTTTTTTTTTAATCATTTTTGTGTTCATTAAAAGTCAGTAGCATTTTTAACTTCTTTCAGGAACATTTTCTTTGGATTCACAACTTAGCTAACTATTTGGCACAAGAGGTCTAGCTTTTGGCCTATCTTAGCATTCAACCTGCCTTCCTCACTAAGCTTCATCATTTTAAGCTTTTGATTTCAAATGAAAGACTTGCCACTCTTTTCAGTTGAACACTTAAAGACCATTGTAGGGTTATTAACTGGCTCAATTTTAATATTGTTGTGTCTCAGGGAGCAGTGAGGCCTGAGGAGTGAGAGAGAGACAGGAGCTGGGCAGTCAGTGGAGCAGTTAGAGTACACACAACATTTATTGATTGAGTTCACTATCTTACATGGATGTAGTTCATGGCACTCCAAGACAATTACAATAGTAACATCAAAGATTATTGGTCACAAATCACCATAACAGATACAATAGTAATGAAAACTTGAAATGTTATGAGAATTACCAAATTGTGACCTAGAGAAATGAGCACATGCTGTTGGAAAAAAATGGTGCTAATAATCTTACCTGAGGGAGGGTTGCCACACATCTTCAATTTGTAAGAAAACAAAAACAAAACAAAAACACAAAATAAAACAAAACAAAAAAACACTACCTGCAAGGCATAAAATGAGATATACCTGCAAAATAAACAAATTTCCATCGGTTTGTTGAGAGCTTTTTGATAAAACTCTCTCTTGATATTTTTTTCTTCTTGGTAGTACCTATCAGAAACCCAATACTTTGATTAATCAAAAAACTCTCTGGGCAGGTTATTGCCCCTGGCATGGAGGTGCCTACATATGTAGGCACCTACATATGTTCACATAATTGTGAATGGCAAGCCATTCACAATTATGACTTTTGTACTGGTACAAACTTCGGAGGGTGTTTGGGTAAAGAGGAGAAACAGTAGTGTGGGGGCTATGAGAGATTATTTATCCAGACTCCCCAGCCAGAAAAACTAAATGGACAGAGTAATCCTAGATAGAACCTGAAGTTGGCACCCAGACAAAGAGGGCAGACTGCAACTATTAGGGATATGCTGGAGGTCTCATTTGCCTAAAGGATGTAGCTGAAAAAAAAGGATGTAGTTGCCAAAAATTTCATTCTCAAATTAAAAAAAAAAAAGGTAATTGCTACTCTTTGTTGATGGTTCTCAACTGGGGAAAAAGGCAGCAATTTTGCCTTCCAGGGGGCATTTGGCAATATTTGAAGATACTTTTGGTTGTCACAAATAAAAGGAAAAGAGCCTTGTTATGAGCACAGAACAACAAAAGAAATGGGTTGGGAGAGAGCTAGCCAGTCTTGCTCCAACCTCATTGAATATCAGTTTTTTAATCTGTAAGATGAATATTATAATACTTTATTTAGCTACTGTAAATATTAAATAAGATAACATGTAAAATACTTATCACAGTGCCTGACACATAGTGATTCCTCAATAAACTGTCACTATTATTATTAGCATTATTGCATAATTTTAAGTAATGGTATTACATTATCAAGTCAGGGGAAAATGACTTGAGAATTTTAGGAAGCTCTTAAAAAGAAATTTCTGACAAGCTTCAAGCCAAGGATGCTAGTAAGAAATTAAATGAGTAAGATGTACAGAGTTCAGTGTGGCAGCAGTGAAAGCTCCTGGCTGAATCGTACTTTAGTAGGGTGTATACAAAACATGAAAAAAAATATTACAAAATAGCTTAAAAAATAAAGAAATATAAAACAGAGAGAACAATCTTGACTAAAGCCTATAACAGACTGTCTAATAGAAATGCAATATGAGTCCTACTTGCAATTTTAAATTTTGCAGTAGCCACATTAAGAAATAAAAAGAAACAAGAAAATTAACTTTAATAATATATTTTATTTAAGCCAACATATTAAAAATGTTATCCTTTCCATCTGTAGCCAATATGAAAAATTGTGAGGTAGTTTCTTTTAAGTCTTTAAAATCAAATGTGTATTTAGACTACAGCATATTTTAGTTTGGACTAGTCACATTTCAAGTGCCTAGTCACACATGTGACTAGTGGCCATCATACCAGACAGCAAATGTGTAGAATATAGTTGTAAAAATGTCATGAATGACAAAAATACGTCTTCAAAGTCATATCCAGAGGAAAAACAGTAAGAAAGAGGATACAAGTCTGTTGATGTAAGAAGATGATTTGATGTTAGTATTTCTTAACTATTTTTAAACTTCCATCCTTTTCCTTTTGCAAACTTATTGCCCAGTAGATGTGGTTAGACCTCATCTTAATTCATAGTATGTGATAAAATGTGGAGAGATTATTCTGAGTGCTAATAATAAATTAAAATATCTCTTACTGGAAAAAACAGGTTTAAGAGAATTGAGAAATTCTAGAATAGGTGGGAGAAATTGTGAGTGGCAACAGGGGTATGGAGAGACTAATACTGGGAAGAAGCAATTATGTCCTGATTATCGAATGAAGAAAGTCCCGTGAAAGCCCACACAAGCTTGATATGCCCCTTTGCAATAGTCAAGCTCTGGGTCCTAGATTTCTTATCTATAGAATAAGAAACAGAGTTTGGATCCTATGAATTTCATGGTGCCTTTGTGTTCTAACAGTCTATAAATCTGTAAGATTATCCAAAGATGAATGTTCGAACATTGAGAAAGAGAAGAGATGATCACTGGGTTTAGCAATAGTTTATGGAAAACAAGTAACACCAGCCTAACTTCATTTCTTCTTGTAAGGGAAAGGCTAGGATTATAGCACATCTGGATTTTGGGAAGAGATTTGGAAATTATATTTAATGAGCACCTACTATTCATTTAACACTCATTCAACAGACACTATTGAGCACCTACCATGTTGTATTTCATTTTTTCATAGTTTCTAAAATGTTTTTTGTTTCAATATCTTTAGAGGTAAAAGTGATTTTTGGCCACATGGATAAATTGCATAGTGGTGAAGCCTGGGCTTTTAGTCCACTCATCACTTGAATAGTGTACATTGTACCCACTAGGTAATTTTTTATCCCACCTCCCCCTCTTGTAAGTCTTCAGTCTGCATTATACTACTCTGTATGCTTTTTTTTTTTTTTTTTGAGACGGAGTCTCGCTCTGTCGCCAGGCTGGAGTGCAGTGGCGGGATCTCGGCTCACTGCAAGCTCCGCCTCCCGGGTTCACGCCATTCTCCTGCCTCAGCCTCCCAAGTAGCTGGGACTACAGGCGCCCGCCACTACGCCCGGCTAATTTTTTGTATTTTTAGTAGAGACGGGGTTTCACCGTTTTAGCTGGGATGGTCTCGATCTCCTGACCTCGTGATCCGCCCGCCTCGGCATCCCAAAGTGCTGGGATTACAGGCGTGAGCCACCGCGCCCGGCCCTCTGTATGCTTTTGTGTACCCCTAGATTAGCTCTCACTTTTAAGTGAGAACATACAGTGTTTGGTTTTCCATTCTTGAATTACTTCACTTAGGATAATGGCTTCCAGTTCCATCCAAGTGTCTGCAGAAGACATTATTTCATTCTTTTTTATGGTTGAGTAGTATTCCATAGTGGAATACTATTACACCGCGGAATATATATCACATTTTCTTTATCTACTCATTGGTTGATGGGCACTTAGGTTGATTTTGTATCTTTGCAATTGTGAATTGTACTGCAATAAACATGCATGTGCAGTTGTCTTTTTAATATAATGACTTCTTTTCTTTTGGAGATACTGAGAAGTGTGATTTCTGGATAGAATAGTAGATCTGCTTTAAAAGAAATCTCAATACTGTTTGTCATAGAGGCGTACCAATTTACATTCCCACCAGCATCCCCTTTTCACCATATCTATGACAACACTTATTGTTTTTTGACATTTTAATAATGGCCATTCTGGCTGGGGTAAGGTGGTACCCCTTACCTAATAATTAGTGATGTTGAGCATTTACCTAATAATTAGTGATGTTGAGCATTTTTGTGTATGTTTGCTGGCCAGTTGTATATTTTCTTTGGAGAAATGTCTGTTCATGTGCTTTGCCCACTTTTTAATGGGATTGTTTTTTCTTGCTGATTTGTTTGAGTTCCTCATAGATTCTGGATATTAGACCTTTGTTGATGTACAGTTTGCAAATATTTTCTTCCATTCTGTAGATTGTTTGTTTATTCTGTTGATTATTTCTGTTGCTATGCAGAAGCTTTTTAGTTTAATTAGGCCCAATTTATTTATTTTGCTTTTGTTGCATTTGCTTTTGGGGCCTTAGAAATAATTTTTTTGCCTAGGCCAATGTCCAGAAGAGTTTTTCTTAGATTTTCTTCTAAAATTTTTATGGTTTTAGCTCTTGGATTCAAGGTATCTTAGTTTTAGTTTTAGACACTAGGGATTTGATAGTAGATAAGATGCCTCTTAAGAAACCTATTATGCAAACTTGACTATGGAACAGTGTGGAAGATACAAGGGAAGTACGTTTGAGAGGTCACTTAACTCCTTCATAAGGCATTACAGGAGATTTTCTCTAGAAAATGATTTCAAAGCAGACACTTGAAAGTATTAGCCAGAAAAGATTTTGAGGTGTGAGACAAAGAAGAATATCTCAGGAAGAAGAAATAGTGGGCATGATGTCTCAAACATCAAAACAGGGCAAGTTTATAGAAGAACAGTGCTTCTCAAATGTTAATGTCCACATTAATCACCTGGGGATCTTGTTAATCTTTTTTATCCTTAGGATCCTAATATGTACATTTGCACAGAGACAGAAGCAACCCAGCAACCCTCAGCATCATAATGAGATGATTTCCTAGTTGTCCATCTTTCACTTTCTGGAACATGGATTCCTTTTGCAGATGCCGCTCAATAGGTAGCCAACTGTCACATGCTTTCTTTATGCTTATGAAACAGAATAGTAGGTTTTACCATATGGCTTGTTAAGTAGGAAAGCCATGCCATTAGCAAGCACAAGCCTCAGTGGCACAAAGGTCAACCAGTTTTTTCTTAATTGAAGAAAAAGCAAACATGCATGTTCCTTATAAAAACATTGATATTTAACATTTAACTCAAACCTCATGATTCATTAAGAAAAGGAAATTCAATAAATCAGGCAGATATGACTGTAGGATAAACTGCCTCTGATGAATCTGGCTGTTTACAGGAGTTTGAGTAAAAGAGAAATCAATTTCTGAAATAAACATGCTAAATATAGATTGTTACCATCATTATAAATACTGTTTATTTTGTTTTTATTCCTATAGTGACGATCTTTTATATCTTATACAACTATGTTTATTTAGTCTCTTGGAATACATATTAAGTAATCTCATTGAGTTTGAACTTTAAACTTCTGGGTCAGAAAGTGAACAGTGATGGCTAAAATCCTAGCTATTTCTGATTTCCAAAAACAAAAAGATTTTTAGGAGACACATTTTGTAAGTCATAATTTGTGGGAAATGTAGTAGGCACAATAAATTGGCAACAGAGAGAAGGCAAAAAGTAATAGAAAGCAGACAAGAACTAGAAAAGCATAGCCATCTGGGATCATTTAGTGAAGGGGCAGACAGTTCTACACACCTCAGCAGTCCCTGGGGCATCCCTTGGTCAAAGGGCATAATCTGTTTTATAAAGCTTCCCATCCAAAGAAGTTTTAAAAGATGCCCTTAAATAGTGTTTGTGCCTAAAAGAGAAAAGGTGCCTTTTTGGGAGTGAATAGAAGGTTGATTGGGAGCAGAGAAATGTTTAGGGATTTAAAAACCCAGAGATTTTGAGAGGGAAAGAGGAACAAGAAATGGATGACAGATTGCATTCTTTAATGTTATACAGCTTTAGGTGCTTTGTTTTAAACGGTTATAAAGAAAAAGAAAAAAAAATCCAAGCAAACACTGAAAAGTGGCAAAGCTGAAGTATAACTGTTTCTGCCTGACTTTAGACCTAGGAAATGTGAGTGTGGTAGGTTTTATACTGTCTTTACTTGGTTTCCTCTTGGAATTATGGGCAGCGGCTTCATTGCTTCCTCTTCCAGCCAAGTCTCCATCCTGCTGAGCCAAATAAACACCACTGAGGTGATGTCCCCCACCCCCCTTACCCAAGGCAATCAGGTACAAGAGGGTGTGAGCTTAGAAAATGAAGGTGACAGTTGAAGGCTTAAGGACCCTGTCAAGACAACAGCAATGATGCCAGCCTACCAAAATGCAGATGAGAGACTTAATACAGAAATAGAAGGACTCCCCCAACAGACACTTAATGAAGTGACAGTTAGTGTATGGGACCATGCCAATAGTCCCATCTACATGTGAACTCAAGTACTATTTTTAAACGATGCTTATTTTTTCATCCATTATTTTGATGATTTTGTGCATGTCATGTCTTCCTAGCTAGCCCTGAAAATAGTCTAAAGGACATAACTAAAACCATTATAATTCATTGCAGTAATTATTCTATTGCTTTTACTAGCAGAAACACATCAGACTTTAGCTAGAGTTCTTAGTTGCCCTAAAAATTACACATGGTAGTTTTTGTTTAATTGTGGTTCAGAAACTCGAAAACCGTGGGTCAAAATGGGAAGGGATCTTATGACTATGGGAACAGGATGTGGACAGCAGAGCATGAAGCTTATGGTTGAATACTTAATGTATATGTACCCAATATTCCTGCTTTCTTTCTGTTTAATTTTCAGAGACAATGGTCATAAACCAAAGTGAGCCAGAATACTTTGTGACTCACTTATGCTATAATTAGAACATTTTAGTGAATTTTGGAACTTATTGCTAGAGCAAAAAGAGCAAAATCCTCCCTCTTTCCTTTCCTTTCTTCCTTCCATCCTTATTCTCATCCTCTCTCATTCTCTCTAAAGAAGAAATTTTTTTTGAGCTTGTGCTAAGTAACATGTGCAGTCTGGAAGCAAAAACCTAGGTCTCAGATTCAAGTCCCTGATATGACGTGATCAGACTTGAGCTTCATTGGTGCTAACTATATAAAGGATTAAGCCAAAAGCTAAGCTGGGCTAAGGCGAGATCTTAAAGCTATGCTAAAGAGTGTGAACTTTCTCATAGAATGTGCAATAGGGAATCATTCAAGATTTTATATGCAATACAAGTTATTTCATTATATTTTATGACTTTCTTTCTTGGAAGAAACCTAGTATCATATAATTGATGCTGTTTCAGTTTGCACTCTGTTATATTTGCTAACAAGAAGTGCTACACATGGCATCATAAAGCATTCTTTTCTGCCTCCAGGTTTCCATGGTATTCCCACATCCCACATCCTGAAACTCTCCATGGAATTGTCAACAGTGCCAGAGTTAGAAAAGTCTACAGCAAGTGGACTTTTGTTATCAATGATTCACTAATAAATTGTTATAAGTTTCTTTCCCAATGTTGGAAAGAATTATTTCTCAGGGCACCACTAAGATTAATGGTTGGATACAACAATTGGGTTACAGAGAAGCAGCAGTTTGGTGGAGAAGGCAAGGGCTTTGGAGTCAGCTAGCTGGGCCAAGTTCTGAATTTTCTATGTGTCTTTAAGTGAGCTTATGTTATCTGAGTTTCAATTTTTTTAAAAAAAATATAAAGTTGAGGTTATAGTCTCATTTTGAGGATTAAATAAAATCATTTATGTGAAGCACCTAGCACATAATACTCATAATGATTGGTGATAATGACAATGATAGTGAAGTAATGATGATTATAATGGTAATAATGATGATAATGAGTATTATGGTGTACTTTTGGGGGGTCAGTATGGTATCAGTGGTTAAGATAATAGAACCGGACTATTTGGGTTCATATCCTATCCCTGGCACTCACTCCTATATGGTCTTGGGCAAGGGTACTAGTTATCTTTTGCTTCATTACAAATTACTCCAAAACTAAGTGGCTTAAAACAACTTACATTTATTATCTAAGGCATGATTTAGCTGTGTCCTCTGCTTCTCAGTCTCTCAAAAGGCTGCAATTAAGGAGTCAGCCCAAGGTTTGTGGTCCCATCTGAAGGTTAGACTGGGGAGGGATCCACATCCAAGCTCACTCATGTGGTTACTGGCAAGATTCTGATCCTTTAGGCCTGTTGGACTGAAATTCTAAATTCTTTGCAGGCTGTGGGCTGGAGGCTGCCCTCAGTTATTTGCCCCATGGGTGTTTTTGACATAGTAGCTTGCTTCATCTAAACCAGCAGAAAAACAGTCTATTAGTAAGACAGATGTCACAGTGTTTTATAACCTAATCATGAAAATGATATCCCATCACTTTTGCTGTATTCTATTTGCTTGATGTAGGTCACTAGGTCCAGCCCACAATCAAAGGCAGAGAATTACACAGGGTGTGAATGCCAGAAATGGAGGGGATCCTTGGGAGCCCTCTTGGAAGTCTGCCTCCTTAGCCCAAGTTACTTAACCTCTCTCTACCTCAGTTATTCCACCAATTAAATAGAATTAATGATAGTACCTATTTACAGGGGCTATTGTAAAGATTAAACAGGTTAGTATTTGTAAAGTATTTATGCCTGCCACATAGCAAGCATTCAATACTTGTTTGACATTATTTTAGCTCAGTTTATAGCTGTTTTCCCTGCTATCAAAGTATTGGCCTGATGTGCTTAATGGCACCTGTCACTCCATGTCGAAAATTGGTTGTTGCATCACCAGTTAATACATAGATATGGCAACAAATTTCAGGGCAAGAGAGTGCTGTGGACCCTTGAAGGAACACTGTAGAATGAGGCTTGAGTCCAAGTTCTGTTGTTCTCTTAACAAGATGTGTAGGGGGGCAAGTCACTTCACCCCTCTGGGTGGCTATACCTTTATCGGTGAAATGAGTGCTTCAGACCCTATTGGGGTCTGAATATTACCCCTATTGGGGTAATATTAATGATATTTAGCAACTGCCTGGGGTCAGGCACTGGCCAGTCAGCACACAGGCTGCTGTGAGCAGTGGCATGGCCGTGCTGCTATGGGCTGGCTGCATGTCAGCCTCAAGAAGTTATCTTCACAGTTCCTCTACCCTCAAACATCTAAGATCCCATGACATATTCCAAATCACTTAATGATTTCACAGTCCACAAAGCCCTTGAGTTTTATTCCCCTTACTTTCATAACTTCTTACCAAGGTGGTTTATAAGCCAGCATGCTAAAACAATCTCAATAAAAAGCCATTTAATATTATATGATTATCCTGGTCTGTGGTTTTAAACAGTGTGAGCAAATGTATCTAAATATAATCATGATATTTGGTTCAGGAGCTAATCCCATTAAGTGTGTTTTTAAAACTCAATAAATGTTATTTCAGATACTCATTACCAGAATGAAAATTTTAGCCTGAGTTTGTCTCTGGCAGATCTTCTGGATCCTCCTCAGGAGCTCACATATGCCTTCAAACACAAATGTCACCCAGTAAAGTGACAATGCCCTTGCTCTGTATCTGTTGCTTCCAAGACTCCCTGTGTGACTTGTCTCTTTCCTAATGCTTGCTAAGTACCTGATACCTTCCTATGCAGGAAGCTTATATGAACTAATTAACATTTAATGAGAGGAAACCGACTGATTAGAATGCTTTCTGTGGTACTTCAGCTAATAAATGTTGTATATACTTTTGACTGCATCTCGTCAGCAAGTGGCTTCACCTCTCGACTGTACCTTTTTTTTTTTTTTTCACAGCTCTGCCCTGCTCTAGGGCTCTCTACAGTAACCTGGCTGAACAGTTTGCCTTAGTTAATTTGAGAAAAGTTTTGGACCAAATTTATTGAAGTAAATATTTGGATTAAACTTTGCTTACAGCAGTAAGTGAATGGAGCTTCTGAATCCAAATCAAGACCAAATCATTCCAACCTCGCCTGATGCACAACAGTGAATTTGGTGAAAAGCAAAACCTGCCAGGCAGAGTCCCAGGCAGCTGAAAATGATTTTGCCTGTGTTTACAAAGGTAATTAGGGCTGTGCTAGTACAGCGCTGGAGGCTCAAACAGAGGAGCAGGAAGGTGAAACTTCAGAGGCTCAAACATTTCCCGAGGATTATCTGGATCTAGCCATTCAATACCTGCCAGTGTCTTCTGAATTATGGAAAGTGCCCTAAGATGAGCTGGGTCAAGGTCTTTTACATCACACTTTTTGGTCAGGTATTATCAGTAAAAAAACCATTGAGCTGCACTTCCCCATGTATTTATAGATTGGCTACATGTAGTTCAATTGGTAATGTCTCAAAGCATAACATACACTTGAACTGAAGTCCAGCATTACTGGCAATGGATAAGTTCACATTTTGAAAAATCATGATGATTTTTGTCATATTTGAGTAAATCCTCGTGGTTTTAACCTCATGATGTGGCTGGGATCAAGACAAATATAAGCGTACCATAAGTGGGACAAGGGTCAACTCTTTTGAGCCGAACAATTTTCTTGTTGTTCACCAGTGCTTGCCTAATTAATATTTATCTTTAGCATTCAGATATTTTGCAGGCATATTTTAAGTAACAGAACCATTTTCTTTTAATTTCAAAGATTGGTTTTGTTAAAACCAGATAAGATAATATATAAATCCACACAAACAGGGCCATGTAAACTGAAATGAGCTGTAAAACAACAAAGTGAAAATGAATGAGATCTGAGCCCTGCTGTGCAATGGAACGCCCTCCTCCTTCAAGACATGTCCTGTGTGTGTTTGTCGTGTGTGAAAGAGAGGGAAGGGAGAACACCAGCATTAGCCTAGTTATTAGATGTTAGAAAAGCTTAATTTCTGTTTTTTTAAATGAAGTTATTACAATAAGAGAAATTCTAATATTTTCTTCCCACTCAGCCATGGATGGTCTAGAATCCCCCTCAAGGACTATGGGTCTAGATCTTATGTCTGAAAACGCAATCTGGCCAGATCTATTTAACTGGAATAAGCCTCTAATGGTCTAATTTATTCCTCTCAGTTCTCAGCTCCTTGACCAAGCTGCAGAGAACTGTTCTAACACTTGACTCAGCGGGAAGCTTGGGATTTTCTTGCCATGTGCACCACAAGGGGTAGCTGTCACCATTCAGCTGTTCAGTTTTTTTCTGATCTCCCTAGTCTCCCATGAAGTGAATTAAATGGTCAGGATGGCTCAGTGCATAGTGGGACCTCCCTGAACAGGTACACTTTTCTGTAGGGTAATCAGAGCTTCCAAGAAACTTCTTCAGCTTCTAGAAATCTAAGCTTCTCGCTACTGGATATTTGTTCTTTTTTTATCATCAGGATGGAGCATGGTGTAAAGAGGGTGTGGGGTTGGCCATCAGACAAATGTGAGTTCAAGTCCTGGCTTTGGGACATTCTGTGTGATCTGAGACAAATTCTCTCACCTCTCTGTGCTTCAAGGTCTTCATCATTTAATGAATATAATAATACCTACTTTATTAGATTGTTGTGAAAATTATGGAAAAATACAGATAAAGCATCTAGCCCAATACCTGAAGGTAGGTATTCATTACATGCTAACTATTGTTACTCATTGTTATAGTTGTAGTAATCATGCAAATTTTTTTCTTGGAAAGAGAATGTCTTCATAGACATTAAATTTTTTTTTTTTACTAGAAATGAGTTTATTAGAAATTAGTTGCATCCCAAGCCTGAAATAGATTATGGATCATGTACAGGGAGATTGGTGGGGAAGGACTGGCTGTGGGGTGGGCCCCAGGGACTCGACGGTACTCAGTTACTGAAATGCATTGAGCCAAGGGTATGAACATAATCAGGTAGAAAGCCAAGGTCCATCTGGATTATGTCATAGTTAAAACCCAGAAGTGCATGTTGGCTGTGAGAAAAAAATAAGCCTCATAAATGTTCTGCACCTGTGGAGCTTAGTGCTTGTTGGGAGTTATGTTTTAAAGGAGCTGTAATAAGACCAGAGGCTAGAGAGTAGGGCATCTCCTTTTGGAGTTCACTTTTTTATCAGTACTGTATAAGAGTTAAGTAAAGCTAGGTATTATAACAAAACAACCCCCAATCTTAATGGCTTAATACAAAAGGTTTATTTTTTAGTCCCTTCACATTTTAGTGTGGGTTGGTGGGCAAGCAGCGTTCCACATACACATGCAGGGGCCCAGGCTCCTCCCATTTTGTGGCTCTACCTTCCTCTGGGTCCTCTCAGTTCAGTTGCAGACAGGGAAAAAGCAAGGATCACGTTTGGGAAATTTTCATGGACAAGGTTTGGAAGGAATGCACAGCACTTTTGTTCACCTTCCTTTAGCCAGATCTCAGTCACATGGGTACACCTAACTAACTATAGGAGAGGCTTGAGATGTTCCAGCTGTGTTACCAGAAAGGCGGGAGAAATACAAATATTGGCAAAGAATCGCAATTTGCCATAAATGACTTTCAAACTTTGTGGACTTAACTCTAGTACACAATTAATTTCATATCAATACTAAGTAACCCAATCCCTACACACCTCTAGAACTTGTAAACAATACTTGTTCTTATTACATGTGACACCAGTGAATATTTTCTATTTTAGTTCACTTAAAAGTACTAGTTGTGCCACAATCAACTCCACAATCTGGCAGAGTGAAAAACACTATTGTACATTGTAAGCCTGAGGATAATATCCCACTTATTGTTACTAGACAGAATATGAGGCCCCGCCTGCAATGATCAGAATCTGTGGTGCCTGAGAGCATCCGCTGGTGGTCCCTGTGATGAGAAAACCCGATAGATGGGTCCAGAGATGGCAAAACTCAGTGACACCACCTGTGCAGTGTAGGGTTTCACCTGGGATGAGACCTAGTATTCAAACATTTTTCTTTCAACACAGCCACCTTGAAATATAGTTAAAAATAAAAGCAGAACAAAACCAAACATAGATCGCTGATGCTTGGGTAAACTTCCCTCCTCATTTCCTCCAACATTTAGTTGTGAAATAGAATGTCATCTCATTAGCTGTACTTCATATTCGTATCCCCCTGCTCCCATCCAAGTAAGAAATTGGTATCTCATTCTTCAGTTACTACTATTTTAAGAAAGTGATCCATTGACCAACGAAACTAGAAAATCACTCCTTATATTAGTCTGTTTTCACACTGCTATAAAGAAATACCCAAGACTGGCTAACTTATACAGGAAAGAGGTTTAACTGACTCACAGTTCCGCATGGCTGGGGAGGCCTCAGGAAACTTACAGTTATAGAAGATGGGAAATCAGGCATGTCTTACATGGCAGCAGGTGAGACAGAGCATGTGTCAGCACAGGAAAACCTACCATTTATAAAACCATCAGATCTTGTGAGAATTAATTCATTATCACAGAACAGCATGAGGGAAACCACCCGCATAATCCAATCACTTCCCGCCAGGTCTCTCCCCAAGCACATGGGGATTACAATTCAAGATGAGATTTGGGTGGATACACAAAGCCTAACCATATCACTCCTGTAGGATGAACCATAGATATACATTTTTCATGTTTTGATATTTACACTGCAACGTGAATATATAATCCTCCGTAGTTCATTATACAGAACTTGCTTGGTATTACAGTGGCATTGAATTTTCACCTGGCAGTTGAGGTAGAGAGCCTTATTGTTAAAGGAAGACAAAATCAGGCATAATGAAAGCCTTCATATATACGTTCTCACTCTATGCATAGAAGTTCTAGGAGGTACGAAGGCATATTCTTACCTCCAAATCATGTAGTGCATGTAAATTGAGTTGTATAGCATTTAATCTGAGAATATGCTCTCCAAACCCTATCTGTTCTCTCCTGGCTCCATCAATTAGTCTTAGCATGAATTTTATTTTCCATAGTGTGTCTATAGTTTACTATTCTGAATATTAAAGTAACCTGGCTTTTATATGTGGAATGCTGGTTTCCTAATCTTTAGAAGCCCGATTACAAAATGAATTTATAGGTGAGGAACAACATAAAACAAGAACTGAATTGGCTATATATTAATGGCAGCTGTGTGTATAACAAATATAAATTACCTTCTGTTTAATGAAAGTTCACTTTAGGAGTGTTCTTAATGAGTAGATGACTTATATCAATAGAAAAAACAAGAGGTAAAATTTCAAGTGACTGAGATGATCAGACCACATGATATGATGAGCAGAGCCCCTGAGAATCTTCTGACATACATCATTATAGACTCTGGTCACTACAATGTACCACCAGGCAAATGCCTAAGTTAGATCATTCTAATATCTAATATCTTTTTATATTGAATTTAAAGCCACTGGCACTGCATGCTTTTGGCCACACTAAAATCTGTCTTTCTTTAGGCTGACTTCACATGGATCCAGTTAACCTTCAATATTTAGGACTTTGCTTTTAGGATTAGCAGCATTATATTCGTGGTTGAACTGGCCCAATGAAAGTTTTCCCCACTCCCCTATTTTATTGAAAAGAACGACATTGGAAATTGTGGTTCTCAGTTTAAATTGAAGACTTGACAGTTTTCATTATAAGGATGATGTCATTGAGAACCACACGGACCTACCTTCCCAGAGTCTTCAAGGAAAAATGAAACCACTGGAAGGGGTTAGAGGTGATAATTAAAACTTTGAAACTTTGATAGGTTAATGGTATTATTTTACAAACAACAAAAAAGATGCTAACATATGACTTTATCAACAAGTCTTTCAAGTATCTAATTTAAGAAGTAAAAATATAAGTATCTTACTAAAGTTCCATGTTATTATTTTATCATCCCTTACCCTCAAATACCCATTCATTCACTTGTTTATTCAGCAAATAGTTATAAAGCCTATTATGTGCCAGGCACTGTTCTGGGTACAAATGAACAAATCAAATAAAACTCCTTTCCTTTCAAGAACTTATACTCCAGAGGGCAATAAATGAGTAAGTAAAATGCGAAATATGTTAGTGCTGAAACCTGAGAAGAATAAGAAAGAAGAAAAGACGGAGGATAAGTGGCAGAGAGGGGTTGCAATTTTAAACAATATGTCCAGGGAAGGACTCACTGATAACATGACATGTAAGTAAAGACCTTAAGGAGGTGAGACAGTGAGCCATGTGATACCTGGGGGAAGAGTGTTCAAGGAGGAGGATGCAAAGACTTTGAGTGGGGAGCATGCTGGTGTGTTTGAGGAACACCAGTAAGGCAAGGTGACTAGAGTGGATATGGTGAGGTGTAATGGAAGAGTGCCATGGTGGAAAGGTGACTGAAGGCCAGAAATGCGGGGTGTTGTAGAACATGGTAAGTATCTTGGCTTCCACTGTGAGTGTGATGGAGGGCCATTGGTGAGTTTTCAGCAAATTAGTGACTGATACAATTTAGTTCTTAACAGGATCACTCCAGCCACTTGTTGAGAATAGGCCAGTTAGGAGGTCTGTGCAACAGTCTAGGACATGGATGATGGTGGCTTGGACCTGGGTGGTAGCAGTGTGGGTCTGAGGAGTGCTTGGATTTTAGAGAGAGTTTGAAGGTGACACCACCCAGATTTGCTGATGAATCAGATATGAGCTATAAGAGAATCAGAAACATCAAGCCTGGAGAAGTTTTTTTTTTTGGAGGGAGAGACTGGGAGGAGTAGGTTTAGGGGAAAAGAAAAGTTCATTTTGTGTACTGTTAAAATGGAATGGTGATATCAAGAAGGCAGTTGGCCATTTGAGTCTGCAATTCAGGGGACATTGTGCATTACTTCCAGGCTTTTTCAACCTTCCTATGTATTGGACAATAGAGCTGTTGTAAGTTAGTAATGGGGCAACTGTATCTTCAAAGAAAGATGGTCTAACCTCTGGGTAAAGGTTGAGTTTTCTTTTCATAAAAAAATAATTACTATGCAGGATGCTTTTCTTAAGATTCATCTTCATAGTTGGCTACCCTCACCTAGTTGCATAATCATAAGATTCTCTTTTTCTGTAGTGTCTGTCATGACTTGGAGGGTTTGCTTCTGATCTCAAGCCAACTTAGTGTCTATTAATTGAGTTATTGACATATAATATGGCATATAATATGAAACTAGGCTCAGGGTATTTCCTGTTTGTCACATGATGCAATAATTATGCATAAGTTTATATGACTTCTTACTTTTTCAGGGTTTTGGCCATACTTCTAATTAAAATATAATTAGCACCCCACCACTTGTCAGGAAAAGTGTTCTGTTCTAAACTGAGCAGGTCAGGGCACCAAAAGTGGGCATCTGAGGTGGCTGAGAATTCACACTCAGAAACATCAGAGAACCTGGGCTCAGCCATTGTGATAACACACTACACAAATGACCGCCCCACTATCTTGAAGAGTGGATTTTTTTCTTTTGTATATGATAGGAGGTTGATGGATTGTGTCTGCTGCAGAGACACAAGGAGAGAAAGGTGACTCAAGTCCCAAAATAGCCCTTCTGAATGCATTAGGAGAAAGCATCTCTGACACAGACAGGAAGCAAGGGAAGAGGAGGCAGGAATTGGTGACAAAATGCTCATAGTGCATTGGTCACCAGCATTGATTCATATTAAATTATTGTCCTCTGCTAAGAATGACACTGTCCTCCGCTTTTATTTTAAATTATAAAAACACTCTAACAGTGCACAATTACCTGAAGATTAAATTGATTGTCCATTATCTGTATTTTAACCGTCTACTTGGTAAGTGTTTCCTACCGTTTCTTCATCACTTCACACCCGGTTGGGGTTTGGAGTGGGTCTTATGTGTGGCTCTATTTGATAATGTGGTGGTTATGTACCTGAATGCTCTATAAAAGTAAGAACCTCAGTATTGAAGTGACACAAGAAAAAAGTCTCACTTAAGTTTGCTGTAAATAGACAAACAATATCTGAAAGAAACTTTAATGGAATAAATTATCCCATTCACAATAGCTGCAAAAACCATTACATATATCAAATTAAACTCAATAAGAAATATGTAGGAAATACATGAAGAAAATTCTAAAACTAGCAAAGGAGATAAAAGGAGAATAAATAGGCAGGAAGACTCAATAATGTAAAGATGCAAGTTATATCTAAATTAATCCATAACTGTGATGCAATTTCAATAAAAATCCCACTGGGGTTTATTTTGTTTGTGAATTGTTTGTTTATTTTGGCCAAGAATAGTGAGAAAAAGTAGAAAAAGACTACTGAGGCCGGGCACAGTGGCTCATCCCTGCAATCCCAGCACTTTGGGGGCGAAGGTGGGCAGATCACTTGAAGCCGGGAGTTCAAAACCAGCCTGGCCAACGTGGCAAAACCCATGTCTCTACTAAAACAGAAGTGGGGCATGGTGGTGTGTACATGTAATCCCAGCTATTCTGGAGGCTGAGGCAAAAGAATCACTTGAGCCTGGGAGGCGGAGTTTGCAGCGAACCGAGATCATGCCACTGCACTCCAGCCTGGGTGATAGAGCAAGACTCTGTCTCAAAAACAAGCAAGCAAGCAAGCAAACAAAAAACACTGAACAAAGACTATTAAGGGAGACTTGCCCTACCATATATTAAAAGTTTTTATAAAACTATAGTAATTAAAACTTTGCAGTATCAGCACAGACTAGAAAGATTAGACCAATGGAACAGAATTGAGTCTAGAAATAGATCTAACTTTATATGAAAATTTTATATGTGATAAAGCCACCAGTTAAAATCAATGAGAAAATTGATTGCCCAATAAATGGGTTTAGGAAAACTCACTAGGCCCCTGGGAAAAGAATAAAATTGAAATTACTCAATCTTCCTCCTAATAGCAAGATAGATTCCAGATGAATCAAAAGTTTAAAGATAGGAAAAGGAAACCAAAGGAGTACTCGAAGCAAACATGAGGTTTGTCTATACTTTTGAAAAGGTGAAAAGCTTTCTTTCTTTTTTTTTTTTTTTTTTTTTTTGAGATGGAGTTTCACTCTTGTTGCCCAAGCTGCAGTGCAATGGCATGATCTTGGCTCACTACAACCTCCACCTCCCGGGTTCAAATGATTCTCCTGCCTTAGCCTCCCGACTAGCTGGAATTACAGGCACACGCCACCACACCCAGCTAATTTTTGTATTTTTAGTAGAGATGGGGTTTCGCCATGTTGACCAGGCTGGTCTCGAACTCCTGACCTCTGGTGATCAGCCTGCCTCGGCCTCTCAAAGTGCTGGGATTACAGGCGTAAGCCACCATGCCCGGCTGAAATGGTGAAAAGCTTTCTAAGCAAGAAACAAACCTAGAAGCCATAAAG
The DNA here is from genome assembly GCF_000001405.40 of Homo sapiens. Lineage (NCBI taxonomy): Eukaryota > Metazoa > Chordata > Mammalia > Primates > Hominidae > Homo > Homo sapiens. The sequence continues at coordinate 157,693,488 of NC_000003.12, read as the reverse complement.
TTAAAGGTTAAATTTCACTACCTAAAATTAAATTTTATGCACAGTAAAAATATCATAATAAATATAGTCAAAAGACAGATGACCAACCAGAGAAACATTTAAAACACATAATACTGACAAATGATTAATTTTCTCAATATATAAAGAGTTCTCTGAACTTGATAAGGAATAGAAACATGAAATTTGGGTTAAAAAAAGATAAAATGTTCATAAATAAGCGAAAAACTTTTCAATCTCCCTAACAATAAAAAATTTACATTAACAATTAGATAACTTTTTTTGATTTTCATATTGAGAATTTCTTTTAAAACGTACATGAGGCAAGGATCCAAACATGATCATTCAATGTAGGCAGGAGTATAAATTAGTTCACCCTCCTCAGAGGATAATTTGGCAATATCTAACAAATATAAAATGCACATATCTCTTTGTTCCAGCAGCTGACACTTTGGGGAATTTGTCCCATATTATATTTACCCATGTGCAAGAAGAAGGATGAGGCAAGGTGTTCAGTGTAGCATTGTTGGTCATAGGCATCGACTAAAAGAATTGACAACAAACAGCCCACTTGTTTAAATAAATATGATACATATATACAATGGAATGCTATAAGGTTACAAAAAAGAATGAAGTAGTTCTGTTGATCTTATAAAGTGTTCCAAGATATATCATTTAGTTAAGGAACAGCTAAGTGCCAACTAATATGTGTAGTTTGCTCTAATTTATGTAAACATAAAATAGGATGCCTGTACTTGTATGATGTATGTCACACGCACATATACCTCATGCTTGTACCCCTAGAGCACTTCTAGAAAATGTTTCCCCCTAGGGAGGGGAAATGAGGAACTGAGAGGAGGGGAAGAACTGGTGATGAGAGGTAGACATTGTATATACTTTCTGATGTTTCTGTCCTTTCTTACCATGGGCATATATTATTTTTGCAATGAAACAAGCTATTTTAAAAAATAAATATTAAAACATGGGAATTTAGAAAATATAAATGTAACATTTCAAATTGATTGGGGAAATAAATTATTAAATAATTGTTGACATACTGGCTAACCATTTAGAATAAAGCAAAGTTGGATACACCAAAATAAATTATAAATGGGTCAAAGTCTTAAATATAATAAAAAATAAAACCATGACCATTCTCAAAGAAGACAGTGATAATTTTTTATAACCTTGGATTGGGAAAAGAACTTTCTAATCATGTAATGAAAACTCAGAAAAATTGAACTATTTGACTACAAAAATATAAACTTCAACTTTATTAAAAATATCATAAAATTGAAAGAAGCAAAATAGGAAAGAAGTTTGTAAAGACGAATGATAGATCACAAGTCAATATTATTAACTAAATAGTCATTAAAAATCAAGAAAAAAATTTTAGTGAGCATAGGACATGAATTATTTACTTTGAAGAATTTACTCTGACAAGACAATCTTCGAGTTCATACTGTTAAAATCTCAGTGATGTTCATTACAGTGTTGTTCAGAATAGCTCCCTGCTAAAAGATCAGAAATCATCTAAATATTCACACCACTCACAGAACTAAAACATTCAACACCTGAGAAGATTTCAACCATGCCAATAATCAAGGAAATGTAAATAAAAAAGGACGAAGTTCATTTTTCACCCAGAAGACTGGCAAAAAAAATTAAGTTAATAAAACTCAGTGTTGTTGAGCAACAATTCTCTCTAGTGCTATTTGGTGGACATATAAGTTGATACTTTTTTGAATGTCACTTTGGTAGTTAAAATGTGTGTACTATTTACCCCAGCAATCCTTCATCTAGGAGTTTACTCTGAAGAGAGAGTCATTCAAGTTCAAATGGATAAAATCTCAGTGATGTTCATTATAGGGTTGTTTAGAATAGTGCCCCACCAAAAAAATTGGAAACCATCTAAATGTTCATCAATGGGGCATTTGTTGTATAAATAAGACACTTACATTCAATGGAATACAATATTGCCTTTTAAAATATGTATGGACATGCAAGTTTCTCTTTGACCAATTGTCAAGTGCTTGAAAACAGATCGCAAAACACCACTTGGAGCAAAAGGTATTTTACAGAAAGGAAGCTCTCTGGAAGTTGGCTCATATAAACATTTACAGTGGTTTTTATTGAGTGGAAGGAATGTAAATAATTTTTACCTTCTTACACTTTTTTAAATTATACTTTAAGTTTTAGGGTACATGTGCGCAATGTGCAGGTTTGTTACATATGTATACATGTGCCATGTTGGTGTGCCGCACCCATTAACTCATCATTTAGCATTAGGTATATCTCCTAATGCTATCCCTCCTTCATCCCCCCACCCCACAACAGTCCCCAGTGTGTGATGTTCCCCTTCCTGTGTCCATGTGTTCTCTTTGTTCAGTTCCCACCTGTGAGTGAGAACATGCGGTGTTTGGTTTTTTGTCCTTGCGATGGTTTACTGAGAATGATGGTTTCCAGCTTCATCCATGTCCCTACAAAGGACATGAACTCATCATTTTTTATGGCTGCATAATATTCCATGGTGTATATGTGCCACATTTTCTTAATCCAGTCTATCACTGATGGACATTTGGGTTGGTTCCAAGTCTTTGCTATTGTGAATAGTGCCACAATAAACATATGTGTGCATGTGTCTTTATAGCAGCATGATTTATATTCCTTTGGGTATATACCCAGTAATGGGATGGCTGGGTCAAATGGTATTTCTAGTTCTAGATCCCTGAGGAATCACCACACCAACTTCCACAATGGTTGAACTAGTTTACAGTCCCACCAACAGTGTAAAAGTGTTCCTATTCCTCCACATCCTCTCCAGCACCTGTTGTTTCCTGACTTTTTAATGATCGCCATTCTAACTGGTGTGAGATGGTATCTCATTGTGGTTTTGATTTGCATTTCTCTGATGGCCAGTGATGATGAGCATTTTTTCATGTGTTTTTTTGGCTGCATAAATGTTTTTTTTTGAGAAGTGTCTGTTCATACCCTTCGCCCACTTTTTGATGGGGTTGTTCGTTTTTTTCTTGTAAATTTGTTTGAGTTCATTGTATATTCTGGATATTAGCTCTTTGTCAGATGAGTAGGTTGCAAAAATTTTCGCCCATTCTGTAAGTTGCCTGTTCACTCTGATGGTAGTTTCTTTTGCTGTGCAAAAGGACTTTAGTCTTTAGTCTTTTGCTGTGAAGAAGGACTTTAGATGTGAAGTGCTTGTCCATGCCTATGTCCTGAATGGTATTGCCTAGGTTTTCTTCTAGGGTTTTTATGGTTTTAGGTCTAACATGTAAGTCTTTAATCCATCTTGAATCAATTTTTGTATAAGGTGTAAGGAAGGGATCCAGTTTCAGCTTTCTACATATGGCTAGCCAGTTTTCCCAGAACCATTTATTAAATAGGGAATCCTTTCCCCATTGCTTGTTCCTGTCAAGTTTGTCAAAGATCAGATAGTTGTACATATGCAGCATTATTTCTGAGGGCTCTGTTCTGTTCCATTGTTCTATACCTCTGTTTTGGTACCAGTACCATGCTGTTTTGGTTACTGTAGCCTTGTAGTATAGTTTGAAGTCAGGTAGTGTGATGCCTCCAGCTTTGTTCTTTTGGCTTAGGATTGACTTGGCAATGTGGGTTCTTGTTTGGTTCCATATGAACTTTAAAGTAGTTTTTTCCAATTCTGTGAAGAAAGTCATTGGTAGCTTGATGGGGATGGCATTGAATCTATAAACTACCTTGGGCAGTATGGCCATTTTCATGATATTGATTCTTCCTACCCATGAGCATGGAATATTCTTCCATTTCTTTGTATCCTCTTTTATTTCATTGAGCAGTGGTTTGTAGTTCTCCTTGAAGAGGTCCTTCACATCCCCTGTAAGTTGGATTCCTAGGTATTTTATTCTCTTTGAAGCAATTGTGAATGGGAGTTCACTCATGATTTGGCTCTCTGTTTGTCTGTTATTGGTGTATACGAATGCTTGTGATTTTTGCACATTGATTTTGTATCCTGAGACTTTGCTGAAGTTGCTTATCAGCTTAAGGAGATTTTGGGCTGAGATGATGGGGTTTTCTAGATACACAATCGTGTCATCTGCAAACAGGGACAATTTGACTTCCTCTTTTCCTAATTGAATGCCCTTTATTTCCTTCTGCCTGATTGCCCTGGCCAGCACTTCCAACACTATGTTGAATAGGAGTGGTGAGAGAGGGCATCCCTGTCTCGTGCCAGTTTTCAAAGGGAATGCGTCCAGTTTTTGCCCATTCAGTATGATATTGGCTGTGGATTTGTCATAGATAGCTCTTATTATTTTGAGATACGTCCCATTAATATCTAATTTATTGAGAGTTTTTAGCATGAAGGGCTGCTGAATTTTGTCAAAGGCCTTTTCTGCATCTATTGAGATAATCATGTGGTTTTTGTCATTGGTTCTGCTTATTTGCTGGATTACGTTTGTTGATTTTCGTATGTTGAACCAGCCTTGCATCCCAGGGATGAAGCCCACTTGATCATGGTGGATAAGCTTTTTGATGTGCTGCTGGATTCGGTTTGCCAGTATTTTATTGAGGATTTTTGCATCAATGTTCATCAAGGATATTGGTCTAAAATTCTTTTTTTGTTGTGTCTCTGCCAGGCTTTGGTATCAGGATGATGCTGGCCTCATAAAATGAGTTAGGAAGGATTCCTTCTTTTTCTATTGATTGGAATAATTTCAGAAGGAATGGTACCAGCTCCTCCTTGTACCTCTGGTAGAATTCGGCTGCGAATCCATCTGGTCCTGGACATTTTTGGTTGGTAAGCTATTGATTATTGCCTCAATTTCAGAGCCTGTTATTGGTCTATTCAGAGATTCAACTTCTTCCTGGTTTAGTCTTGGGAGGGTGTATGTGTCGAGGAATTTATCCATTTCTTCTAGATTTTCTAGTTTATTTGCATAGAGGTGTTTATAGTCTTCTCTGATGGTAGTTTGTATTTCTGTGGGATCGGTGGTGATATCCCCTTTGTCATTTTTTATTGCGTCTATTTGATTCTTCTCTCTTTTCTTCTTTATTAGTCTTGCTAGTGGTCTATCAATTTTATTGATCTTTTCAAAAAACCAGCTCCTGGATTCATTGATTTTTTGAAGCTTTTTTTGTGTCTCTATTTCCTTCAGTTCTGCTCTGATCTTAGTTAGTTCTTGCCTTCTGCTAGCTTTTGAATGTGTTTGCTCTTGCTTCTCTGGTTCTTTTAATTGTGATGTTAGGGTGTCAATTTTAGATATTTCCTGCTTTCTCTTGTGGGCACTTAGTGCTATAAATTTCCCTCTACACACTGCTTTGAATGTGTCCCAGAGATTCTGGTATGTTGTGTCTTTGTTCTCGTTGGTTTCAAAGAACATCTTTATGTCTTCCTTCATTTCGTTATATACCCAGTAGTCATTTAGGAGCAGGTTGTTCAGTTTCCATGTAGTTGAGCGGTTTTGAGTGAGTTTCTTAATCCTGAGTTCTAGTTTGATTGCACTGTGGTCTGAGAGACAGTTATAATTTATGTTCTTTTACATTTGCTGAGGAGTGCTTTACTTCCAACTATGTGGTCAATTTTGGAATAGGTGTGATGTGTTGATGAAAAGAATGTATATTCTGTTGATTTGGGGTGGCAAGTTCTGTAGATGTCTATTAGGTCTGCTTGGTGCAGAGCTGAGTTCAATTCCTGGATATCCTTGTTAATTTTCTGTCTCGTTGATCTGTCTAATGTTGACAGTGGGGTGTTAATGTCTACCATTATTATTGTGTGGGAGTCTAAGTCTCTTTGTAGGTCACTCAGGACTTGCTTTATGAATCTGGGTGCTCCTGTATTGGGTGCATATATATTTAGGATAGTTAGCTCTTCTCGTTGAATGGGTCCCTTTACCATTATGTAATGGCCTTCTTTGTCTCTTTTGATCTTTGTTGTTTTAAAGTCTGTTTTATCTGAGACTAGGATTGCAACCCCTGCCTTTTTTTGTTTTCCATTTGCTTGGTAGATCTTCCTCCATCCCTTAATTTGGAGCCTATGTGTGTCTCTGCACATGAAACAGGTTTCCTGAATACAGCACTATGATGGGTCTTGACTCTTTATCCAATTTGCCAGTCTGTGTCTTTTAATTGGAGCATTTAGCCCATTTACATTTAAGGTTAGTATTGTTCTGTGTGAATTTGATCCTATCATTATGATGTTAGCTGGTTATTTTGCTGGTTAGTTGATGCAGTTTCTTCCTAGCCTTCATGGTCTTTACAATTTGGCATGTTTTTGCAGTGGCTGGTACTGGTTGTTCCTTTCCATGTTTAGTGCTTCCTTCAGGAGCTCTTTTAAGGCAGGCCTGGTGGTGACAAAATCTCTCAGCATTTGCTTGTCTGTAAAGGATTTTATTTGTCCTTCACTTATGAAGCTTAGTTTGGCTGGATATGAAATTCTGGGTTGAAAATTCTTTTCTTTAAGAATGTTGACTATTGGCCCCCACTCTCTTCTGGCTTGTAGAGTTTCTGCCAAGAGATCAGCTGTTAGTCTGATGGGCTTCCCTTTGTGCGTAACCTGACCTTTCTCTCTGGCTGCCCTTAACATTTTTTCCTTCATTTCAACTTTGGTGAATCTGACAATTATGAGTCTTTGAGTTGCTCTTCTCGAGGAATATCTCTGTGGCACTCTCTGTATTTCCTGAATTTGAATGTTGGCCTGCCTTTCTAGGGTGGGGAAGTTCTCCTGGATAATATCCTGCAGAGTGTTTTCCAACTTGGTTCCATTCTCCCCATCACTTTCAGGTACACAAATCAGACATAGATTTTGTCTTTTCACATAGTCCCATATTTCTTGGAGGCTTTTTCATTTCTTTTTATTCTTTTTTCTCTAAACTTCTCTTCACGCTTCATTTCATTCATTTTGTCTTCCATCGCTGATACCCTTTCTTCCAGTTGATCGCATTGGTTACTGAGGCTTGTGCATTCATCACGTAGTTCTTGTGCCGTGGTTTTCAGCTCCATCAGGTCGTTTAAGGACTTCTCTGCATTGGTTATTCTAGCTATCCATTTGTCTAATTTTTTTTCAAAGTTTTTAACTTCTTTGCCATTAGTTCAAACTTCCTCCTTTAGCTTGGAGTAGTTCGATATTCTGAAGCCTTCCTCTCTCCACTCATCAAAGTCATTCTCCATCCAGCTTTGTTCCGTTGCTGGTGAGGAGCTGTGTTCCTTTGGAGGAGGAGAGGCACTCTGATCTTTAGAGTTTCTGGTTTTTCTGCCCTGTTTTTTCCCCATCTTTGTGGTTTTATCTACCTTTGGTCTTTGATGATGGTGACGTACAAATGGATTTTTGGTGTGGGTGTCCTTTTTGTTTGTTAGTTTTCCTTCTAACAGTCAGGACCCTCAGCTGCAGGTCTGTTGGAGTTTACTGGAGGTCCACTCCAGACCCTGTTTGCCTGGGTATCAGCAGAGGTGGCTGCAGAACAGCAGATATTGGTGAGCCACAAATGCTGCTGCCTGATCGTTCCTCTGGAAGTTTTGTCTCAGAGGAGTACCTGGCCGTGTGAGGTGTCAGTCCACCCCTACTGGGGGGTGCCTCCCAGTTAGGCTACTCGGGAGTCAGGGACCCACTTGAGAAGGCAGTCTGCCCATTCTCAGATCTCGAGCTGCATGCTGGGAGAACCACTACTCTCTTCAAAGCTGTCAGACAGGGACATTTAAGTCTGCAGAGGTTATTGCTGTCTTTTTGTTTGTCTGTGCCCTACCCCCAGAGGTGGAGCCTACAGAGGCAGGCAGGCCTCCTTGAGCTGTGGTGGGCTCCACCTAGTTCGAGTTTCCCGGCCACTTTGTTTACCTACTCAAGCCTGAGCAATGGCAAGCGCCCCTCCCCCAGCCTTGCTGCCACCTTGCAGTTTGATCTCAGACGGCTGTGCTAGCAGTGAGTGAGTCTCCGTGGGCGTAGGACCCTCTGAGCCAGGTGTGGGATATAATCTCCTGGTGTGCAGTTTGTTAAGCCCGTTGGAAAAGTGCAGTATTAGGGTGGGGGTGACCCGATTTTCCAGGTGCCATCTGTCATCCCTTTCTTTGACTAGGAAAGGGAATTCCCTGACCCCTTGCGCTTCCCGGGTGAGGCAATGCCTCACCCTGCTTCAGCTCACACACAGTGCGCTGCACTCACTGTCCTGCACCCACTGTCCGGCAGTCCCCATTGAGATGAACCTGGTACCTCAGTTAGAAATGCAGAAATCACCCGTCTTCTGCGTCGCTCACTCTGGGAGCTGTAGGCTGGAGCTGTTCCCATTTGGCCATCTTGGCTCCACCCCCTTCTTACACTTTTTAAATGAAATGAGAGCGTGTATCATTTTACCCCTCCATGCTCCAATTAAATGAAATCTGTGCAAACATTAAAAATAATGTAGAATGAATAAAATCCCATGAAATTATGTTTATAATTTATTAAGTGGAGAAATATAGGTTACAAAATAATAAGTACAGCATTTATCTCATTTTTGGAATAAAGTATAGAAACATATATTCACACACATACTTTTGTGACTGGAAAAGAATAGCCCAAATATATTAACAGTGGTAATCTCTGTGTAATGACATTTTGGGTAACTTTTTAGAAAATATTTTCTATATTTTCTTTAATGAAATTGTATCACTTTTAAATGAAAATTATTGCAGCTCTCTCTAAAAATAATGTTAAGATAAAATTGTCAAAACCTGGCTTAGTGTGAATACAAAAAAAATCATTCCCTCTTAATTTACTTCATAACCCAATATTTAAAAGTAAAATTACAAAATGGTGAGGGGGTCATTGGATTACAGATGGTGGAAACTATATTACATAAAGAATCTTGATGATTTACAGTCCCACTACAGTGGTTTCACCATTATGAAATTAAGGTCTTTCCAAGGTATTATAAAAACAACTAACTACCTTATGTGAGGTATAAAGAGGATTATCCCTTGAATCAACTACCTCCCCCACCAATATTATAAACCATATGCACAAACTTCCACCTCGGACTGATGAACAATAGGATATCTCACAAATCCATAGCTGCATGAGCCCTTCTTAGCTTTGTGAGCCAAGAAGAATAAAGGGTTAATTTGGGCATTAAAACTGCCACAACAACAAAAGAAACTAAACCCCCCTTGGAATTTGTTTTCACGCAACATCCTGAAGCTTGCTTTGTTGTGAACTAGCACTTGAACAGTAGATGCCCTTTTTATAGAGAACCATAGGTTTTCAAGGGCTGATTTTATTTCTGATTTGTTTTTCATTATTTCCTGAAGCTATTGATGTTTCAGAGGCAGTGGGGGAAGTGAGAAAGCCCTGGGAGAGTTTCAGGCTTTGAATTTCGGAACTCAACCATTCAGAGGTTCATACTCATGTTCACAAAAACAATGTCATAGGGTCACTTTGGCCAATGGAGTGTTTTGTGCGAGGTCTGGAGCTTGGGTTCTGTGTGTGTTTGCCTCAGTAGCCTTCCACCCTTTCCACACTTCCCTTTTTCTCTTTATTTTCCCCTTTATATCAACATGTTGTAGCCTGTGACACCAGCTAAATTAATCACTCACTGCACTCAGGGAAGTCACCGCAGGATGTAGAATAACAAAGACAACAAAATTATTGCAAGGCTGGAGAGAAGGGACTAACTTGTGAATAGAGCAGCACACCCTCACCAGCTGTGTCCTCGCAGGGGCTGGAGCAGCAGATTAAATCAGGGACTGTTTTCTATTCCATTATTTGAATTTGAGAATAGCCACAATACAGAGCGAAGCACCCCTAGTGAAGGGAAATCCCTTTGGAACACTTAGCTTGTCAGAACTAAGGCTCTTCCCAGCCCATGAGAGTCCTCTTAGGGTTCCCCGTGGGCAAGCTCTGCTTGGGCTAGATCCAGCTGAGTGACTGCTGAGCCTCCAGGATCCAGAAGCATACCTAAGGGCTCCTGAGTCAAAGCCAGCAGGGAAATCAAACCTCCAGCAGCCAAAAAGATGTGGTTTGAGTCCTAGTACGCTTACCAATCTGCATGATAGCCCAAGAAAAAGACGGAATGGATGGGGGCTGTCAGCTTCTTTGACTCAGAGGAGAAAGGAATCTCTGTTGACAAATGTTGGTGGGATGCTGGGTGAGTTCACCAGTGTTCTTCTATGCACCTGAATGTCAAACTACAGAGGCACAGTTCAAGGGTGACCTAGAGCTCTGTCAGAACTTTTTGGTTAAACATGTCTCCCAACAACTTAGATAATTGTAGACAAGATACACTCATGAAGTAATGGACGTATAGCTGACATGACTAACAAGTATATTAGAAAAACAGCATTATGTACAAAAGCTCTTCAAAGCCACAAGTAAGAAGTCAAAAATAACAAGAGGAAATGTAATGAGAATGGTAATAAACATGTATTCTATAATCATAAACAAAACCAAATGTGAATGTAAATGACTACATTCGGGTTCAAAAAATCAATTGAATGATAATAGAATGGGGGAGATAAACCTGACACCAAAGGCACCCCAAAGAAATTCTAGGATTTATATTGAACAAAAGCTCATGAAGAGAGAGCTGAATGATGCAGCTGTTAAAAAACCTAAGACCAAGGGAAGAATAGTATTTGAAACAAAAGAAGCAAGTGTTGAATGATCCTCAGCATTGGTTAGACCACATGGGAAGAAGGTCCTACCTTTGGATGACTGTTGCAAGGGGGAAAGCATTTCACATATCTGGGAACTAGAGAGAGGAGAACTAGTCCCAATGTGGGAAAATTGAAGAGACAGATTGGGGCATGTAATGGACTCAGTTGTGTCCCCCTGAAATCCATATGTTGAAGCCCTAACCCCTAGTACCTCAGGATGTGACTGTATTTAGAGAGGGGGCCTATAAACAGGTGAGATGAAGTTAAAATGAGGCTTCCAACCTATCTTCATAAAAAGAGATTTGGACTTGCTGAGAGACTCCACGGACTTGTGCACACAGAAGAAAAACCATGTGAAGACATAGTGAGAAGATGGCCGTCTGCAAGCCAGAGAGGCCTCAGAAGAAACAAAACCTGCAGACACCCTGATCTCAGACTTCCCAGCCTCCATAACAGTGAGAAAAGTTCTATTAAGCCACCCAGCCTGTGGTATTTTGTTATGGAAGCCCAAGCAAACTAACACAGGATTCTAAAGAAAGAAACGTTTTCTAACCAAGTGGCTGAGTGCAGTGCCAAGAGCAAGACCTCATTTGAATCCTGACTCTGCTACGTGACTCTGGGCAGCTAATCTCCCTGGGTCACATTTGCCTTGTTTGTAACCTGGAGATCACAAAACCTACTTCATGGGATTGTTGGAAGATTAAATGAGAAACTGAATGCAGTGCACGGAGTATGTCTTTGCCCAAATGATCAACTATCCAGGAAAGGAATGGACTGCCTTGCAGTAGGACCTCTGAATACAGCCTGGCTTATCCAATCACAACACACACTGGCTCTTAAAGGCTTCCATCCAGCTATGGCCTTTACTTATGCTCACATTTTGCTGGACAAAGAAAGCAACTTTTTTAGAAAAATAAAATTAATTTATGTTTATACTGTAACATGTTGATATTCTAGAAAGTGGCTTTATTAAGATTAATAAGATATTGTGATGATTCTGATAATATTGTGGAGGGGACAGGGATGTCCACCACCAACTTTAGCTCAATGTGGTAACTGCCGTTTCACTGTCAGCCCCGTCACCCCGTGCCACTTAGAGAATCTGCTCTTCCCTTGGCCGCTTGAAGAGACTGCCTTTGGCCACCACTGATAGACCATCATCCAAGGTGATTTGACTGGATGAAGCCAATGCCCTTGGCTTTAGCCGGAAAAGTCACCTACTTAGTTATAGGCCTATTTCCTCTTTCCTGATCCAGCGCTGTTGGGAACCTCAATCCCAGGAACTGGCCTCTGTGGCTTTAGTCCAGGACCTCAACAGCCTGGGCCCATCTAGCAGGCACTTGATCCAATTTGTGTGATCAGAAAGATGATACTGGAACAGAGCTACTATAAGAAAGATCCTTTAGTGGGGGAGGCGGGTGGAGGACACAGTTTCAGAGTTCCTTTCCAATACCATTACTCAGACTCATTACTGGGATTGTGTGTGCTAGTAATAGAACCCACATTTATACTAAGATGGGACATTCTTATAAATGGAATGCATCTCAATTTCTTATATTCGTATAACTTGAGTCTATATGTCTTATCACTGGGATGACTTACCTTCAGTAAAACATTCAACCCCATGCAATGGGGACTTGGAGGAAGGTACCAGGCCTTGATATTTTCTTGGAAATTTCAGGGAGTCTCAGGAATATTAATGCTCACTTCCCTGGAATACAGGCCATTCATCAGTCTGCACAGTGTGAACTGATATTTGTGAGTGAGTGAATGTGTATGTGTGTGCACATGCATCTTTGTGTGTGTTTGGCTCTGGGACTGTTCTTGCCATCAATGCCACCTCCCTCTCACCCACATGGCTTGTTGGAGTCCTTTTATTTTGACACTCTCTGTAAGAAGCCTTCAGTTTAATAGGATTGCTGACTCCTAACAACTGCATCTGACAACAATGCACACTTCTGCCCACTGGTAATCAGAGCAATTACTTAACAAGTACATCTCTATTTCCTTCAGGGTGGACTAATTAAAAGGCTTCCATGCTGTTGCCAAGAATGGACAGAGTGTGTTCTGTATTACTTTTTGGAAAGGCTGAAAATTATCTTTGGGCTCTACATGGAAACATTTTCAGCATTGCTCATGGGATTCTTCTCACTTCTGCCCTTCCAGGGCAGCCTCCGTTGTTGGCTATTGACTGATAAGGCAGGACAAACAGTAGGCCTCCAGTTCAAATTTACTATTTTGAAGAGAGGACGTCTAGAGCAACAGAACAGTGGTTCGCAAACTTTAGCACTCATTGGAATCCCCTGGATGGCCTGTTAAATCACTGCCTGCTGGCCACATTCCAGAGTTTCAGATTCACTATGTCTGGAAAGGAGCCTGAGAAGTTGCACTTCTGAGGTCCCAGGTGATGCTGATGTTGCTGGTCTGGAGATCACACTTTTAGAAAACTGCTATAGAGAAATGCTTTTATTTTCCTGGTCCCGTAGCTCCTTACGGCAGCAAAATCATCACTTTTCTAGTGAGGCCAAAGGAGAGAATCAGCCTTAGAACCAATGTTATTTTGCAAGATGGAATAGGTGCTAAAGGACACTTGATTCAGGTGCAAGGAATGTAAATTTTGAGTTCAAATCTCAGGTCTGCCACTTGGTAGTCATGTGACTTTCAGCTGATTACTGAATTCTCTGATTCTCAGTGTTCTCATTCATAAAATGGGAACATGGACTTCACTAGACTGCTACGAGGCTGTATAGAGTACGTAGTGTAGGGCATGACATGCCCCCATTGCCAAGTGAAAGATAGGCCCATTCTGGTTTCTTCCACTCACCTCTTCTCCCAGATCCCTGGATGGTTTTGAGTGGCTTCTTTATTCCTCAGAGTCTGTGCAATACTCATGTGTTAAATGTCAGGCACAGTTTACTTTATGCTACAGTGCAGTTGTTAGAAAGATTTTCTTAGGGTAAATCATGTCTTAAGATATAAAGGATAAACGATAACTTTTCCACGGACTTTGCTGCAGGGAACTTCTTTAATAAACAGAAAAAGAAAATATAAAGTTCCAAAATGTACTTTCTTCCATGGAAACATGTTAGCACAGGGAGGCAAAAATATGTTGACATAGTACTACTTTCTATATTTGTGCATCAAAATCTTGAACATACAGCCAATTTATACCAAAAGTCTAAAGTAAATATATTTTAAATAAACAAGCCCATAGCCAGGCACGATGGCTCACAGCTATAATCCCAGCACTTTGGGAGGCCGAGGCTGGAGGATCACTTGAGGTCAGGAGTTCGAGACCAGGCTGGCCAACATGGTAAAACCCCATATGTACTAAAAATATAAAAATTAGCCAGGTGTGGTAGCAGGTGCCTATAATTGCAGCTACTCCCGAGGCTGAGGCAGGAGGTTTGCTTCAACCCAGGAAGCAGAGGTTGCAGTGAGCCGAGATCTCACCACTGCACTCCAGCCTGGGCGTCAGAACAAGACTCTGTCAAAAAAAAAAAAAAAAAGGGCCAATAACAGAAGGAATTTCTAGGAAGAACTGTAAAAGGGTATAAGGCTAAAGATTTGTTAAATCTCAAGAGATTAAAAAAAACTGTTACTTTGCCAGGGACATTGTTTGCAGTCTCAATTTTCTGTGCTCATATCCTCTGCCTTCTCAAATCCTACTGAAGGTTATTAGTTCTGCTTTTGGTACTAATAAAATAAAATCACCTAAAGAAGAACACCTCTCATACCTACTTCCTACCAAGCTTACTAAGAAACTGTGATGGTTTTAGTTAATCACAACTTTGGGGTCTTTATCAAATAGCTACATTTTTTTTGAGCCCTTATTATGTGCCAGACTTTGGGCTGTGTTTGCATTCATTGTCTTAGATCATTCTCACAACTTAGTAAAGAGGGTACTAAAATTTCCCTCAATTCATAGATAAGCAAACCGAAGTCTGGAGAAGGAAATGACTTGCCCACGTTCCTAATTATTGGAGCAGAGCTTCAATTTCAGGCCTGCCTGGCTTTTTGAAGATCCACGAGGCCTTCCTAACCTATTCGTCTTTTTTCCTTTCTAATCAAGGGACATCAAATGCTGAAAAGATCGTTTTGTAAAAATTGAACCAAATAGGACCCAGTTGTCAATGTTTCCCTTAGGACAAGCAACCCAGTTTTTCATGAGTCTGGTTTATGTGCCAGTGAAAGCTGAGTATGCTCAAAGCTTAGAATCATACTTAGGGTATGATAAAAGAAACATTAGAACACAAAATCTCTGTCGTGCCCAAATATCTTCAATCTCTGCCAGAGCAGTGCCTGGCACTTTCTAAAGAGAATACCAAGCAACTAAAATTCACAAAATCTCTGCTAGTCTATAACTCCTATTATGGAAATCTCACCCTTTTAAAGTTAAGGTCTCGAAACGGAAGTGAAAAATGAAGGTTGATATTTAGAGCTACTTAGTATTCAATGGCGTAACTTCCCAAATACACACAAATTTAATGCACTTTTGATTGATCCCATAATTACAAAATTTGTTTAAAGCCGTTATATTATCTTCTTAGTTGACACAATATGGCACAATTTTGTTATAGGATTGAAAACCAAATAAGACAACTACAGTTGGTAGCATTTCAAAGAAATATATTCCCTTTAAGATGAAATCAATCCTGTTTCAAGTTTATTCCCTTGCTTTGTGATTGAGGCTCTAGGGGTGTATTTTGCTGAAAAATGTCTTTTTGATTTTTTGGAAATTCTTTAGATTAATATGCAGCTCTCATTGCAAGGCAAATCTAGATCTGCTTTTATGTTTCCTCTTTCCCCAGGCTGCAACTAGTGCCTACCTCTCCAGGAGAGACAGTCCACTCATTCCTGATTGGGGCTTAATATTCCAGGTCAGATAGCAAAGAATTCGTCAACTCATCATCATTTAGAGCATGTCACACTTTGTCTATTTACATTACAGAATTCATTTCTTTGCTTAATATGTCCAATATCTTGGTCTTGACATTTTGTTACTGTCTAATTTTAATTCCTGTTCACACACACACACACACACACACACACGTGTTACTCACACCCACTGTGTACCATACCATATTATCGCAGTTCTCAACATAGCAAGACAAGAACCCAGGGTTTTGATGTATTTCTGAGTATGGTTTCAGTGTTTATTTCATTTCATTCAAGGCTTTCCTTCATGTCTTTCCTTCTGTTTCAACTTAAAGGGCAGTGGACTTTCCTCTTCTGTTCTAACCACTGGTGTGTTTTCAATTCTCCCCTCTCTCCAATTCTCCTTTCATAGATGCAAACTTGTTTATCTCTGCATTTCAGATGTATTTCCCAAAGGCAGATTTGTACCCTTCTGCTCATCCTATGAAAACACAAGGAGATACAGAATAAAATGAAAATTTCCAAAAACTTCTTTTTTAATACATGTTAGACACCAAACAATTTTTAAACACCTAAGCAATAAAAGCTAGCTGCCTGTCAATCCCACAGCATGTAAAGGACACACATTTGTGTTGGCTTTTTTAGAAAGGGAACATCATCATTGTACTTCAGTAGATTGAATGTGGACTGTAATTCACTGGACTGAACAGGACGTGTTAATGACAGAAGATTAGGAGCTTTGTTGATAAGAAATGGGAATGTCTTTCCATAATATTAATTATAATCTAACTAAGTCCAGCTAAACAGTCTTTTGCTCCTCTTAATACTTCAAAAGAAATCTGGACGATATAGATTCCATTGAGTTATCGAGAGAACATTATAACACTAGATCAGGGGTCAGCACACTGAAGGATGCAGACCAGACCAGGCCTTCCTCCTGCTTTTGTCAGTACAGTTTTGTTGGAACAGAGGGCATCCACTTGTTTACATATTGTCTAGCTGTTTTCATGCTATAGCAGCAGAATTGAGCAAACTGAAATATTTACCATCTGGTCCATTACAAAAAGTTCGTCAACCTCTGATACAGATATTCAGAGGTGCTGATATTTTTAAGTGATATTTTTCTTTCCTAAGAAAAGGATGAGTTAGTCAGTCAGGCTTGTTCTTGGGTCTCAAGGATACACAGATTGTAAGAGTCGTGGTTTCAAACTCATCACAACAGGGCAGATTGTGCACAAAATAATGGTCCCTGCCTAGAATTTACAAAGACATTCCATTTTGCTCAACCAGTACAATAAAATGCTTCTCAAAGAGAGTAAGCATATAATTTATCATTCCTTTAGAAAGTAAAGGGGACACTGTTAATAATTATGCTGAAACAGTAAGTACAAACTAGGACTGTTCAGGCAAACCAAGATGTATATTCACCCTAAAAGGGTACATCAGTGTACCAGATTCAGTAAAATCATAATATAAAAGATAAATACACATGGCTTTAAGTTCAGTTCTTCTACTAAAGCATATTCATATTCAAAACCCTTGTAACTGGAATTTTAGCATAACTGTTAGGAAACAAATGGGTATTTCCAGTTCATATGGGGAGTGACCATAAAATCTTTGGACCATCAGAAAGTATTATGCAGTAATCAATACAGCTTTTGAAGACAA
Source organism: Homo sapiens (assembly GCF_000001405.40). Classification (NCBI taxonomy): domain Eukaryota; kingdom Metazoa; phylum Chordata; class Mammalia; order Primates; family Hominidae; genus Homo; species Homo sapiens. Next base: position 157,676,337 of record NC_000003.12, on the reverse strand, counting down.
AATTGAGCTTGAATAATTCTGGCTATGATTGCCCACCTGGACAATGAGATAGTAATAGATATAAGTTATCTTGATTATTACTGACACTTTTAGTTGTGTCCCAAATGATTGGCAAGCTATAAAAGAATGGCTTTGACCTTTCTGTCATGCTCTTCAAGGACAATGTCCTCAGATTCCCCTGATCCATACTGGCATGGTGTGGGGAGAAGGGAGATGGAGAGAACCAAGAGTACAAAGATCCTAAGAGTCATTGTTCAATTTCAAGATCTTAAATATTTATCTTCTATCTACATCTAAACAACTCTAAAGCAAAAATATTCATCATCTGTGACCATTACTCTGCTTTGTTAATATTTGACAGGAAGATCTTTAATTGAAGATTCATTCTACCCTCAGAAAACTAACAGAAGATATTGAAAACTGCCATATATATTGGAATCTTTAAAGGTATCCTCTTATATTTCTATTCAATGTGTGTATGGATAAAGAAACTTAGTATGTGCCTCTTATATTTGAAGATTCTAATATTATTCATAACAACTAACATTTGTATGTTGCTTTATCTTTTACAAAATACTTTCAAATATATTCCCCTACCAGATTTTCACAATATACCAATAAGTCAATAATGCATGATTATTATTATTACCTCTGTTTCTTGTGAATAAAACTAAGGCTCAGAGAAATTAAAGGACTTGTGCAAAGTCACATAGCCAATAATACTACTACTGGTGTTGGTCTAGACCTTTGAACTCCAAATCCTAGGCCACTTAACTCAACCATATTGTCTTCTAAATTGTTATGAATTAGTAATGCTATTAATAATTGTGAAAACATAAATGTAAATGACCTTGACCTGTTGGAGAAGAGGCCAAAAGAAGCATGAAGCTTATTGCAGTCTAGTTACAAATACTAAAGGAAAACTATAGGTATTACAGTTAAATGAGAACCATCATTGTGGTTTTAGTATAATTGAAGTCAATAGGGATGAAAAGAAGCTTAATATATAAGTTGTTAACAAATATACAGTAGGCCTGGTGCTGTGGCTCACGTCTGTAATCCCAGCATTTTGATAGGCCAAGGTGGGCAGACTGCTTGAGCCCAGGAGTTTGAGACCAGCCTGGGCAACATGGTGAAACCTCAACTCATCTCTACAAAAAAAAAAAAAATTAGCTGGCTGTGCTGGCGTGCACCTGTGGTCCCAGCTACTTGGGAGGCTGAGGTGGGAGTAGCTGGGACCCAGCCTGGAAGCCTGGGAGATCAAGGCTGCAATAAGCTGAGATCATGCAACTGTACTCCAGCCTGGGCAACAGAGTGAGACACTGTCTTGAAAAGAAAAAAAAAAAAAGAAGGAAGGAAGGAAGGAAAGAAAGAAAGAAAGAAAGAGAAAGAAAGAAAGAAAGAAAGAAAGAAAGAAAGAAAGAATTTATGAGTTAGAATTAAAATATATTTTGTCCACTTGATATTATCTCCTGAGTTTGGCAGCATATAACAGAAAATATCCACATAACAATGGGTTAAACCAGATTGAAATTTATTTATCCAACAAAGGAAGTCTATAGGTAAGCAGCTAAGGCCTGCATAGAAACTTAAAGGGTCACCCAAATCCCCTTCAGCTTTCTATTCTGCCATCCCTAATATGTGTTCCACATCCGAGGAGTTCAAGGTGGTAGACCTAGCTACAGCTATAAATCTATGATACAAGCAACAAGAAAAAGGAAGAAAGAAAGAAAAGTGCCTCCTCTTAAGGAGACCTCCTGGAAGGTAATACATGATCCTTTGGCTTATATTTGCTGGCAGAACTTTTTCGCATGGCTGAATATAGCTACAAGGGAGGCTAGAAGATGTCTTTATCTGGGTTAACTCAAATTAGAGTCTTGTTACTAGAAGGAAGGGACTCTAAAGCCTAGAAGGAAGGGACTGCTATTTGGAGATTGGAATAGACAAATAGCAGTCTCTGCCACAATCAACTTATTGAAAAAAAAAGCTATAACTTAAAATCTGTTTTAGAGAAACGGGACAAAGTTTTGTTGTTGTTTTTCTACTGTGTCAGCCTCTTGACATACATTATGCAACAATCCTTGAGGTAACTTTCATTAGTCCATATGACGAAGAAGAAAATGTAAGCCACAGACAAGTTAAACAACTTGTTTCTGTTTCTGTAACTAGTAAATATGGTGTAGAAGCCCATTTTCTTTCCACTATGCATCCTTATGTCCTTGGTTATTTTTTTTTTTAAATTATACTTTTAAGTTCTGGGATACATGTTCAGAACATGCAGGTTTGTTACATAGGTATACACGTGCCATGGTGGTTTGCTGCACCCGTCAACCTTTCATCTACATTAGGTATTTCTCCTAATGCTATCTCTCCCCTGGCCCCCCACTCCCTTACAGACCCTGGTGTGTGATGTTCCCCTCCCTGTGTCCATGTGTTCTCATTGTTCAGCTCCCACTTATGAGTGAGAACATGCGGTGTCTGGCTTTCTGTTCCTGTGTTAGTTTGCTGAGAATGATGGTTTCCAGCTTCATCCATGTCCCTGCGAAGGACGTGAACTCATCCTTTTGTATGGCTGCATAGTATTCCATGGTGTACATGTGCCATATTTTCTTTATCCAGTCTATCATTGATGGGCATTTGGGTTGGTTCCAAGTCTTTGCTACTGTGAATAGTGCTGCAGTAAACATACGTGTGCATATGTCTTTATAGTAGAATGATTTATAATCCTTTGGGTATATACCTAGTAATGGGGTTGCTGGATCAAATACTATTTCTGGTTCTAGATCCTTGAGGAATTGCCACACTGTCTTCCACAATGGTTGAACTAATTTCTCTCCCACCAACAGTGTAAAAGTGTTCCTATTTCTCCACATGCTCTCCAGCATCTGTTGTTTCCTGACTTTTTAATGATGACCATTCTAACTGGCATGGGATGGTATCTCATTGTGGTTTTGATTTGCATTTCTCTAATGACCAGTGATGATGAGCTTTTTTTCTTATGTGTGTTGGCCGCATAAATGTCTTCTTTTGAGAAGTGTCAGTTCACATCATTTGCCCACTTTTTGATGGGGTTGTTTTTTTCTTGTAAATTTGTGTAAGTTCCTTGTAGATTCTGGATATTGGCCCTTTGTCAGATGGATAGATTGCAAAAATGTTCTCTCATTCCGTAAGTTGCCTATTCACTCTGATGATAGTTTCTTCTCCCTAGTTATTTTTAACAAAAAATTAGTCAAATAGAAAAAGAAATTGAGGGAAACTTAATTGCGTGGTCAAGAAAACAGGATTTAGAAAGGGTATGAATACAGTCCTTTATTCATTCATTTAGGTAACATTAATGGCTCCTTCATGTTTCCCTTTCTGTCTTCAAGTAGAGAGTTTTTTGTTTTGTTTTGTTTTTGTTTTTTTTCAGACGGAGTTTTGCTCTTGTTTGCCCAGGCTGGAGTGCAATGGCGCGATTTCGGCTCACTGCAACATCTGCCTCCCAAGTTTAAGCCATTCTCCTGCCTCAGCCTCCTGAGTAACTGGGATTACAGGCATACACCACCATGCCCAGCTAATTTTGTATTTTTAGTAGAGGCTGGGTTTCTCCATGTTGGTCAGGCTGATCTCAAAATCCTGACCTCAGGTGATCCGCCCACCTCGGCCTCCCAAAGTGCTGGAATTACAGGCATAAGCCACAGTGCCCGGCGAGTTGTTTGCTTTTTAACTGAAGCCAAAATATTAATAAATAGGAATCAGAATGTTTGAGTCAGAGGGGTTTGCAGATCGTCTAGTCAGACCACCTCCTTAAAATGAAAATGAGGTCTGGTATGATAAAGGCATTGTATTTTGTTTCTCAAAGGAACAAAGGACAGGAAATAGATCTCTCTTTAAACTAGAATAAAAGAATTGTGTCCCAGGATCATGTGATATAAAATATATCACTGAGGGAGGTCATGAAATCTCAAATCCTGGATGTTTTTAAGAAATTGGAAAAGTATCGGTTCTAGAGGATTTCCCATTTTCTTGGATCAGATAACTGCTTCAGACCAATTCCTAGTCTGATGCCAAGTCCTAGTCCTAGATGCCAAGAATGCAGGGATTTTATTGGGATAAATTGTGCTGTTCTGCATCTGCAATGGGACTAAACTTCACTTAGGTTTAAACCAGGAGTTTAAACCAGGGCTTAGTGTCTTCAAGCACATGATTAGAAATATATTTTCAAATAGAAAAAGACTAAAGTGGGAATTATTTCTTATCTTGTTTATAATAAATAGATTTCTGGAATTAAGAAAACTACATTATATGTTTAGAATTTCATTCATGAGGGAGCTTTTCTGCCTTCTCCCTTTCTCTGCTTGGCTCCGTTTTCAAGCATTTAATTATAAAAGCCTTATTTTACTATAGTTATCACAGTTGTTCGATTTAGACACAAGTTGATGATTCTGTGTGTAATTCCATGGCCCTGGGCATCCCATTACTATAGAAATCATCTCTGGAGTTGGCAATTTACCAAACTGACTTTACCAAGAAAGGCAGAGCAGAGGTGGTAACAGCAAACTGTCGCAGTGGTAGAAGCAGCAGCTGCTCTGAAAGCAGCAGAAATGGTATGCTAAAAGAGTGGAAATTCAATCTATGTATTTACACTAATGGGACATAAGCAGGCCCATGCCAAACATAGAGTCACACTTTTCCCATTATTCAAAATAGGGCATAATACACAGATGCCATGATTGGTATCTAATTAATATGTATTTAAGGAGTCCAGTTCTATCCCGGTGTTCTTATTTATTCAGTTCAATTGTTTTTAATTGTCCTGGCATTGTCCACTTCACTGAATAAAAATGGAAGTAACGAAGAAAGGAAGGAAGGAAGGAAAGAAGGAAGGAAGGAAGAGAAGAAGGGAAGGAGGGAGGGAGGAAAGGTGGGTCAGGGATCAGAAAATGTTATAATGTTACCCCAAAGCATAGTGCTTTCATATGAAGCAGCTTCAAGGCCTCTCTGACTTCCCCCCAGCCCTCCTGTCTTTCAATCCTCTGTTTCTTCCAAAGCACAGGATGAAGCTATTCTCTGAAGTTTCCTTATCAACCTAGAAGGTGGAGTTGCCAAAGAGGAACACAATTGCCTTTAATCCCCTCCCTGAAGTGTCATTAACCAGAGAAGATTAAAATTCATATCACAGAGGAAGAGATTGAAAATTAAACATTACACTTGGATCCCAGACAAACTTTGTCCTGAACCATCGTCTGCTATTGGTCCCATCTAATTTCCAAAGAAAATTATTTACTAGCCATTGTCTGAGCATTGGGCCCATTCGATTCCCCCTAAAAATCACTTATTATCCCTCAGATTGCCACATTTCCCCCATCTACCCTTCCCTGTGAAGAAGAGTGTATAAGCATCTGTACCTGACCGGGTTATTGGGTCATACTTCTGCTATTTCCCTGGGCCATGAAGGTTAAAATAAATTTGTATGTATACATTTTTCTTCTATTAATCTGCCTTTGTCAGTTTGCAGTAAGACTTCAGGGATGGGGTAAGTTTTCCCTTGGCCCCTACAGAAGGAAGAAACAAAAGAAGAAGTAAGGAAGGAAAGAAGAAATGAAGAAGAAAAGAAAAATGAAGGACAGAAGAACTACCAAAACGTGTAACTTGACTTTTTGATTTGATGCATTTTTACTGCAGTGAATACTTTTGTTTTTCTTCCTTAAAACTGTTAATTAAAAACCTTCCTCCACAGCTAGAATCACACAGGAAATAAAAGTAGGTGTGCATATAAACAGAGGACTGGTAACTTGAATTTTGTAGACAAAAGTCATCCCCTCAAGCTCTCGTCACTTGTTCAGGGAACTTGAAGGGAAAAGTGAGATGAACTTCTTCTCACTATGCTCTCAGTTTGATTTTCTATGCTTTCAGTTTGATTTTCCTGTTTCCCATCTTCCTGCCTTCAGGGCAAGTGTAGAAAGATGGTTGGGACCATGACAATGCCAAACAGCAAGAGTCTGAGTTTAACAAGATTTGAAAATTTGAATTTATGACAGGTGACATCAGCTTATAAAATCGTTGTTTCTTATTTTCAAATTACACTCATTGAGAAAGATATTGGCATCACAAGACATTGAAAAAAGTATATTTGATTCATTTAAAATATGAAAAAAATGCAATCCAGGCATTTTTGTAAACATTCCTTTTACATTTGGTAAAACGTTTTGAGCCCATGTCCCAAGATGAAAAAACTGGAAGCCATTTACTTTTTCATCTTAGATGAGTAATAAAATATGGCAGTTAAGTAAGATGCTGATATTTATTTTAATTCTGGTCTAATATCGTTGGGTACAAGACAAAGATGGTAAAAATTGACAGAAGGATTATATATCTTACCACCCTCTCCCAGCTATTTCAAGTAAAGTTTGATGTTCCCAAAGCCCTTATCATTTTTCCTCACTTCCTAAGAAAAGGCAGAATCCCTCTTTCAGCAGGTCAACATTCTGAGGTTTCACAAGACCTCTGCTTTTAACATGTTTGTTTTTATATTTTGGGAAAAAATGCTACACAAAATAAAATATTGAACCACTCTCAAATCTCCTTACTTTTCTGTTTCTTCTCTTGCATTTTATCCCAGTTTGGATTAAGTAAGCAAAAACATTAGGGATATGGTGTTACCCAGCTGAAAGAAAAGCTAATGGGGACTGTGTTCTCATATTACCAGAGGTTAGCAGAGAGCTACTTTAATATGACAGCTAATATAACTCATTGATGTGATTACTCAAAAAGAAGAATGCCATTGGTGTCCAGTTACATCCCAGACGTTACAATTAGATAGGCCAGATGGATAGGGTCCAGTGAGACAGGCTGACAAACCTGCAGACAGGTCAGCAGGGACATGACTGGGGCAAGGTGGACTTCATGAATCAGGCAAAAGAAAAGGTGCCCTAATTAATTATAGGCTTTTAAAAATCCTGATGTTCTTAAATAAAACCTAGAGAAAAAGGACTAGCTTTGGGGTCTATTTGCCAACTCCAAGCCAAGCATTTTGAATAAGCAGTTTTCTATAGTGGATGATGACTATTGACTGTTAAAGTCATCTTAGGTTGACTTTAAAAATAATGGGCTTGAAAGCCAAAGCCTCCTAAGAAAAGTAAGTTACTATGCTTTGAGCAAGTCTGTGGTTATAAAATTACCTCTTCCGTCAGCAAACATAATGTGGTCAGAGATACCAAGAATGGTAGGGCCAAAAGGTACCTTATGCTTCAACTTGTCTGAACCCTTTATTATACATATTAGACAATCCCATCAGATGGGGTCCCCTCAGGAAATAAAAGGTACATTTGAAAAGTTTAATTAAATAGAGTCTTTTGAAGGGACTATTTACTGAGATTTGCGAAGAGTTAGGGATGTTGAAGCTCTCTGGGACCAGCCATGGTGGAAAGCTCTTACCACGCCTCAGCTGAAGGAGCAAAACAGGGAGCTAGAATCCAGCAAGAGCTGAAGCTGTGGGCAGGAGTCACCTAACAGACATGGAGGCCATAGAGGAATACAGCCACTGCCACACCACAGCCCCACGGAAGAGTGTGTTGTGTGTGTGTGTGTGCACGTGCATGTGTGTGTGAGAGAGAGAGAGAGAGTGTGTGTGTGTGTGTGTGTGTGTGTGTATGCAAAGGTAAGGGGGTGGTATCTCCCCAACCTCTTTCCTCAAACCCTCTGATCTCCTGTTGGAGGACTCCCTTCCACCAAACCCAAGTAGAAGCCAAAGAATAAGGAAGGCACCACAGAGATTGATTCCTGGGTTCAGAGCAGGGCAGAGCAGGGAGGAGTATAAAGCTGGTGGAAGATCAACAGAGAATCATGAGCACAGAAGCTGCAGCCAGAGAGTAGAAATGATTTCCAAAGGCTAGTTAGTATAGGGCTAGGACTGGGATCTGGTCTTTGGATTCTCACACATGGAAGTTTTTTGCATTTTAACGAACAGGCTTTCCAAGACTAAAAATGAGTTGCAAAAAATATCAGATTCTCTTCTTTGGGATGCTCTTCCTGAATGTAGCAAATCTGGGAAAAAGCCTGGCTTCTCAAATGGCAGATGTTTGAAGCTCAGGGTTGAGAGGACTATGGGGTATGAGCTCCTCAGACCCCAGAGCCTCTACAGCAGCTGGAGCAGCAGAGCCAAGCACATGGTGGCTGTCAGTAGCATGTGGGTGCGAATGTCAAGTTATGGATGAATGAAACTCCTTTTACAAACCACCCACACGGATTGCGATCTCCAAATAAGCATTGTGCCCTTTTTTGTGGTTGTATGGGAGACCAACATTGCTACACTGATTCTGCTATTTCTCAAGTCACTTTTGAACTTTTCCTTGGAAATGATCTTTGGAGCTAATCTATGTGTCACAGAAGAAACTCAGTGTCTCAAGAGGTTACTCATCAGGTGTATTGTTTATTATTCTTGCTTGATTTTCTAGCCAACTTTAATATTATTTATCAAACTTGACTTGATACAGAATGTGATAGAGTCCAAATATCAAACCCACTCTCAGAATACAAAGATTTATTCTGATACACTTGAAATGGATCAAAAGCATAACAGCAAGCTCAAAAGTAGTATATTAGTTACAGTTCTCCAGAAAACAGAACCAATAGGAGACATAAAATGAGGAACTGGCTTATGTGATTACAGAGGCTGAGTACCACAATCTGCTGTCTGCAAAGCAAGCTAGATATTCAGGAAAGTTGGTGATGTAATTTAGTCCAAGTTCGAAGGTCTGAGACCTGGAGAGCTGACGGTTTAAATCCCAGTCCAAAGGCAAGAGATGAGAGAAGATGTTCCAGCACAAGTGATGAGACAAAAGGAGCAAATTCTTCCTTCCTCCATCTTTTAATTCTGTTTAGGCCCTCCACAGATTGAATAATGCTCCCCTCCACTCCCCCATCCCCCGTCCACCACACGCACTCTGGGGAGGCCAATCTGTTTTACAGAGTCCACTGATTCAAGTGCTAATCTCATCCAGAAACACTTTCATAAACACACTCAGAAATAATGTTTAATCTGAACACCCCATGGCCTAGTCAAGTTGACACATAAAATTAACCATCACAAGCAGCATACCAAGGGGAAGCTCAAAAGTTGTTGAACAATGGCAGCCTTTTGAGAATAATTAAATAATTGTCTCTTAAAGTGTCAAGGTTGAGATGGAAAAGGTTAATTTGATTATGGTCAGCCTCGTACTGTGTTTGAAAACACATCACTTAATATTAGGTAATACATGAATTGGCAGCATTTATCTGAGAAGAGAATTATAGCTATGTAAAATATTATATATGCACATTGAGAAGTAGAATTATTAGTGGTGTTATGGGATTTTCTTTTCTCATTTGGAAATGTCTGTTATTGTTACCATTGTTTGTGCATTATAGATGCTCCTCAACTTATGATAGGGCTACTTCATCAGAAGTTGAAAATATCCTGTCAAAAATGCACTTTTGACTTAGGATATTTTCAACATATGATGGGTTTAATCCAAACATTGTCGCATCATAAGTCAAGGAGCATACAGAATGCTATGGAAAAAATCATAACTTGAATTATTATAAATTGGAAACCATCTGTATTTACAATTATAAAACCATAAAATATAGACACATTGTTTTATGGATTTTTTTTTTTTTTTGAGACAAGAGTCTCGCTCTGTCGCCCAGGCTGAAGTGCAGTGACGTGATCTCGGCTCACTGCAAGCTCCACCTCCCGGGTTCATGCCATCGTCCTGCCTCAGCCTCCCGAGTAGCTGGGACTACAGATGCCTGCCACCACGCCAGGCTAATTTTTGTATTTTTACTAGAGACGGGGTTTCACCATGTTAGCCAGGATGGTCTCTATCTCCTGACCTCGTGATCAGCCCGGGATTACAGGTGTGAGCCACTGTGCCTGGCTGGAAATATTTTATAAATGCAATGAAGAGAGATGAAACACAGAAAGAAATGTGACCATATGGACATAGCACAAGTGTATAAGCTGCACATGTAATGCTTGTACTTTGCTCAAATATAGACATATCCTATTCTCATTGATTGGAGACAAATAAATGTGGCATATATTTTGCTTTTAATACATCCCCCCACCCCATACAAACCTCCTTGTGGAACAATGGAGAAAAGGATGCTTGAGATCTTTGTTTTGTTTTTGTTTTTTTGAGATGGAGTCTCACTCTGTTGGCCAGGCTGGAGTACAGCGATGCGATCTCGGCTTACTGCAACCTCCGCCTCCCATGTTCAAGTGATTCTTCTGCCTCAGCCTCCCGAGTAGCTGGAATTACAGGCGTGCACCACCATGCCCAGCTAATTTTTGTATTTTTAGTAGAGACAGGGTTTCACCATGTTGGCCAGGCTGGTCTCCTGACCTCAGGCGATCCACCTGCCTTTGCCTCCCAAAGTGCTGGGATTACAGGAGTGAGCCACCGTGCCTGGCTGAGATCTTTGGAAAGGGTTCTTGAATAATGAGAACAGATTACAGAAAAAATGATTTGGAAGAGAGAATAAATGGAAAAGTTGGAATGGACATTGATTAGTTACACTTTGACATAGGACTTAACATGTAATCACAGTCCCTGGAAACCCAATAAATTTGATAGTATTTATGAATTAGTATGTTTTCCTTATTACTACATGTTGATTTTTGTCAACATCAGGAGTATCTGCTTCCTAGAATAATTACTATTACCATATGCATAAAGTTTAGAATTTTAGAAAATTGGTTATGGGGTATAGGGAACACAAAAAGAAAGCAGGGAAAGGATTTTAATGTTACTTAAGAGATACTTCTTGATTTCTTAAATGTAACCACATTTACTTGTTTGGGGAGGGAGGAGGTGAGAGATCCATATTGCAATTTTATCACCTGTCTCCAGCAAGTTTTGCACTTCATTAAATTGCTTAGGGTTGTACTAGCAATCCCTCCAAACATAACTCAGAGATGTGGATATCAGTTTTATTGTTTTCTCATTTCCAAAGAAAAAAAAAGAGCTCAGAAAGTTTAATGTATTTGCTTTCCTTCTATAAGCAGATGTTGCTGGAGTTTTTTGTTTTTCATTTTTGGATTTTTTTTAAGGCTCTTATTGGTTTATTTTAAAAATCACTTGTAGCCTGACCTCCTAACTCAAACATTTGGACAGTCTACATAATTGAAACATCCAATTTCCCCACATCAGCCAGGTTAAGGCAAATCAAATCCCTGTTTACAGTGCAAATGTAGAAATACCAGTTAAAGCGTTATTCAATGTGACCCTCTGCTGAGACATCCTGTAACCTGTCCTATATCAGTCCTTCAGTCTTCCCCGCTTACATAGAGCTGCTGGAGCTTGAGTCTTGGAACAGGTAGTTCAGTGAGAAGAGATTTGCTACAGCAACATTAAGTGTAGCTCATGCCTACATGAGGTCAAGTAGAAAAAGATGAATGTGTTTAATAATTAAATTTCAGGTGATAAATCCTTGGCAGATATCGACATTGACTTTTGAAAAGCAAATGCACATGCTCATCTCTGGTTGAACAGATAAAGTAGACCATGGCCATGGCGTGGAGGAGGAGGAGCATGCATGCCTCCATGCTGGCCACATCTGGGTCTAATCCTGAAACCATCGCTCACTCAGTACTCTTGAGCACATAATTCTTCTGAGTCTGATTTTCTTCATCCATAAATATGGGTGTAATAATAACACCATAATAACCCAGAAACATTATGAGGCTCAAACAAGATAGTTCATGTAAACTTCCTAGTGCATAACCACTTTTGAATAAATAATAAACAATGTTTCTGTTCTTTTAGGTTTCAGGATTAACTAAGTTATTACACACACAGAGAAAATTGACCCAAATAGTTTTCCAACTGGGCTTCTCAGCTACTACCTGGATAACTATTGCTACAACCTGCTTAGAACTCATTTTGCTGTTTTCTGTATTTCAGGCCAAGCTGAGTACAGGGAAACTCAATTGTCTTTTAGAATAGTGTTAAAAGTTATCAGCAGCTTCCAAAATGTGGGTGCAGGTAAAACCAAAATGATGAACCCCCTGAAAGCATCTGGGTGGAGGTGGGGGTGTGTATGTCCAGGGTGGGATCCAGTTCTGCGGTAAAACCATTCAGTGCTTTCTCCCTAGGGAAGCTGTGCCCATGGCACTAGCTGGAGCAAAATCCAGGGAACACAGGAGTAGGCCTGGAGATGGTCATTCAGGAATCATCTAGGTTAGGATGAAGCCATGAAAGAGGCATTCATTACTTTCTTGGAGGATGAACTTGTCCTGGGAAAAGAGAAGAGAACTAAATCCACCCCTGGGACTTTCACACTTAAGTAGCTCAATTTACCCTCTTCCATTTTGAGTTGCCTAGTGTGTTACACATTTCCCAGGCATTAAAGTCTGGGTATTCCAGTATGGGAAGTGTATTACCAACATATATGTGAATAAAAGCTCTCATCACTCTTTCATGTAACTCATTTTTATATTCAAAGAGGAATTTGATGAGTTATTGAACAAAGCCTCAGGAATGGTTTTCAAAGGACTAGGACTTGGATCCCTTCACTGCTACCTACTAGCCATGAGCTGTCAGGCATCGGTTGACATTTTGGGCCTCAGTTTTCTTATCTACTTTCTTATGTAACTGTATGAAGTCATGAGGATTACATAAATTATCATAATCTGAAGTGCATTGAGCTTAATAGGCACTCAGTAAGTGTATAATAACGTTGATGACCCGCCCTTTGATGGAAAATGCTGATGACAATAACGATATCCTGCACTTGAACTGTCAGCTTGGGTGCTTTATGTGAGAGAGCAAACCAAAACAACACACAAAGTAACTAACAACTAACTGCCTAAAACCTGGCTTTTCCTTTTCTTGGAAAAGGGAGAAAGTCCCTGTCCTTTCCCCTTCTCCCAGAGCCTGGATTTGTGCCCATGCACCCAGCATTCTCATCACTGGTGGCTTCTTCTTTTGCATGACTCTACATCCCAATCTCCTTCATGTGGGTGGGATATTTATTTCATTATGTCCTTTTCTCAAAAATTCAGCAACAATCTGAATACCTATCCATGACCTCTTCTGATTTATTAATAAATAAATGCATTTTAAGGGCCTTTGACTTTGCATATTAAGGGCCAACTCTTTGTCTTCACTGAGGGCAAAATTTGCCCTTGATATGCATTTATTTATGAAACAGGGCCACAGTCAGGGAGCCAATAGATGCTGAATAGCATTTGAACACACATACAAAGTGAGTTAAATACAGATGATGCTGAGGTGGGAGGAGGTACTCTCTATGGCAGAGTGGTCAGGAGGCTTCTGTTCCACTGGATAACCTTAAGAAGAGCCTCTCCTGCCAGGTCAGCTTTAGAGAACACATGGACACAGGAAGGAGAACATCACACACTGGGGCCTGTTGTGGGGTCGGGGGAGGAGGGAGGGATAGCATTAGGAGATATACCTAATGTTAAATTACGAGTTAATGGGTGCAGCACACCAACACGGCACATGTATTCATATCTAACAAACCTGCACGTTGTGCACATGTACCGTAAAACTTAAAGTATAATTAAAAAAAAAAAAAGAAAGAAAAGAAAAGCAAAGTCTCGGTTCATGGGATTGCCTTAAAAACAAGTTCACTTTGCATCCTTGGTCTCTAGCTTCTGGATGGTCCCAAGAAAATAGACCCAAACCTCAAGAACAGTCTTTCTTGTTGCACAAATCAGAGACAACAGCTTGGTTCCTTGTTTTCCTATCTTTCATGGAGAAATGCTTGTGTCTTCCACATGTTTTCCATATAGCAAAATTTACCCACTTATTTTATTTCCATCTCTTATCCCTACACTGGATTTTACTGCTGTCACTTTGTTATTAAATCACTGTGGAGTTTGCTACATTAGAGCTAAGGAAGAAATGGATTACAATGTAGAGGACAGCCTTGCAATTTCCAACAGGAGCTATCTGAGTGAACACATTGTTTCATTCTATTTCTCTGGAAAGAGCACACATTATAATCACTATTCACAGTATACTGTGTAAAATGATCTTTGTTTTCTACAACAGATACTGTGTCATTTAATTAATTTAGACTAAAGAAAAGCAGTCAACATTCAGTAACAACATCCCCTTAGGGGATATAAATGAAAAATTTTCCATACCCTACATAGCAGTTAGAGCAAAGGAAGTGCTGATATTTATTTATGAACTTCAGTGCTCATAGTTGTAAGCAGCAGAACTCTGGCTGATTTCAGCCGAGAAGCATCATGTATGAAAAGAATATTGGCTATTTCACAGATTATAATGAGGGCTGGAGAAAGATACTTCAGGCTAAGCAGTCACAATCATGCCAAAAGCAGGCCTGATGAGAAAAACCCTCACTACATTCACCAAGCGTGAGATGATGCCGCTTAAGCCACAGCCACTGCAGCATCTGGAACTTGGTCACCTGCAACTATCAAGTACTATCAGCACCTGAGAAAGTGACTACATAGTGTCTGCTTCTTTGGCTTCTGATTCTGTCCGCTGTGGTTGAGTTTGATTTTTGCAGGCCATGTCATAAGTTCATGCCCTCTCCACCAGAGAAGCTGGAAAGCAAAAACATGGCAGTTTCCACTTTTGTAGTTGGGGTGGGGTCTACCTGTTTCTGAAACTCAAAGGCATGGATGTCCCCAAGTGTATGAAGCACTGCACAGAATTTTTGTAAAAAGACAAATGCCCCCTCAAATCAGCATTGCCAGGAATAGGACCTCCAACACCCTCAACTTCCCAATCACACCTACTTCGAAGCCTGTCAGGCCCTTCCTTTGAGCTAAACAGGTAACCCAGCATCCTGGCCTTCCTTGGAGAAAAGAATGAATTACCACTGATAAGAATGAATGCAAGAAGACATATTTTTCCCCCAGTACTGTACTTTCCCCCAATACTGCAGCAAACTTAGCCGCATAAAATCTGTTGCTCTCATGTTAGAATTCTTTTTTGAGTTGGCCTTGATCAGATTTTAAATTGGGTGAAATGTCCTATTTTGTGCCTTTGTCTTTACTTACTGAGAACAACATGTTCTTTTTGATGGGCCCATAAGACTAAAGACTTGGATTTGAAACCACGGTTTGAAAGAAAACTATGAAAATGTGATCCCTTTTGGGATATTCATTTGACCATGAGAACCCCAACAACAACTGGTTTGGAACAACAGTGGTATAAAAAATCAGTACAGGGTAAAGAAAAATACTGGTAGTGGATAAAAGAACCAGATACCTTACCAGACATTTATAGAGCTCAAGTCCAAGATTCCAAGATAGGAGATAATCAAATAAATAGCTGCCTCTTCTGTAATTGCATTTTAAAATCTCATTCTATCCACACAAATTTTCCCCCTACTGTCTGATGCATGCTTGGGTTGATACTTTTTTTTATTAAGACAGATTTATTGGTCAAAGATTTAATTTTAATTCCCAGGTTTGTTTAAAAGAAGGCAGTTTCACAACCCAGTTGTTCTGGATATTTATGGAAGACGACCAAAGAAGCTGAGATAGCCAGAAGAAAAAAAAAAACAAAAAACAAAAAACTCTGCAGTTTAGCATTCTTGTCCCTGTAGGATCCTTCCTTATATTATGGAAATTTCTGCAGACCTTAGGCCATGAGTATTGAACAGATCTCACCTTCCACAGTTTCTCATTGACCTACAGCACAATATAGGGTTTTTTGAACATAAAAGAATCATTGACAACCTCTCTATTACTCTAAGAAATTGTTTACCCATGTGATAAAGAAGCCTCTCAAACTTCCTTAATTAAAAGTATGTTCCATCGATGACCCACCTTCCTGGTGGAGAAACTGAAATCCACCCAGCCTCTTTCTCCCCTACCAATTAGATCACTTTCTCTGTTTGCATCTTCTATCCTATTAGCTCTGGGGTATCACAAAGATGATTTACTTCTGCATTCCATGCTGCCGAGTTAAAGAACAGATTGCCCGGGGTCTTGAACATCTCTGGGTAATTGAAGCTTTTGCCTTTGGGGTTATTACTTTGTAATCACACTATTTGAGGAGTTTGGGTGAGGAAAGCGCTGAAGGTTTGTCCGCCTGATTTGTCTGTCCTGCTCATTTCAGCCTACTAAGCTGGGTGGTGACTAATTTCAGAAAAAAAAAAAAAAGGCAGACCTAAGTTACCCCTCCTTTTATGATGCTGTCTGGATAGATGTGCCCACAAGATTTCAATGTTCTTGCATCTGATAACATTAATGTATTTAAGATGGAGAGAAGCAAGAAAAGAGGTCAAAGGAACAAGAAAAGAAGAAGACATCCTGCTGAGTCTGTCCTTACAGTAGTAATGATCATTTTGCAGAGATGTGTGGGTTTTTCAGAAGAGTCAGCCAGAGCAGAACTTTGATACTGCTCAAAATTTACATGGTTGCTTTAATTTGAAAACAATTAAAAAACAAAAGAGAGAAAGAAGGCAAGCAAGGAAGTAGAAGTTCTGTGGATAACACTACGTTTCTAGCTACTACTACTATCCCTGTTGTTTCTCTTTTTTAAAAGGGCATTCAAAATTCAGTAAACTACAATTTAATGTATTACAGCTTTTAAAGGGAAATTTCTTTACACATGGCAACATATAAGGAACAAAAATTGATTGAATTATTGTATACGTTAACTAATAAAGTTAGTTAACAAGGGTACATTTTAATTATATATAACAATGCATCTTTTTCTTATCTTTATAAAAGCTTTATAACTGTATGGCTCTTTTGCATAAGACCAAATTGAAAAATGAAAAGCAAACTGTTAAACCAACCATCCAATCAACATCAAATTTCTGAGTGTTTTCTCCAATCATGTAGATCTCATTCACTTACTCAACATTTAATGAAATGACTTCTGTACTAGAAATTATGCTGCATAGGGGTGGGGGATTCACAATGAGGAATGTATAATCCCTGAACCTCAAGAGCTCAGTCTAGAGAGTTTGTGTATATTAGTTTCCTAGTGCTGCTGTAAGAAAACAGCATAAACTATGTGGCTCAAAAAATAGAAATGTATTCACACAGAGTTCTGGAGAATAGAAGTCTTAAATCAAGGTGTGGATAGGCTTGGCTTATTCTTGGGGGCTCAGAGGGAAATCTGTTCTTCTAGATTCTGGTGGTTGCTGACAGTCCTTGCAAACTTTGGCTTGTAGCAGCAAAACTCCAATCTCTGCCTCTGTCATTACATGGCCTTCTTCACTGCATGTGTTTGTGTCCAAATTTTCCTCTTCTTATGAGGATACTGATCATCATATTTAGGAATCACCCTAATCTAGTATGACTTTTTCTCAAATTCATTTTATCTGCAAATACCCTATTTCCGAATAAGGTCACATTCTGAGGTACTGAAGTTACAAATTCAACATAGCTTTCTAGGAGCAGACACAATTCCACCCATAACACTATCCAACAAGACCCTACATAGAAGTTAGGAGATCTTAACTGAAAGAGCCTGGAGGTGTACCAGCAGTGTCCAGGGACTGCAGAAAGCATTGTAAGTGACCTGTCACAGACAATGCAGGGAAATGGAAGATGGAGGATGGCTTTAACGATCTGTCCTAGCAGAATGAACCAATACCATTATAGAAGCCAGTCAAGTAACCCCTTTTCTGCTAGGCCACCAGACCAAGCAGAGTGGGGAAACAGATAAGTGGACCACAGGTTTACAAGATCCATCTACATGAAGAGAGAAGACATAACCTGAAATAAAGTTCAGAGTTTTGATTATCAGATAGGACTAGACATATTTATTATTGGCTTGAGGCTTTTTGAGGACTGAAGTGACCAGAAGATGTATTAGTCAGGAGTAACCAGAAAAGGCATGGACCTGCTCGATTTTCATCTAAGGAGGTGGCAGGGGAAAGAACTATCCTACAAACTGGGTAGGCAAGGCAGTCATGAGGAAAGAATAAAGTTGCTTTCAGTTGTACCTGACAGAACCCAGCTTGTTCCTCACATGGCTTAAAACAAAAATGGGTGTTTGGGTAAAGAGGCTGTGATGTAGCCTGTGTTAAAAGAATCAACCATTAGGCCGAGACAACTCCAGTGCCTTGGGTTCCTACATAAGCAAACCAAAACCCATCTCAATAGAAACAATAAAATTAATTTAAGCCTAACCAATCAGAAACCTCCAACTAGAGACTTTACCAATCAGAAACTGACAGCTAACCTCTAACTAGGGTCTTTCCACCAGGTCATACCCAAATAAGGCAAATGCCTAGTTATAGCCAATCAAGTACTACAGTCTCTCCTCATTTGTAGGAGATTCGTTTTAGGACCCCCACTGATATCAAAATCCAAGGATTCTCAAGTATCTTGCATAATTTATTTGCACCTGACCTATGCATATCCTCCTATATACTCAAATTATCAGTAGATTACTTATAATACCTAATACAATGTCTACACATCACTTCATCTGAGTGGATTCAATGTAATACTCCGTGCATAACAAATTCAAGCTTTGCTTTTTGGAACTTTGTGCAATTTTCTTTTCCTGGATATCTGTGGTTGGTTGAATTTGCAATGCGAAGCCCATGAATACAAATGGCTGCCTGTAATTACTTTGCTACAGTGTATAGGCTACAAAAGCCCACTGCTCTTGCTGTTAGAGCAGAACTCCCTGAACCTCTTCTGGCTTTGAGTGTTACCTGATTCCTTTAATGCTCAAATAACTGTTAAATTTATTTTGTCTATGTAGTTTTTCTTTCAGTTCCTGAGATAGCGATGCACTTACATGCTTCCATTCTCCCAAGACGCTCCAAATTCTGTAGCTCTAGAGAACATCCAAAAAAGTTCCTAGAACCATTGGAGACAGGCTTGGAAGGCAGTTGAGGTTTGAGAGCCATATGCTCAATTCTGATAGGGGCGAGCCTAGGTTGATCTTACTGTGTTCTAGGTTCTGCAGGTTCCCCATGCACTGCAGACCTGATGCTAGACTTGGCTGAGCCTCAGAAAACTGGCAGCTCCAAAGGGCCATATCAAAGGTATGGAAGGCAGGTAGGAGGCAGCATGGTTTCCATGGAGCTGATCTGCAAGTGTATCCCTCTCTGCCTGTGACAATTCAGTGACAGAAAAATCTTCCTATGTTGACAGTTCAGTGATAGCAGGCCCCAAACTATATCAGCTAGGAACATTTGCTCCAGAAGTTAAGACTGGCCTTGGAAAAAAGGTGGAACAAGAGACATAATCCCTACCTCAGTGGTAGTGGAGGTGACTGAGGGGGGCTTAAGGATAAAATGTCTCAGTCCAAAGTCAGAGCAATTATTTGTAGTCTGGCATTCATCCTCTAAATGGGTTGGGGGAGGAATTTTGAGTTAAATCTATTATCTACCCACAAGGATTCAATTAGAAGGGACTGAATTATTTGATGATTAAGAGTTTTCTCCATATTCAGTAAATGGTGCTGGGATAACTGGCTAGCCATATGCAACAGACCGAAGCTGGACTTTTTCCTTATACCATATACAAGAATAAACTCAAGATAGAATAAAGAATTAAATGTAAAACCCAAAACTATAAAAACCCCAAAAGACAACCTAGGCAATACCATCCTGGACAAAGGAATGGGCAAAGAGTTCATGACAAAGACACAAAAAGCAATTGCAATAAAAGCAAAAATTGACAACTGGGATCTAATTAACCTTAGGAGATTCTGCACATCAAAAGAAACTATCAACAGAGTAAATAGACAACCTACAGAATGGGAAAAAATACTTGCAAACTGTGCATCAGACAAAGGTCTAATATCCAGCCTCTATAAGGAACTTAAATTTACAAGAGAAAACAAACAACCCCACCAAAAAATAGGCAAAGGACATGAACAGACACTTCTCAAAAGAAGACAGACATGTAGCCAACAAGCATATGACAAAAAGCTTAATATCACTGATCATTAGAGAAACGCAAATCGAAACCACAACAAGATACCATCTCACACCAGTCAGAATGCCTATTACTAAAACATCAAAAAATAACAGATGCTGGTGAGGTTGTGGAGAAAAGGGAACACTTATACATGATTGGTGGGAGTGTAAATTAGTTCAACCATTGTGGAAAGCACTGTGGTGATTCCTCAAAGAGCTAAAAGCAGAACTACCATTTGACCCAGCAATTCCATTACTGGGTATATACCCAGAGGATTATAAACCATTCTACGATAAGGACACATGTATGTGAATGTTCACTGCAGCACTATACACAATAGCAAAGACATAGAATCAGTCTGAATGCCCATCAATGACAGATTGGATTTTTTAAAAATGTGGTACATATACACCATGGAATGCTATGCAGCCATATGAAAGAATGAGATCATGTCTTTTGTGGAAACATGGATGGAGCTGGGGGCTATCATCCTCAGCAAACTAATGCAGGAACAGAAAGCCAAATACCACTTGTTCTCACAAGCGGGAGCTAAATGAAGAGAACTTATGAACACAAAGAAGAAAACAGCGGACACTGGGGTCTACTTGAGGGTGGAGGGTGGAAGGAGGGAGAGGAGCAGAAAAGATAACTATTGGGTACCAGGCTTAATTCTTGCATGATGAAATAATCTGTACAACAAACCCTCATGACACGAGTTTACCTATGTAACAAACCTTCACATGTATCCCTGAACCTAAAATAAAAGTTTTTAAAAAAGGCTTTTCAGCTGCATGTCAAAATGTGGCTTTAAGAGCTACACTGAGACCTGGCGCAGTGGCTCATGCCTGTAATCCCAGCACCTTGGGAGGCCAAGGTGGGTGGATCACATGAAGTCAGGAGTTCAAGACAAGCCTGGCCAACATGGTGAAACCCTGTCTCTACTAAAAACATACAAAAAATTAGCCAGGCATGATGGCAGGTGCCTGTAATCCCAGCTAGTTGGGAGGCTGAGGCAGGAGAATCGCTTGAAGCCAGGAGGAAGAGGTTGCAGTGAGCTGAGATCATGCCACAGCACTACAGCCTGGGCAACAGAGTGAGACTCTGTTTCAAAAACAAACAAACAAACAAACAGAGCTACAGTTAATTAATTCACAGCGAAACAAAGATTGTTCTGTGAGGCACATCTATGTTAAGACTGTGTATTTTTAGCCTGCTAATGAAATAATTGTGTTGGTTAAGGAGGGTGGGTGAGTATAGATGAGAAAGTGGACTGCAGGCACACCCAGCTGGTGTGGGAGAGAGGTCCTTCATCCAAGACAACCTGGTTCAGCATAGAACAGATTCATCCTAGAGGAAAATGCTTTCACCAGCTACTAAAAATCAAATATATGGCATTAAAAAGAGACTCATGTTTCTACACTACAAAATTAAGTGCATTATCTGCTCAAAAGCTGTGGCAAACTGTCATTTTAAATTATATCATATTAATATGATATAGAGGAAGCAGTAAGGATAACAGGTGGCTCTAAGCTTTCCCTGCTTTCAGTGTTGGGGCATGGAAATCTATTTTTACTACCCCAGAAAACACCGTCGCAATGGACTGAATGTGTGCATGTGTGTGTCCCCTCAAAATTTGTATGTTGAAATCTTAATCACCAGTGTGATGGCATTAGTAAGTGGGACCTTTGGGAGGTAATTAGTTTATGAGGGTGGAGCCCTCATGAATGGAATTAGTGACCTTATAAAGAGACCCCAGAGAGCTCTCTTGCCCTCTTTCCACTATGTGAGGACACAGTGATATAGCCATCTATGAACTAGGAAATGGGCTCTCACCAGACACCATGCCTTTCAGCACCTCCATCTTGGACTTCCCAGCCTGCAAACATGTAAAAAGTAAATGCTTGTTGTTTACACCACCCAGTCAGTGTATGATATTCTGTTACAGCAGCCTGAACTGACCAAGGCAACAATACAGTTGTTTTACTGTAACAACAGTAAACAGATTTACTGGTACTTGGCTCCCAACTGTTGTTCAGTATGTGGAAATGCAAATATCAGATTTTAATTTATTGACGTAAAAGCCAAGAGAAGGAAGCCCTGGAATTTTCTAGCTGCTGGCTTCCAGGTTTACCATTTTCAATGGTGCACTTCACTAGCATGAAAATGCTCATATTTTGAATAACAAAATTAAACACACTAGCTAATATGTATGTAATGTTTAGTAAGTGCCAGGTAGTATTCTAAAGGCTTTATATACAATAACTTATCTAGACTTTATACCTGCCCTATGAGTTAATTACTGTTATTATCCTCACTTTACATATGAAGAAACTGAAGCACAGAAGGGTTAGACAACTTGCCCAAGTCATGTAGCTAATAAATGGTATCCCAGGGAATCATATAGATAACATGATAAGTAAAAAGGAAAAATAGACTAGTCTGGGATAAGTGTGATTTGTTAATATTCTGGTTTTTGTAATACGTAGGAAAGGAAGCTGTGATTATTTCCCGTCATTCCTCCTTCCCTTTTCCTCAGGAAACAGACCATCTTGCACAAGCTGAGTACTTTGCTTGGTCAGCACCTTCATCCGCAGAGGTCCACTCTGAGCTCTGACACACCATTTATTTCTTGTAAGGATACCATAGAATGGGCAGGGAGATAGTTTAGCATCTATTCTTCCAAAGATACTCAACAAATCTTCCAGAAAGTACAACAGATAAATTTAAAATGACAGGAAAACATTGCTCATTTTGCTCCGTCTTTTAAAAAATTGGTACTTTTGTGAATTTTTTTCACAGTTATTGAATAACTTGTGCTTATTGTTGGTGAGAGGTAAAAGTAATTATTTAATTTACAATCAGACAATAAAGTTTACTACACAGGCCAGAAAGGGCTGGCTCTGGGCAAAATTGTACAGAGAGCATTTGAGAATGAGAAAACCTGAAAGACATTCTATCTGATCTCCTGACTTTACAGATGAGAAAACTGAGGCCAGAGAATTGACTTACTCCAATTAGGAAATTCTATTATGTGGACTTCTAATCCAGAGCTATTCAGAACATACATTTACATTACACATGGACAAATTCACATAGAGACACACACTAACATGTATGGACTCCCACATATAGAGACACATATGTACACACTTGCATACAGTCACACACTCACAAAGGTACACACAAACACAAACACAGACATACACAGGCATGCACACATGAAGTGCACCACTTTCATAGGAAGCCATATTTTCTGCCTAAATTCTTCATTAATAATCAGATAGTTAACAGCATTACTCTTCCCTAAGAACATTTGCATTTTAATAGATGTCTCCAGAAAATAAAAGTCAAGATACAAAATAAAGAATTTTAATGGTGTAATTTCACACAGAGAATCAGAGATTGAGTGCTGGCCCAATGCCCTTCAAGTTGCTTCTTTGAGGAGGCTTTTTTTTGTCCTTGGGACCACATGTGTGTATATGCAGGAGTGCATAGGTGTTGGTGTTTGTGGACATGTCTCTCTATGAGTGTGTGGGTCCAAGTGTAGTGTATATGTATGTTCTGAATAGCTCTGGACTGGGATTCCAGATAATAGAGTTTTCTAATTGGAGCAAATTACATGCATTCTCTGGCCTCAGTTTTCTCATCTGTAAAGTCAGGAGATCAGGCAAATATTCACTAAATGAACATTCTTGAAAAGATGCTAACATATCTTCTCAATCAAATTTGGCCCCAACCCCTCTTGTCAGAGTTCCACTTTCCCCCAAGTATGATTCATTTAAGAATAATTCTCAAAATAATTGTTGAATGCAAAAGAATAATGTGTGTAAGTTATGAGAGAATTGTTCATTTTTCTCTATTTTTCCTCTTCAAGAAGACAAACTGACTTGGAGCCATGGCTGTGGTTTCCAGCCAGCTGGGTTTGTCTTACTGCTAAAAGGAGACTATAATTCTTTCCCCCAGGATCCTCCTGTTCCTTTCAGGTTCAGAGCTCAGCTGTGGATGGAACCCAAGTGTGGCTTTCCCATTTTTAACATTGAAATACAATGTTCATTAGAACAAAAGCTTCTCGTCCATATTGCTGAGTTCGATATAAGTGGTCTGCCTGGCCCACACATCACAGCTTCCTTCATATTGCAATGATATTGTAAAGCTCACATTGTACATTGAGGTCAAACTCAGCTATTGATCTATTTAAACATAAATACTACAATTAATTAGAGATGGGCTTAAACTAAAATATCTGACCTTTCTGGGTTCTTGAGAGTAGCATTGGAATACTTTCATATAAGAGCTAAAAATCCTGAGAAGGACATTTTCTACTCAAAATTACTTCCAATAAATGACTACACAGGGCTGGACCAAGGACCTGTTTCACTAGTATTCAGAGTATTCCATGAGGTTAGCATGAAATGACCATGTCCATTTACACCAGGGAAATTCAGGGTGGCTGTGGGACAGGTTGGTGAGGAAAAGGCTTGTTTCTTGAAATACGTATATGCCGAAGTGGAGAAAGAAAAACAGGAATATTTTTCACTTGGCTTCTAGCCTCCTGGAGTATCTGTCATCTCCCAGTGATGGATGCTTGCACAGGAAGCATCCATCCATGTAGGAAGATGGTGCTCCACACCATCCAGAAAGCTTCATTCATATTCCAGTTATCTTTCCAGAAATCCAGGAATGGACCAAGGCAAAGGTAGACACCAGGCTCTCACAGAGGCCCCTCAATGGTGATTGGGGGTGGGATTGGGGCCCCCAAGCTTTCCATGCATAAAAGAGCACATGTGTATGCTCGCCACAGTGGCACTCCTGTGGCTTTCACTGAACTAATAGGCAACTCCAGTTTTTTATTGTGTCCAGGAAGGTCCCACATGATGTGACCCCTGCCTATCTCTTCCACTTCAACCCACTCCTTCCTCCCCTGCTTTGCCATGTTCTGCTCTACTGGCCTGTTTTTTCTGTTTCTTGAATGCTACAAGGTTTCTCCTTTCTCAAGTGGTGTTGCTGGGTGGGACTGTGGAACGCTGTGCCCAGATGGTCTCAGGGCTGGCTCTTCCTTGTCATCCCTTCCTCAGGCCTCAGTTCACCTGTCCTCCCTGGCCAGCCTCTCTGAAGTAGGCCTGTCCCTCTCTTTCCACAGTTTTATTTTCCTCTCATCACTTTATTCCTGAGATTCTGTTGTTCATTTTATTATATTTTCTCCTTCTGTTACTCTTGATGAAAGCCTGATGAAAACAGTGAAACTATCTGTCCTTTTCACTGTATTTGACACATAGTAGGTGCTCAAGCATTATTTTTTGCATGAAGAAAACAATGTTAGAGTTTTAAGGGGAGTGCAATGAAAATTTCCCTCTCAAAATTTTCTTCTTCATTAACATATTATCAGGCAGAATTGAGGCTTAAGACACCAACGTATTACACAAGTTGATAGGGCAAAGATGGCTCTGGAATGACATTGGCTATTGGAATAGAACCAATGTCTCATCTTTCCAGACTCTCTAGAGTCTTAAACACAGGGCATCTTGGTGATATTTTGAAATCACACTGAGTTCCCAATCCTGTTCATCAGGCAGCCAGGCACAAGACACCCAGATGAGCAGGCAAGAACCATGTGCTCTGCAGCTTGAACTCAGTCAGTTATTTCCAAGGCATGGTCTTAACTCTTGCTGAAGCCCACCTGCTGAGAGGCTCCCTCTCTTTTGCTCATACTTGCAGCAGCATAAAAATATCTTGGCAGAGAGGCTATCCTTTAAACAGTATTGGAGTTCAGCTCTCATTTCAGGCTAAATGGTGGTTCAAATGTTGGCTGTGCCCTTATTTGTGTTGTAATCTTAAGTGAGTTACTTAACTTTACTAGACTTCAATTTTTGCAATTTGCATAATGGGAGTAATATAATAAAGTTGTTGCAAGGCTTAAGTGACAAAACAATATAAATAAGTAGTAGAAAGACTATCTATTGAGTTATTTGTCTCCCTTTGCACTCTCTCATCATTCACTTTCAGCTTAGAGGTCACCTCCTCACTGAGGCCTTCCCTGACCCAGACTGAAATAAAACCCTGCCCACACATCTCTATCCCAGCACCTGTTTTTGTCTCTTAGCAGCACAATCACCAGCCAACAACCTAGTTGGCCAAAGTGTTTACAGATCTGTCTGCCCCCAGAAGGATGACAGCAGAGTCTCTGTCTATCTTGTTTGCTTTTGTATCCTCAGTGCCTGGCACATCGTGGGTGCTCAAGTCATGTTTGTTGCATGAATGATTGAATGTTCTGGCTGCTTCACATATGTCACTTCTGTTAATCTTGACAATTTGGCAGAATATTATTGCCATTACTTCAAAGATGGTGAAAGTGAAACTGAAATAGCCTTAAAAACTTAATAATCTGTAATATTTTTTGAGTACTCACTACAGGTCAGACACCAAGCTAAGGGATTTTCAGTGGTTATATATTTAGGAAGAGAGGCAAGTGAAGCGAGGATGAGCCCAAAAGGACATTTAGGATTGGTCACTTCTACTCCAGGCTAGTTAATAATTTTAAGTGAAAATTACTTATTCAGATGAGGCTCAAGTTTTCTTTTATCCCAAAATGTTCTGAAACCCCACTTCCATCTACATGGCAATTGTTTTAATTGCAACACAAAACTACATCAGTTGCAATTGTACTAGGCTGCTGGTAACAGAAACCCACATACAGGGCTTTAAATACTGTTTTTTCAGCTATCAGGAAGTCTGGGGATAGATGATGCAGGCCTGTGTAGTAGCTATGCAATGTCAGCACCTCTCAGTCTGCTAGTACTTTGCTCTGTCCCCCTCAGTACTGGCTTTGTCTTCATGCTTGCTGCATCATGGTTGCAAGGTGGTCGCTGCATCTCCAGGATTCACATCCACATTCTGGCAGTCTCAAATGAAGGCTAGAAAATTGAGTTATTTGGTTGGGTGCTTTATCTCCCAAGGAAGATGTTTGTCCATCAGCTGACAAGATGACCCATTACTTTTAAATAAACATCAGATAATCATAGATCAAAATGAGGTAGGGGAATAATATTTAGTCTTTGGTGCTTCAAATTACCATGGAATCAATTTACACTGAGTCCCACAAAATACTTAAGAGTTCTTCAAATATGTTGATAGTGCTGTTTAAATCACTTTCAGGTATTTGGAGGAATGGCAGCAAGCTTTAGCTGTTTTCTAAAAATTTGACTGACTCTAAGGTCTAGAGTTACCTTATGCCATTCACAAGGGCTACCCACCTGAATTCAGCTGCCATACTGAAAACTCAACTTGAAAGAGTATGACCTGGAATAAATTTCTCTCTATTCTAAAGGAAGTAGGGATGGAGACAAACTTCCATTAAGTTTTGGTAGATACTATAAATTGCCTCTCCAATGGCCATCTCCATTACTTCTTCCCTGCAACGTAATTCCAGTCTGTTCCATTATTGAATTAAAGATAGCTTAATGTGTGCAGGTCTCTACCCCAACTCCAAGGAATGAAGTAGGAGGGGTGTAAATCAGTCATGGCAAATTCCTTACCACTGGACAATAACTGATCTACTGGGGGACGGGAGGGGGTTGCCCAGTTCTGGCCAGTGAAGAGTAAGGGAAATTTTCTTGTGGTGGTAGTAGTGGTGGGGTAGGGCATAGTTTCCTTCTTTAATAAGCAAAATGTCTAAGAAGGAGGTCCTGTTTCTTCTGGCTGTGAAAGCGGATGTGGCACTAGAGCTGTACAGCCATCTTGAAAGACATCTGTCCTAGCACAGTTGATTTGCTGAACCAATCTAGGTATCTACCTAACTCTGGATCTCTTGCAATGTGGTAAAACTATATCCCCATTTAAAATATTGGAGTTGGTACCCCATAAATATATATAATTGTTTGTAATTAAAAATAAAACTTTTTTTTAAAATTGGAGTGAGGTTTTTTCCTTTCCTTTCTATTACTTGCAGCCAAACACAATTCTAACTCATACACATACTCTATATCAGGCACTTGGGGCTTTTTCTTACCAGGTTCTACACTTTATGACTGTGCACTTGACTTCAGTGTCCAATTCTGTCCAACGTGGCTAATAAAACACCTACCTCACTGATGGAGGTGAAGGTGACATAAGCAGTCCTTGCAGAGGGCTCATTTCTCATCCTGTCACATTGGAAGCTGTCAGAAAGTGTTAGCTACCACTATTATTCAAAAGCATTTGTCTTTAAAATATTTTGAGAATTGTATAAGGCTGGCAGATGGAAAAAGGAAAAGGAGCAACAAAGTCAGCAATGGAACAGCTGTAGGCAAGAAGACAAGGTGGCTGGAAATGTGGATTAGAAAACACCATGAGACTGGAACAGCTACAAAACCTGACTTGGAAGGCCCTGGGAGGAAATGAGGGAGCACAACAGTAGAGGCGAGGGAGAGATTTGCATTGTGAGCATGCTAGACTGTGCTGCAAAATTGCAAAATAAGCAAAAGAGGACATACGCATATGATTAAGGGTTTGATGGGGATGGGATCATAGACGAATGTGATTGCTGCATTCAGTTCGAACTTGGGACAAAAGCATGAATATTTTTGCTATACTTTTATATCAAAGAGCTCTGTACATGGCTGTTAGAATGTAATATGTGCTAAAATAAAATGAGAAAGAAAAAAACAAAAACAAGACACAGACAAAGAGAGAAAGGAGGCCAAGTGTGACAGGAAAGGCATGACTCTTGGCATCAGCAGGATGGAAAGGAGATCCCCTGGAGCCTGTGGATCACTGTTTATGGGTGTTCTGTTCTACCAATAGTTAGGGTTAATTCTCCTTGATTAGAATTGCTCACTGAGAAATGCTGCCTCACCTCCAGGTTCTCACACAAGATGCAATGCAACATCACAAATGCATCTTTTCCAATCTTAGCTCATCCCCTCCAACCACAGAGCAGCAAATGTGTTCATCTTAAAGATGGCTCAGCAAAGGCCTCTTGCCCCAGTGGAAAGAATCCAAATAATAATGATGGCTCATTTCATTTTAGGGCTCTTAGCATAAACACCCAGAAGATCTCAGACACAAATCACTAGTGCTACCAATCCAGGCAATTGGAACCTACCCCATTTCTGAGCTGTCTTGGGCACAAAGCACAGTGGGTATTTCTGCTGGATGTACATACCAATCACATTTCACATTAGAAATCCTCAAGGAAAGCCAGTCTTTTGGAACTCAAAGTCCTGTAGAAGTGTTTACATGTTTTTGAGTCTTCTTCATGTATTTGTTCAATGGAAGAACTCCTGTTATCACTAAATATTCCTTAGCCTGTATATTATGATCTGAAGTTGTTAGTTTCTTCTTTTTGTTCCTGATCACTCCCTGAAAACAACAATACGACTTTATGAGACTATTGTAGGCCAGGAATATTTCATTTGGCTGAAATGAACCCAGCTTTTATATATAGCAGCATGAGTGTGTGTATGTGTATGTGCTTGAGTGTACGTGTGTGTGCATGTATGTGAGTGCCTAGCCATCCGTCTTCTCTCACCTGGCTTATTACTATAGTCTAGGGTGTCCTTGACTCTGTTCTTCCCCTGCAGATCTATCCTTCACACTGTAGCCAGAATGAGCTTCCTAAAATGTAAATCTTTGTGCTTGTCTTTTCCTTGCTTAGAGCCCTTCAAAGTCTTGTCACAGGTTAAAGTCCAAGCTCCAGAACATGGCTTGTCAGTCAGATGAACTTCACTCTGGTTTTCCTGGGATAGTATGATTCGTGCCTGTTGTCCCAGTATACTTACTAAGAGAATCTCCTTTCACTCTCCAAAGTGTTTAGATTTGGAAGCTATATATGATAGAATGTAAATTATGCGGGCACCCTATTTATAAGGCCCCAAATTCTCTAGCCTTAGTTTTCCTCACTCCACCTTTCTATTCTGTGCTCCAGATAGTAGAATCTGTGCCACAGCAGGCAATCTCAAGATGGTGTGACAAGCAGAGGTAAGGAAAGTTGAGGGTACCAGGGAAGGCCAAAGAAGCAGGACCTGACCCTGACAGAACTGGAGATATAGGAAAGTTTCTCAGAGTAAATAACTTCTGGAGATGAGCGGGCATTAGCCAAGTGAATGGAGTTGGAGGAAAAATGTTTTAGGCAGCAAAAAAAATTCATGTACATTGGGTCTCAGCCAAGAATCCAGCCATGCAAACCACTTTGAGATCTCTGAATCTGCCGTATTTCCTCTTGCTGGGGACCCACTGTGCATGAATTTTTTCCTACCTGAAACATTTTTCCTCCTCCAACTCCAATCACTTGGCTAATTCCTGCTCATCTCCAGAAGTCACTTACTCTGAAACCTTCCTATATCCACAATTCTATCAGGGTCAGGTCCTCCTTCTTTGGCCTTCCCTGGTACCCTAAACTTTCCTTACCTCAGCTTGTCACACTACCTTGAGATTGCCTGCTGTGGAACGGATTCGATTATCCTGCTCAGTTAATCACTTCCTTCCCCATAAGGGTTATATATCACTGCCTGTTGCCATGCAACTTGCAAGGTTTCATGGAGTACCCTTGCCCCAGTGATAATGGACTTGTGGGCTTGGCTGTAGGACTTGCTGTAGCCAATAGAAGGGAATGCAATGTACCTTAGGACTGATGAAAGTCTTATAAGCCTTGGTGTGTTTTCACCAGACTTTTTGCTTCTCCTTGTCCATGGGAACAGCATATTCCATGTAAAGATTTCTTCATCAGCCTGGATTTCAGAATGAAAAGACATGTGGGCAAAGTCATAACCAGCATCATAAACATGAATGAAGGAAAATCAGTTGTAGATGTAAGACACCTGAGATTTGGGGGTTGTTGCTGCAGGATACCCAATAACCCAGCAAAGGCTGACTGCTCTGTACAATTTTTTTTTTTTTATTTCTTGGTACAGTAAAGAGCCTGAGGTCAGAGAGCACATCTACCTAATTCACCTTCGTGTCAATAGTTCCCAGATCAGCACTCAGAAGTGGACATTCCTCATTAAGTTTTGTTCAATAGAAGTACAGATGTGTAGATTTTGCTTTCTTGAATCTGGATTAAATAACAATTTTGGCAAAGTCTAGATTGGTTACATCTTTGGGGAACATTATACTTCTCACACAATATTCCTGTTTACTACTTAATTTGATTTTCACATACAGGTAGGTAAAAACAAGACAACTGATGTCAGACTTTTACTTCTAAGATTACACAGCTCTTTAGTAGCAAAGAAAGAATGGAAGCTTTTACTTTCTGTTGCCCAGTTCTGGGTTCTTTCCCATCCTATCCTTGAACCCAATCCTAGAGAAAACAGAAAATAATTATTCCTCTTTACCCAAAGCCATCTTGGTGTCAGCTTTTTATCTGCTCACCCTGACCACTCTTATCTGCTCACCACGACTACTCCCACTCTTAGATACACTGACACCCATCATCCTCTTTCTTTGGGATTAAGGGGGGCAGTTAGCCAAAATGTCTTCTCTGTTTTGAAAAGAGACCATTTAAAGAGCAGAAAGAGAGAAGCACCCA